>NC_000008.11:664570-966855 GCF_000001405.40 Homo sapiens
AAGAGGAGCTGTTCTTAAAGAGATATTCCATTTTAGTCACTGCTCTTCTCAGGAAGGATATGTGTGATCCAGTAACTAAAGAAAGCTGAGATTACTCTGGCATGGTCTAGAAAGCAAAAAACACAAAACAAAAAATAAAACAAAGACAAAAAGAAAAATCATAAGTTATTATTATGTAGACACGAGCCTTTGGGCCCAAAGTGAACTCCCAAATAATCTAATAAAATGCAACTTTGGCATGAAACTGATGTTGAAAGTGACACATTATACTTGTTAATCACACATTACATAATCAGTATGGCAACACAGTGGCTCAATTCTGAATATTTGTATTTCACTGGGGTGTGAACCCTTGGTTCACTGGCTCTATTACACCTTAACTTCAAAACATCACATTGCAATATTATAGGCTTAACATCAGACCTGGAAGAAAACCCACATATAAACCGAAATGAAAATGAAATAGAAGTTTATCTCAAGGGTGAGCAAGTAGAAAAAAGCCAGAAGTGGAGCCGTAAGTGAGACAACACAGGACCATGTGGTGCCTACGTCATGAAACCAGGGCAGTGGCAGCGCCGGCCAAAGGCAGCCAAGACACCACAATCGCGATGCCACAATCGCCCCTGATGTCACCACCAACCCTCAGAGCTTCACGGCAGGGACATGGCTCCGACCTCTGAGCCCACTGGTCCCCGGCTCCGACCTCTGAGCCCACTGGTCCCCGGCTCCAACCTCTGAGCCCGCCGGCCCTGGCTCTAACGTCTGTGCTCACCGGGCTCACGGGTGGACACTGGCTGCCAGTGAAGGCCCTCCCCAAGGTCAGGTTTTACAACTTGTCCGGGCACCAAATGTTGCACCTGGAATCTACTGCTTCTGAAGTTTCCAACCACAGAGAGCCAAGCCACAGACAACAGAAGCCTCATTCACACTCCCCCCAGGCAGGCTCCATCCCGCCCAGGGGCAAGTTGCCTGAGCTCTAGAAAGCCCCAACAGTCAGGATGATAAAAATCTAATTCCCATACAGAGAATTAGAGGAGGTTGATGTTCGGAAATCCTCAGCCCTTCTCAGTGCACGGTGGGAGGAACACTCAGGGAATGGCAGCTACTACTGATAAAGAGTACGTGTAATAAAACGTCACAGAAGCGGGAGAGCTTGGCCCTAATGCTGGCATCGCAGCTGAATGCAGCCCCCATGACTGAGGAAAAGTAACTGCTGAGCCAGAGGAGAGGCAGAGGAGACGTGACCAGCAGAAAACACCCACACCTGCTTCTCAAATGTGATCTCTGTGCTCATCCTACAGAGGTGAGAGACACAGTGACTCATTAAACTCCTAAGCTAGTTTTACGGAAAAAACCCTTAATTTCAAAAACTCGTATAGGCCAAGTCTGCATTAAACAAATACAACGTGTGAAAATGAAGCTTCATTGTTTGTAAAATTTTATTTCATAAAATAGCTTGACACAGAAAACCTTTAAGCACATATCCTACAGAACTCAAAGGAGTCCTTTCTTAGAGAAAACAGGTTCCTACACACAGTTTAGTTCTATCAGTGGCTTAACATAAATGTCTGTGTACACAAAACCTGTCTGATGATTTTAATATAAGAAACCAATTGTTTTAATAATGGGGGGTTCTGGTAAATTCCCCACAACTGCCAAAACTCTTTTGGTGAATTTCAGAAAAGCCTCAAGTGTGAGAAACAGAGCAAAAATTAAAAAAATTAAAAAGTTAAAATCGCTTACTTTCATCTCTCATAAAAATCTCCTATCAGTTTAACATAATAAAATCAGCTTTTTTTTGCGGTTTGAGATAAATCTGATTATGGAAATCTAAGTTTGTTAAGTACTTGCTGTAAGAGGCCTGACAACCCACCAGAAACAGATGCCCGCCTGGGGCCAACGCCGCCCTCTCCGCACACACAGGTGCCTTCTCAGGAGCACTGCCACCTTCCTGCTGGGGCCCCTCCTCTCTCTTCCGTCGCCCGCGGGCCCTGCTTCCTCCTCCAGTGTCGTTTCTCATGGTCCCTGGTCACGCTCCTGGTGGGCATCTGTACTCACTGTCCCTGATCTCTCTCCTCCCTGCACTCCGGGCCTTATGGCCCTCTTGAGCCTCAGCTGGAACCTGAGGTCTGACTGGCACCTGCATAGCTGCCCAGCACTGCGCTCTGGGCAGGGCCTCTCACCTCAAACCCTATCTTTCTGGGAGCCCCTCCTCCTCCTCGCGGTGACCTGGTCCTCCCAGTGCCTCACCGGCCACTCGGCAGCTCCCACTGGTTCTACCTCCATGGTCCACCTGGACGTTGGCTACAGCTGCCTAACCTGTGGCTGCACCTTGGTCCACGCTGCAGGCCCCTCTCAGCAGGTCCTCAGCAACCCCAACCTGGTCCATGCTGCAAGTACCTCTTGGCAAATCCTCAGCCACCCCCACCTGGTCCACGCTGCAGGTATCTCTCAGCAGGTCCTCAGCAGCCCCAGACTGGTCTCCATTCTCTATCTCCTCCATCCAGCCTCAAGATAACAGCCCAGAAGCCTCATAGCTTCCAGGAACCTCCTGTCTCTGTCTGCGTAGAAGCCCACAAGGCTCACATGCCCGGGGTCCCATGTGCCTGGTCCTGTCACCTTTCCCCCTTCTGAGACTCACTCAATGCCTCTCGCCCTGTCACGTGCATCCCCTGGTCCAGCCACCGGGCTCCTCCCATGTGCCTGGCCCTGTCACCTCTTCACCTTCTCCACCTTCTGCAACTCACATCCATCCCCTGGTCCAGCCACCGGGCTCCTCGCAGTTCCCAAACACATGGGTTCACCCATCTCAGCGCATGCGCACTTGGCTGCAACAACACCCTCCTCTTCCCGCTCCTCCACAGCCTCATCTCCAGGATCTATCTGCAGCTCTATGACGCATCTCACCGAGTATCTGGCTTCTTTTCCAGCTCCTCAGCTAGGGAGCAAGCGCCCCAGGGTGGGGTCCCCACCAGCCTTCCCCAGTGGTAGGCTGCACAGCCCACAGCACCATGCAGGGCAACACAAAGCCAACAGCTCCTTGACGGATGAGGGCGTTCTGCATGAAGGCAGCTCCTCCAGCACCCATATGCTCTGCACGCTGTGACTCCAGCCTTGTGGTCCCTGCAGCCCCCGGCTCCCTGCACCAGTGCCACGGCATCATCATACCGTGGTTATGTAACTGTTTGCTACCTGGCTTCTCTAACATGCTGGTCTTGACCCCTCAGCAATGTGGTTTCTACGGACAGAAACCACTCCCGACACTTACTCTGAAACTCCCTCCACAAAATCTGCAGAGCCTCCTTCACTCCTTCTCTGGGACGGGTGCCACGGACCCACCTTCACTCCTCCTCTGGGATAGGTGCCACTGACGGGTGCCACGGACCCTCCTCCACTCCTCCTCTGGGACGCCAGCCCTGGGCCAGGTGGGCTGCTCTGCACTCAGTGGTGTGCAGGTGAATGGCTCAACAGCCTGAATTTCTGATTTTCAGCATTTGCAGGTTTCTGTGGCCTGAATACCCTCACCACAGCTTGTGTCACCGCACACGGCATTGGGAAGACATGAGCACAGCTGCTCCAGCACACAACAGTTTGCATGAAAAGGATGCCCGGTGAAGGTGGCAGAAAATAAAAGTCGTCATCACCACGTCAGGGGTTCAATAAGGTACCAGAGAGTTGGAGGTAAGCAAAAATTTACCATCTACCACAGCAGTAGAGGAGAAGGAAAAGAGGAAGAAATGAATTCATTTCTATTTAAACTTAGGAAAATTTGGCTCCAAGAGTTGACAGCTCCCAAGTCCGGAAACTTAGACTGCACATGCATTTCTGCATATATTATGTGAAATATTTTTATATCAAGCAGAGATGCAGGAAGCCTGTTTCTCTCTGGGACTCTATTCTCCCATGCCATATGTGCAGTGTCATATTTTCCAACTCATTGCTGTTTTGGTGGCGTGTAAGTCTTTCAGAGGCAAACCTCGATGAGAGTATCTTAAGCAGGACCTTGAATAAATCGTACGGTACTTACCAGGAGGCATCGTGCAATGTTCTGGGAACATTTCCAGAGCATGCTTCAATCTCTCAGTATCTTGCAGGAGCAGCAGCGTTTTCATGTGGTACAGGATGGACACGTCTGAGGGCAGCATGCTGTGTGACGCAAGGCGGTCCAGCAGCTCCTCAGCGGCATCTGCGAGGGCAGCTGAAGCTGCATCTCTGGAGACACCTACATAAAGTCAGTTTTGCTTGGAAATACAGTTTTGTTTTTATTTCTATAAACTAAAGATAAGCTTTCCTCTCTTAAGGAAGGTCTCAAACCTACGCTTCCACACAGAATGACATATCTGGGAGATGAGAAGCTACCAGAAGAGAGAATCAGAACAGAGCTCAGCACAAAATACCACTGCATGAACGACTGTGGAAACCTGGCCCGTCTACACCTCTGTCTGGTGAGACGCCTCCCCTGGCCCATCTACACCTCTGTCTGGTGAGACGCCTCCCCTGGCCCGTCTACACCTCTGTCTGGTGAGACGCCTCCCCTGGCCCGTCTACACGTCTGTCTGGTGAGACGCCTCCCCTGGCCCGTCTACACGTCTGTCTGGTGAGACGCCTCCCCTGGCCCGTCTACACGTCTGTCTGGTGAGACGCCTCCCCTGGCCCGTCTACACGTCTGTCTGGTGGGACGCCTCCCCTGGCCCGTCTACACGTCTGTCTGGTGAGACGCCTCCCCTGGCCCGTCTACACGTCTGTCTGGTGAGACGCCTCCCCTGGCCCGTCTACACGTCTGTCTGGTGAGACGCCTCCCCTGGCCCGTCTACACGTCTGTCTGGTGGGACGCCTCCCCTGGCCCGTCTACACGTCTGTCTGGTGGGACGCCTCCCCTGGCCCGTCTACACGTCTGTCTGGTGGGACGCCTCCCCTGGCCCGTCTACACGTCTGTCTGGTGGGACGCCTCCCCTGGCCCGTCTACACGTCTGTCTGGTGGGACGCCTCCCCTGGCCCGTCTACACGTCTGTCTGGTGGGACGCCTCCCCTGGCCCGTCTACACCTCTGTCTGGTGAGACGCCTTCCCTGTCCAACACACGACTCAGGGCTACGAACAGCAGCAGGTTAAACCAGACAATGAAAGCAAGCTCTCTATGTCCACATCACATCGCTTAAAAAAAGAATCAGACTGTGGCTGTTTAGAAGAAATCAAGGAGAACTGAAAACAAGCCCCCGACTTCCCCTGGATCTGGCTGCTGGTCTTGTTTCTCTGGCTGCTGTTCAGCAGTATGACTGCAATTCACTTGCCTCTGGTGGTTTCGGCGTTAACCCTGCTTGGACTTGGCAGGACTTCTTCAACCTGTGACTCTGTGTCCTGTAACAATGGTGTAAAACTCCCAAATGTCACATCTCCGTCCTGCCCCCGCTCCGTCCTCTCTCCTCTCCACCTGGGCCTGTTTCAGGGACACAACTTCCCACTCCATGTCTGCCGGGCTCTTTCCTGTGTTTTCCACCCGTTTTCTCTCCACTCTGCATTCTGGGGACTTTCTTTCACCTGTCTTCCTGGTCACTAATTCTCTTTTATACCAACTCTCATTTGCTGTTTCCCTGTCTTTTGAGGCCTGAATTTTAGTTACTATATTTCTCAGGCCTAAAATTTCCATTTGATTATTTTAGTAGATTCAAATTACCTGGCGAAATGCTCCAATTTTTCCTTTTTCCCCTTATTTTAGGCTCCTTATCTGATAACATCGGCCTCTCCCACTGTGGCTCTACTGCTCTTTTTTTCTCGTGGTTTTCGGTGCTGTGGTCCTGTCTCGTGGCATGCCCGGTAAACTGTTGCTGAACGCATAGGAAAGACTGCAGAGGTCTAGGATGGCGACATTTTCCTCTAGAGGGCTCACCCTTTGCTCCGCCAGGCAGACCGAGTAGAGGGGGATCCCCTGGACCGTGCAGGGACTGAGCTGACTCCAGGGTGGCCACACATTTGGGACAGTGTCATCTGCTTCTGGGCTGCCCTGCTCTGCTGGGCTCGAGGGTCAGGCCGATCCTCATCTCATCAGCACCTCAAGATGGCCAAGAGGCTCCTATGTTATTCGGAGGCTCTCTGTGTGGCTTCTCATCTTCCACCCACAGCTTCAGAATTGGGCAAAGGTTCTAAGGGAAGCCATGCAGTGTTGAGTTCTGTTCTCTGACCTCTGAGTCCACCGGCCCCAGCTCCAACCTCTGAACCCCCTGGCCCCAGGTCCAACATCTGAGCTTACTGGTCCCCAGGCTCTGACCTCTGAACCCACTGGCCCCTGCTTCGACCTCTGAGCCCACCGGTCCCCAGGATCCAACCTCTGAACCCGCCGGCCCCTGCTCCAACCTCTGAGCCCACCGGTCCCCCAGGCTCCAACCTCTGCACCTGCCAGCCCCAGCTCCAACACCTGAGCCCACTGGTCCCCAGGCTCCGACCTCTGAACCTGCCGGCCCCTGCTCCAACACCTGAGCCCACCGGTCCCCAGGCTCCGACCTCTGAACCTGCCAGCCCCGGCTCTAATGTCTGTGCTCACTGGTCCCCAGGCTCCGACCTCTGAACGTGCCAGCCCCGGTTCTAATGTCTGTGCTCACTGGGCTCCAGGCTCCGACCTCTGAACCTGCCGGCCCTGGCTGTAATGTCTGTGCCCACTGGTCCCCAGGCTCTGACCTCTGAACCCGCTGGCCCCTGCTCCGACCACTGAGCGCGCTGGTCCCCAGGCTCCGACCTCTGAACCTGCCGGCCCCGGCTCTAATGTCTGCGCTCACTGGGCTCCAGGCTGAGACCTCTGAACCTGCCGGCCCCGGCTCTAATGTCTGTGCTCACTGGGCTCCAGGCTGAGACCTCTGAACCTGCCGGCCCCGGCTCTAATGTCTGTGCTCACTGGTCCCCAGGCTCCGACCTCTGAACGTGCCAGCCCCGGTTCTAATGTCTGTGCTCACTGGGCTCCAGGCTCCGACCTCTGAACCTGCCGGCCCTGGCTGTAATGTCTGTGCCCACTGGTCCCCAGGCTCTGACCTCTGAACCCGCTGGCCCCTGCTCCGACCACTGAGCGCACTGGTCCCCAGGCTCCGACCTCTGAACCTGCCGGCCCCGGCCCTAATGTCTGTGCTCACTGGGCTCCAGGCTGCGACCTCTGAACCTGCCGCCCCGGCTCTAATGTCTGCGCTCACTGGGCTCCAGGCTGAGACCTCTGAACCTGCCGGCCCCGGCTCTAATGTCTGCGCTCACTGGGCTCCAGGCTGAGACCTCTGAACCTGCCGGCCCCGGCTCTAATGTCTGTGCTCACTGGGCTCCAGGCTGCGACCTCTGAACCTGCCAGCCCCGGCTCTGTCTGTGCTCACTGGGCTCCAGGCTCTGCTTTTGGTTTCTCAACCTGTGAGGCTGGTTTTTCTGCCTCTCTGGGCTCCACCAGGTCCTTTCCCCAGACCCTCACCCAACGCCCACACACAGGACTTGCAGATTCCTGAAGACAAGTGGCTGCAGATGTTTCCATGATAATCTCCCCGTGAGGGTTCCAGGAGTTCCATCTTTCTATGAGCTGTTTTCCTGAGTAGCTTCCTGATCCCTTCAACAGGTGTTTCCCATCCTGGCTTTCTGGTTACTCCTGGCATGACTGTTGGTCTGCCCCAAGCTGCTCGATCACACACAGAATAGAAAGTTTACTGAGATCTTTCTGAATTCTGCGTCTACTTTGCAGTGTCTTAGCCATGTCTTCCTGATGTGCCATCTGGATATATGTTTTCAATTTGTTAATACAATCTGCTGAGAAACACGCTAAAGAGGAAGAGGCTAGAGTGCTCTTCGTGTTGAAATCAATCTATTAAAAATGGTACTTCTGCATCTTTGTTAAAATCAGTTACTTACTTCCCAAATTATTACATAGCTGATATTTCTCAATCTTGCTCATAAGAACACCATCAAATGCCTTGCTTAAATCTGGATCTGCTAAACCCACCACATTAACCTGAACCTGCTGGTAACGTCATTGAAAAGACACCTATACCCACAAAAATTAAACAGTATTAAAAAAAATTAAAGAGAAGAAAGCCAGGAAGCCAGCGCACGGTGAGTATCTCTGTTCTGGGGCAGCCACGTGTCCCTAGGTCAGCTGTCAACAAAGCGTAGTGCAGATGTAAGCAAGTGCCATCTGTGACATTAAACCTATGTTTATTTTCCTTATCTTATGTCAGTACAAACAACTGCACAATAATGCATGCTGAGAAATCGTGCATCCGTTCTATGTGGAAGAGAAAATGAAACCTGTCCTAAAGGCGCAAGCTGTGTTTCCTTCACCTCTCAGTCTGCTTATGAAGGTGAGCTCAGCTCATCAAAACCTCCAATCTGGATTTATCTCTTGTTTAGAAAAATAGCCTGGATGCCAACACACTCCAAAACCTGACCTTAGAGGCATGGAGGACACGGGGCCAGCCTGTCCTTGGCACAGCTGGCCAGGGCCACCACACTGCTTCTCTGGATACGCCAGGGGCGCATGCCCATCCACATCATCGGTGGAAAGCACATAAATACTCTGATCTTTGCCTTATAACTAATTATTTACATTGAATATTTTTTACTTATATTAGTTGCCTTACAACTAATTATTTTACATTGAATATTTTTAAAGTATGTTTTAACATTTAAGCATTATATTTGTTTCTTTTAATAAACTTTTAAGTGGATGTCACTATGCAAGAGAAAAACAGTAAAAAACATACCGTCATAAAAATACATTTCCTGTGTTGACTTCAAAAAATTTAGAATACTGTGTGCCTTTTCATTGGTAATTGTATCATCTTCCTCGCTGGCGTCTGCACCGTCCTCCTCCCCGGAGTCTGCACCCTCTTCCTCCCCAGCCCATGTCGGGTCTTCCTCGCTGGCGTCCGCACCGTCCTCCTCCCTGGTGTCTTTACCGTCTTCCTCCCCGGCCCGTGTCAGGTCTTCCTCAATGGTGTCCACACCGTCCTCCTCCCTGGCGTCTTTAACGTCTTCCTCCCCGGCCGGTGTCGGATCTTCCTCACTGGCGTCCGCACCCTCTTCCTGCCTGGCCCGTGTCAGGTCTTCCTCGCTAGCGTCCGCACCATCTTCCTCCCTGGTATCTTTAACGTCTTCCTCCCCGGCCAGTGTCGGGTCTTCCTCGCTGGTGTCCACACCATCCTCCTCACAAGCCTCTCCCACGCCTTCCCCTTCATTGCTGCTGTCCTCGGGCTGGTACATGAAACTGACACCAGCAGCCTTTGCTGCCAAGCCGGCTGCTTTCTTCCTTTTAATTTGCTGTTTCTTTTTCAGTTTCCTTTTTTTATTTTTGCTTATTGTGGTGCCATCTGTGTGCTGTCGCTGAGATTTCTCCTGTAACAGACTCTGCTGTTTCTCTAATTCTGCTTGTTCTATAAGAACATTATTGGGATTTTTAAATTTTTTCTTTGATTTATGCTTCCTAATTCTTCTTCTCTTTGGCTGGTCATGAGGATCCTGATCTGTTAAAAAAATTCAAATATAACAATTTTCAGTACAATGAAACCATAACAAACATATTAGGCTAAATAAATTTTCCATCAGGATCTTGTAGTTTTAGTAGAAAAAGAGTTTACACTATTTACTTCGGTGATTCTCAACTTTACCATCAAAGATCCTAGGACTAACGTAATATAAATTAGCAGTACATACACTCACAGATGCGACAATCATAATATATGGTGTGTTTTGAAGGATGTACAAGTTGTTGCTTTTTTTTTTTTTTTTTTTTTCCTGACACAGACTCTTACTTTGCTGCACAGGCTGGAGTGCAGTGGAACAATCTCGGCTCACTGCAACCTCTGCCTCCCAGGTTCAAGTGATTCCGGTACCACTGCCTCTCCAGTAGCTGGGAGTACAGGCAAGCACCACCATGCCCAGCTAATTTTTTTTATTTTCAGTAGAGACGGGGTTTCGCCATGTTGGCCAGGGTTGTCTCAAACTCCTGGTCTCAAGTGATCCACCTGCCTCGGGCTCCCAAAGTGCTGGGATTTCAGGAATGAGCCATTGCGCCTGGCCAGTTGTTGCATTTTTATAGTAAAATTTCATTTCTATGGGCCTTTCCCTCTATGGGGGGGAAACCCGTATTTCTTTTGTTCTTTTAAAAAATTTATTTTACAATTTAGTCCTTTCTAAAGTTACTTGTGTGTGAGAATAAAAAATAAGTAATGATGATTTGCCCATCTGAGTCAGCATCAGGTTGCGTTTTGACACGAAGCTAAGCTGGACTCCAGGTTGGCAGAAGGTGGTTTATAAATAGCATAGGTTGGTGATGTGCTGGTAAATGGCTAATAACCAGCTCTCGGAAAAGTCCTGAGTCCTCCAATCTGCTCATTTCCCTGGTGTAAATATTTCCCCCGTGGCCGATTTCAAACTACCACTGTGGTGTTGCGGAACAGAAGAGGTAGCACAGCCAATTCTCACAGGCTGAGAGGGGCAGCATGGCTTGAAACGGGCGGCTGGGGAGAGGGTGGGCAGGAAGCACCATGGATAAACCATGGCAGTCTCAACACCTCAGTGAGGACAGAGACGTGGCGGCCCCTCGGCGAGGACAGAGACGCGGCGGCCCCTCGTGAGGACAGAGACGCGGCGGCCCCTCGTGAGGACAGAGACGCGGCGCCCCCTCGTGAGGACAGAGACGCGGCGGCCCCTCGGCGAGGACAGAGACGCGGCGGCCCCTCGTGAGGACAGAGACGCGGCGGCCCCTCGGCGAGGACAGAGACGCGGCGGCCCCTCGTGAGGACAGAGACGCGGCGCCCCCTCGGCGAGGACAGAGACGCGGCGGCCCCTCGTGAGGACAGAGACGCGGCGCCCCCTCGGCGAGGACAGAGACGCGGCGGCCCCTCGGCGAGGACAGAGACGCGGCGGCCCCTCGTGAGGACAGAGACGCGGCGGCCCCTCGGCGAGGACAGAGACGCGGCGGCCCCTCGTGAGGACAGAGACGCGGCGGCCCCTCGGCGAGGACAGAGACGCGGCGGCCCCTCGTGAGGACAGAGACGCGGCGGCCCCTCGGCGAGGACAGAGACGCGGCGGCCCCTCGTGAGGACAGAGACGCGGCGCCCCCTCGGCGAGGACAGAGACGCGGCGGCCCCTCGTGAGGACAGAGACGCGGCGGCCCCTCGTGAGGACAGAGGCGCGGCGGCCCCTCGTGAGGACAGAGACGCGGCGGCCCCTCGTGAGGACAGAGACGCGGCGGCCCCTCGGCGAGGACAGAGACGCGGCGCCCCCTCGGCGAGGACAGAGACGCGGCGGCCCCTCGTGAGGACAGAGGCGCGGCGGCCCCTCGTGAGGACAGAGACGCGGCGCCCCCTCGGCGAGGACAGAGACGCGGCGGCCCCTCGTGAGGACAGAGGCGCGGCGGCCCCTCGTGAGGACAGAGGCGCGGCGGCCCCTCGTGAGGACAGAGACGCGGCGCCCCCCCGGCGAGGACAGAGACGCGGCGGCCCCTCGTGAGGACAGAGACGCGGCGGCCCCTCGTGAGGACAGAGACGCGGCGGCCCCTCGTGAGGACAGAGACGCGGCGGCCCCTCGTGAGGACAGAGACGCGGCGCCCCCTCGGCGAGGACAGAGACGCGGCGCCCCCTCGGCGAGGACAGAGACGCGGCGGCCCCTCGGCGAGGACAGAGACGCGGCGGCCCCTCGGCGAGGACAGAGGCGCGGCGGCCCCTCGTGAGGACAGAGACGCGGCGGCCCCTCGTGAGGACAGAGACGCGGCGCCCCCTCGGCGAGGACAGAGACGCGGCGGCCCCTCGGCGAGGACAGAGACGCGGCGGCCCCTCGTGAGGACAGAGACGCGGCGGCCCCTCGTGAGGACAGAGACGCGGCGCCCCCTCGGCGAGGACAGAGACGCGGCGGCCCCTCGGCGAGGACAGAGACGCGGCGGCCCCTCGGCGAGGACAGAGACGCGGCGGCCCCTCGTGAGGACAGAGGCGCGGCGGCCCCTCGTGAGGACAGAGGCACACTACCCGTGCTGCTGCTCCCTGACAGAAGGGTATCAGATAAGTAACTGGCGCCATGCGGGGGGAACAGAGGGTGTGTGCAGGCCAAGAACAGACGGCACATGGCGCACACGCCCCGCCCCACACCCAAGCCCCGCCCAGACACTGATGGGTAAAGTCTATACCACGGGCGTCTGTGCCACGGCCGGCACACGGCTCCCGGGTGTTGCCCGAGCAGACCTAGAACTATAAAGCTTGCCGCTGCACCACGCCAAGGGCGGGGGTTCAGACAGTTCTCATTTTAGGAAGCGCCTGTTGGAGTTTTCTGAGCTGTGCACCCCATCACAGATTGTGAAGAATCAAGATGAAACAACGTGAGTGAAGTTTGTGAGACACTGTAAGGGCAGATTCCCTATCATTTCCACTCAAGCGCTTTCCCTTCACCTCTGAAATGAGATAGAATACATGAGTTCCTCTTCCACAATGAAGCTCTTCAAAGCGGTTTCCTATTCTCCTCTGTCTCAACAGCCTCAAGCACACCGCCCTCAAAGCCCAGGGCCTGCCCGCATGCTGGACAGGAACCCTGCAGAGGGTGAGCTCCGGGCTCTTCGCCAGCTGCGGACACCGCAAGCTGTGACGCAGTCCCACCCCATGACTCGATAAAGCAGTCGCATCGGTTTCTCTCACCCTGAAAATACAGGAAGTATTTTACCAAGCACCAGCCTCCCCTCTTCATTGGATGTAGACACCCCCCAGCTCTGTTCACGGTCAAACTGAACGCCGCTGTGGAACTGTGAGATGACATTGCTGCCGCTTTGTGGAAGAGAGTTCCCACCGTGTCTTGTTGTGATTGGTATCCGTTCTGCACAGCCTCCACCACCACAGCGTGGCACAGGCTGAAGCAGCTCCGCACACAGTCCCAAGATGAAGCCGCCAAGCCTGAGTCTCCTCGACACCTTCATCTCGCTCCTCACTCACCAGTGGGTGTTTGAATAATTTCATCTGCGAGTGTGTGTTGTTGCTTTTGGGGTCCACTGCGCAGGTCTGACCAACCAGCCTGGTCCAGACGTCTTTGAACAGCAGCCTCTGGGTCTGCCCTGAACACACTGATGTTTAAAACCAACCACGTCTAGGCAATCCATTTTAATTTCCCAGGTTCTGTTAAAAAAAGATGAAATTAAGCCTCTCCTCTTAGGTGTCTATTAAAAAATGTGACTGCCTTCATGAATTTGGAGATAAGTAACACATCGAGTGTTTTCCCACCCACAGGAAGCCCCTCTAGGATGCGACAGGTCACGGGGGCGACCCTCATCACCCAGCAAGAACACTGCGGAATGCTGCTCATCACCCCCCAGGCTCCTCCCGGCACGTCCTTCTCTGCCAGCTCTGTCAGTGCCGCTCATCGCCAGTGTCGTACCCCGGGGTCAGCTTCCCCTCCTAAGACTACAAGACAAACAAATGGTTGCCCTGTTGAGATCGACTGCGCTATTGATCTATTTTTATAAGACTATAAAACAGTAATTTAAAAAGGTGAAGGAGGCAAAAAGGCCATAAAATGTTAAGTTTGTCATATTTTTTTCACATAAATGTGTATGCGTGTACTTTTGAAAAGGAAAAGTTAATATACATTAAAAAAAAAAGAGACTGGACATCCTTTTCTCAGGATGCTCCCTGCAGTTACTCCTTGGGTGGTCTAAGTATAGGCTGCTTTTTTCCTCCCAATTTCTCTGATTTCCAAGTCTAGTTTAAGAGAGGAGGCTTGAAAATCCAGCATCGGGAACACGGAAGTGCCGATACGTCTTGTTGGTGTTAAGAAGGTAATGAAAGGATACTGCACACAACGACATGCAAATCAGTTAATCCGTTAGAAACAGATTCCTGAGAAAAGTACAATTTAGCCAATGGACACAGAAAGAAACAGAAAATCACAATATTCCTGCATCTGTCTTAAAAAATGAGTCTAGTTAAAAATAATCCCACAAAAGAACTTCAGGCTTAGATAGGTTCACCTGTGACTTTTACTAAACATTTAAAGAAAAAGTCTTGGGAGGCCGAGGCGGGCGGATCACGAGGTCAGGAGATTGAGACCATCCTGGCTAACACGGTGAAACCCAGTCTCTACTAAAAATACAAAAATTAGCCAGGCATGGTGGCAGGTGCCTGTAGTCCCAGCTACTCCGGAGGCTGAGGCAGAAGAATCGCTTGAACCTGGGAGGCGGAGCTTGCAGTGAGCCCAGATTGCACCACTGCACTCCAGCCTGGGTGACAGCGCGAGACTCCATCTCAAAAGAAAAGAAAAAGCCAACACATGTCTTACATACCCGTTTCCAGATAGCAGAAAAGATAATGACCCCTGACGACTCCAACGTCCCTCACGGCTCTGGGCCCTCATGGCTCTGACGACCGTCACAGCTCTGGCCTCTTATGATTCTGGCCCCTCAAAGCTTCAGCTCCGACCCCTCACAGCTTTGATCCCTCACAGCTCCTACTCACAGCAAGTGACCCCTTACAGCTCCCATCCCTCAGCAGTGACCTCTCACAGCTCCCACCCCTTACAGCAGTGACCCCTCACAGCTCCGACTCCTCACAGCTCCCACCTCTCACAGCTCTCACCCGTCAAAGCTCCGGCCCCTCACAGCTCCCACCCCTCACAGCACCCACCCCTCAAAGCTCCAGTCCCTCTCAGCAGTGACCCCTCACAGCTCCCAACTCACAGCTTCAGCTCCGACCCCTCACAGCTTTGATCCCTCACAGCTCCTACTGCTCACAGCAAGTGACCCCTCACGGCTTCCACCCCTCACAGCAGTGACCCCTCACAGCTCCCACCCCTCACAAAAGCTCTGGCCCCTCACAGCACCCACCCCTCACAGCTCCCACCCATCACAGCACCCAGCCCTCACAAAAGCTCTGGCCGTCACAGCTCCCACCCCTCACAGCACCCACCCCTCGCAGCTCTGTGAGGCCTCCAGCGTCTCCACTCCCCTGACAAGGGCATTGCAAGAAGGGAGGGCCACGGGCCCATCTCTCCCGTGGATGCTGCTACAAATATTCCATGCAAGATATTCACGAGATTCCAGTCATGTAAAGTGTATGATAAAATCTCAAATCAAACTGCCTCAAAGGAAGAAATCTAAATCGGATACCGGATACCTACAAGAACCCACAGGCAAGGTCATAAGTCATGTTGAAATGCTGAAAGCCTTTTCTCCAACAGGTCCTGTGACATCACTGTGGTCACCTCCACACTGGGGCTCCAGGCAGGGCACCAGGGAGACAACGTGTGCAAGAGCTGGAAGGGAAGAAACGCAGCTGCCACCCCTGTGAACACAGAAGATGCAAGAGAATCCACAGCTGCCACCCCTGTGAACACAGAAGATGCAAGAGAATCCACAGCTGCCACCCCTGTGAACACAGAAAGTCCAAGAGAATCCATAGCTGCCACCCCTGTGAACACAGAAGATGCAAGAGAATCCACAGCTGCCACCCCTGTGAACACAGAAGATGCAAGAGAATCCACAGCTGCCACCCCTGTGAACACAGAAGATGCAAGAGAATCCACAGCTGCCACCCCTGTGAACACAGAAAGTCCAAGAGAATCCATAGCTGCCACCCCTGTGAACACAGAAGATGCAAGAGAATCCACAGCTGCCACCCCTGTGAACACAGAAGATGCAAGAGAATCCACAGCTGCCACCCCTGTGAACACAGAAAGTCCAAGAGAATCCATAGCTGCCACCCCTGTGAACACAGAAGATGCAAGAGAATCCACAGCTGCCACCCCTGTGAACACAGAAGATGCAAGAGAATCCACAGCTGCCACCCCTGTGAACACAGAAGATGCAAGAGAATCCACAGCTGCCACCCCTGAAAACACAGAAAGTCCAAGAGAATCCATAGCTGCCACCCCTCCCCTGAAAACACAGAAAGTCCAAGAGAATACACAGCTGCCACCCCTCCCCGAAAACACGGAAAGTCCAAGAGAATCCACAGCTGCCACCTCCCCCGGTAAACACGGAAAGTCCAAGAGAATCCACAGCTGCCACCCCTCCCCCGAAAACACGGAAAGTCCAAGAGAATCCACAGCTGCCACCCCTGTGAACACAGAAAGTCCAAGAGAATCCACAGCTGCCACCCTTGTAAACACAGAAAATCCAAGAGAATCCACAGCTGCCACCCCATCAACAGGCAAGTGTGTCACAAATGCAGTGGTCACCACTCAGGAGAAAAAGGAATGTGCCACCAACACACACATCATGAGCTGCAACATCCTGACAGTGTGTGAGAGAGCCCAGATCGCCCCGCTGCCCCAGTTCCACACACCACCTGGCCCCACTTCTGTGAGTCCTGGGGTCTGTGAGCAGATCCACTGGGGCTTCCTGGACAGGGCAGAGGGGAGGAAGGGGCAGTCTCAGGACACAAGGAGACCTGGTGGTGACGGACACATTCATTATTTCAACTGTGATAGTGGTCTCAGGGTCATGCTACATGCAGACTCATGAACTGCACACTTTGAACATCAGTGATGCTGCCCAAAGCCACTAAAAAACACCGTATGCCAGAGAGCCAGACTGGATGCATTTGGCAGGCTCTGCCGCACCAGCTTGTGGCCTCTGCACCCCACTTCCCCTGCTGTCAACTGGGGGTTTGACAGCAGCTCCAGGGTCACCCAAATCGCCACGCCCAGAGCCCTGCAGCGCTGCCCAGCCTGAGGAGGCTGAGTCATGGTGGCTACTCCATCCCAGATCTCAAAGTTCCTGATGCTTCTGGACAATGGAGCACTGTAAAAAATAGCTTATAATCTAGCTCACGAGAAAAACAACATCCTCTAACTCTGTCTTATTTAAAACACGTGCCTGCATTTGTGGTGAGACATACCCAGCAGGGGTCACAATAATTTGGCAACTGAGAGAAAAAGATGTTTATGAATGACTTTCATATATGAGATGGAGAAAACCTTCCTTGGGGATTGGAGTCTCATACAAAGAATGCAAGAGTAATCAGAACTTGAAGGAACAAAACGCAAGCAGGATTGCAAAGCAGTGCCCTCCACCTAACATAGACAGAGGGCCTCTGGAGGTCTTGCCACCAGAAGCCACAGAACCCATCCGTTTTGCAATTGTTGAGCTTTGGTTCATTCAGACAGACCTGTTTCTTTGTAATGATGTTTTCACTGTGCTGTTAGGTTTCCTGCCAAGCCAGAAACCATCTCTTAAGCAGAAGCCGCACTTACATCTGGGTGGAAAGATGGCCAGCAGAGACTGCCCGGCTGAGCCTTCGTCAGGCTCCGGAACCTCCTCTGAGGCCCACCTGTGCGCTTCCCTGCAAAATCCAGTCTCAGCAACAAAGTCACTTTCGCAAGGACCCCACCCTTGACACCTGATTGGGCTCCTCACCCCACCACGCCTCGGTGACGTCTGATCGCCCTGTCTGCCTTCATTAAGAATCCTGGTGGGTTGTTTAGCCAGACTCTCCCTCACCTTTGATGTCTCCTCTCAGAAGTTTTCCATCCACCCCCACCCTGCCCCTTGGCTACAGATTCCCACTTTTCCATGATGAGTAGGTCTTGAGCCCAGTCTCTCTGCCCCCGTGTAAAACCCCATTGTGGTGGTCCCTGCACCTAGGGTGATGTCCTGAATGAAGTCTTCCTCACGGTGGTCTGACAGGTGTCTTGACCACCGTAACACAATTATAGTCACAACCTCCCAGCTTCTCAAAGTCTCATCTGAGGGGTCTGCCAAGCATCCCATTCTCAGCTTTAGTGAGGAACACAAGACCCTAAGGAATATTATCCAAAATAAGACAGTTGGCTCAGCAGGTCAAGGGGAAAACAACAGAGGCTTCATCCAAACAGCTCTGAGGCCCTGAGCATGTGCTCTATGCTCTGGCGTCCTGGTGGCTCTGACACGGGCCCTTTTACCCTGTTGCACTGTGACTTCTCCACTCATGCTGCACCCTCCATATGACTTTTCAGAACCACTCCAGAGACTCCAGAATGTCCACATCTCCAGGGCATGTGGGAGGTCTACGCCCTTCACACCCAGCAGCTGAAAGCGATGTGAGGGAACCAGAGGCCGGGCTATTTATAATTGGAGCAGTGCGCTTTGAAAAGCTGCCATCCCCAAAACACACCTTTCAGACACACTAACTTTAAAAGGAGTCACAATGTGTCAAAACTCTCTCTGCTACTATTTGACACCTACATTCTGATGAACTGCTGGAGTAGAAATAGTTAGATAACAAAAATAACCAGTCTTCAGATTCTAATTCTCACAGCTGCACCTTCTTACGTGAAAGTAGGCTAGGCATTTTAAAGGGAATATGAACTTTATTCTAGATTCAAAGCTAGGCTACAAATTGCATCTGATAATTACCCTCAAGCTACCAATGTCCTCTAGGTGCTAAATAAAAAGTAGTAAACTTCTTATCAAGTTGATCTAAACCCTACCTGTGAAAGCAGATCTTTAAAATGTAGTAACATGAAAAGCTTCCAGTTGCTGAGTGTGTTGTTTGCCTAAAATCCAGGAAAATATTTTGTAATAACACCATAGATTGTACTCATTTAGCCAAGGAAACACTGGAGTCTCACAGACGCGGACACTCCGGCCTGCTGAGAAGCATGTCCTGCCCCGGGCAGGGTGGTTTGAGACCCCTGGAGATTCAGGGATGGACAAGCGGTGGCTGTGGCTGGCGTGGACCATGGCAGTTGCTTGCCATGTAGAAGACCTGCCACAGAGAGAGGAATTCATGTTCGGTTTGGCCTTTGAGGATAAAATTCAGACCCAGCAGACAGGGCTTCAGGGAATAAAGGTAGCTCACATGGCTCCTGGGACAGAGACTTCTCCCCAGGGCCTCAGCCACCAAGGACTGCCTGTGAGACGGGGAGCACCCCTCCAGGGTCAGCCGTGAGGGTCAGCAGGTGCCTGAACACCCTCGGAATAAAGAGGACTTGAAGAGTTCCCTGTCACTTTAAAAAAATGGATTCTCGCTCTCTCTCTCTTAATAGATCTGAATCTGGAGCAGTAATTTCCAAAGACAACAAGGGAGGCACAGCCTTGGAGCTGGAAATGTGGCCTCCTCCCCCGGCTCCATGCCAGCTGCAGGACATCATTTAGCTTTTGATTCCAAATGGTACTGAAAGACCATACGGGACCTCAACGTTATAAAAAACTGAGTTGGGCTAAAACACAACAATCTAGATGCTAAAGTTTTGTGATTTTGAATTTGGATGCCGGGCGGTGATCAGGAACCACCAAAGGAAAGGTTGGTTTTCCTCTGGATGTGATCTGCCGCTAAGCTAAACGTCTGCCTTCTGAATACTTACTAAACATGTGGCCAAATACACATTATTTCATAATCTTCAACAAGATTAGTTCCTGAATTCTTCCCTGAGACAGACTTTGATACCGAATTAATGTCCAAATTTTCTAGATTAGTTTTGAATAGGCTTGAATTATACATACTCAAGAAATTGTTCTTATGTTTCATGTTTACATGTTTGAGTCTTAAAAACTGACTTAGTGGAAAAGTAGTTAGTGTCTCACCATAAAACAGCTTGATAGATACTTTTAAAAACAATTCACATTTAGTCATTTTCTATAACTTTCCATAAAATGGCCAACAAAATGATAAAAATTTTATAAGCAATAAAAGTCTTAAAATAGGGCAATAAAGTGCTAAATTCCCTTAAATAAAACTGTCAAAACCATGAGGCAAGTCATTAAGTTAAAATTAGATGCAGGACAATTTTTTTAATTTAAAGAATAGGAAAGTTAAGAAAGTAATTAAAACAGTACAAATGAAGAAAAGCCATTGAATTATTCAATAAATATAAAGCCACAGTAAATAAAAAATTTAAATAGTAAATTTAAATAGAGTAAATGTATCCACAAAAAAATGTTAAAATGAGGTTATATTTGTGTGAGGCTCTGAAACTGTGAAGTGTTTTGTAAATATTCTTCATTGACTTGGACTCGTGACTTTTTGAGTTGAAAACTTAACTAAAACGCTCATTTACTTCACGGGTTTTCAGTGGTACCACAGAGAAGAGGGGGGCTCTGAAGCCTGCAGCTTAATTCCAATTTCTGCCAAGACATCTGTTTACCTCCTGGGGATATCGGGGGAACCAGCCCCCAATATTTCAACATAGGTTCTTTTCTATTTTCCCTAAGCATCGGCCAGTCTGAGAAATAAAGGGAAAGAGTACAAAAGAGAGAAATTTTAAAGCTGGGTGTCCGGGGGAGACATCACATGTCAGCAGGTTCCGTGATGCCCCCTGAGCCCCAAAACCAGCAAGTTTTTATTAGCGATTTTCAAAGGGGAGGGAGTGTACAAATACGGTATGGGTCACAGAGATCACATGCTTCACGGGCAATAAAATATCACAAGGCAAATGAGCAGGGCAAGGTCACAAGGCCAGGGCGAAACTAGAATTGCTGATGAAGTTTCATGTTCCACTGTGCATACATTGTCATTGATAACAGGGTTCAAGAGCAGAGAACCGGTCTGACTAGAATTCACCAGGCTGGAATCTCCTAATCCTAGCAAGCCTGGGGGCGCTGCAGGAGACCAGGGCGTGTTTCATCCCTATCTACAACTGCATAAGGCAGACACCCCCAGAGCGGCCATTTTAGAGATCCCCCTCCGTCCCCCCAGGAATGCATTCTTTTTCCAGGGCTCTTAATTATTAATATTCCTTACTGGGGAAATAATTCAGCGATATTTCTCTTACCCGTTTTCGGCAATAAGAGAAATACGGCTGTGTCCTGCCCGGCTCCCAGGCAGTCAGACCTAATGGTAATCTCCCTTGTTCCCTGAACATCGCTGTTATCCTGTTCTTTTGTCAAGATGCCCAGATTTCATATTGTTCAAACACACATGCTTTACGAACAATTTGTGCAGTTAACGCAACCATCACAGGGTCCTGAGGCAACATACATTCTCAGTTTAAGAAGATGATGGGATTAAGAGATTAAAGACATGCATAGGAAATTATAAGAGTATTGATTGGGGAAGTGATACATGTCCATGAAATCTTCACAATTTATGTTCAGAGATTGCAATAAAGACAGGCATAAGAAATTATAAAAGTATTAATTTGGAGAACTAACAAATGTCCATGAAATCTTCACAATTTATGTTCTCTGTCACGCCTTCAGCCGGTCCCTCCGTTCGGGGTCCCTGACTTCCTGCAATAGGGGCATATTTTAGCATCTTTTTCCGAGGCCTTGTCTGGCATTTCAAGAGTCTTTCTTCATTATTACGGTAGGGACTTTCAGCCATCTTTCTATTCCTGAGAGTCTCTTCAGCTTTGGGCAATTCATGTATTATTTTTTCAATAACTGACTGGGCACAGTGGCTCAGGCCTGTAATTCCAGCAATTTGGGAGGCCAAGGCAAGCAGATCACTTGACCCCAGCGGTTCGAGACCAGCCTGGCCAACATGGTGAAACCCCGTCTCTACTAAAAAATACCAAAAAAAAAAAAAAAAAAATAGCTTGGTGTAGTGGTGCGCACCTGTGGTCCCAGCTTCTCGGGAGGCTGAGGCAGGAGGGCGGCTTAAACCCAGAAGGCAGAGGGTGCAGTGAGATTGCGCCACTGCACTCCAGCTGGGATGACAGAGCGAGACTCCATCTCAAAATCATCATCATCATCATCATCTTCTACCTTTTTTTCTCAGATACTCTTTAACTTCAATTAAACAAATATTAATATCTAGTAAAATATTCATAAATCACTCTATTTTTGTAACACATTCACTTCAAGCTAAAAGCAGTGTAAGGATACACCACTATCTAGACATTTCTCTAATCCAAATTGCTTAGGAATATGTGCCAACAATAGCTTGGAAATCGAGTAACTATGTTTTACGAAAATAAATGGCAATAAGAACAAATGCATTCTTTTCTTTTGTTTCTTCCTAGGCAAGCTAAAAAAAAAAAAAAAAACAAAAACAAAAACCATGTAGATCCCACAGGTGAGTTATTTCAAAGTTCATGCCTGACACCCGGCACCCACAGTCTTTAATCAAACAGCCAATGCTATTCTCATTGGCTTCATTAAGTCCGGGAAGAATCCAGGAGATGCCAAAGACACAAAAAACATGACCATACACAGTGCCAACCTTTTAGAAACCATCACAGCCTTTTCTGATGGCCCAGGATGCATGAGACCTCCAAGTCCAGGCTCTCATCCCACTTGTGGGTAGGTAAAGGCAGCTGAGCAACAGGTCTCTCGCAGGACACTCAGAGAGAGAGAGAGAGAGCGCGCACAGCAGGGCGCCCCTCCCCTCCTCTAGGACCAGGCGAGCTTGGACACAGCTGAATGTGTGAACTCTCATATCAATAAATCAGCGTGACAAGAATGAAACACTGCTAGCTCTGACTCTGTCAGGCCCTTGAGAGGGTGAGATGCGAGGAATGCGGAGCGGGGGGCAGCCCCATCACCCACCCACGAGCCACTCTGGAAAGGCTAAGAGAAGTCACGCTAGGACTCCTTCAGGAAAGGCAAAAGGCAGAGAGAGCCACGATTCTGTCAAAACAGAGCATGTACGGATGTTTAACTCAAACGGAATCCACATTATAACTGTGCATTTACTGCATGCTTCCAGAAGCCGTGAAGTTAGTAACTATTTCAACTGGTGCTTGCTGCTAGAATCACCATCACAACAGCTCTCCACAGAAATGACTTATGTTCATGACTCTGTAGCTGGATCTGAGCACAGAATCTGAGTCAATGCCTCACACCGCTTGTGATTAGGAACCGGGGAAACACTAACACTTGCCTTACGGGCTGTTTTTATACATAATCATTCAACGCAGTTCACCAAATATTGACTTAAGACTTAATTCCACCAGGCGCCAGGATAAGGCTCCTCGGGGAATAAAAAGCCGGCAACGCTCACGTTTGCACAAGCTTTGCAATAAGCCCAGACGGTCTGGCACAACAAACGCTAAGCGTGTGGGTCCAGACTGTCACCCCATGGGCAGAGAAGGGGCCCGCTAACACCACGCGCTGAGGGGGCGCAGGGGAGAGGCGGGAACCCGTGGAGGGAGGCAGCGGCGCAGGGAGCAGGACTGGAGGGAGGCGGGTCCCTGTGGAGCGCAGCAGGAGGAAGGCAGCGCGCGGGGAGCGCCCGGGCGGCCCAGGCGAGGCAGGACGCAGCGCTGACCGGACCCAGGGCTGAAGTCGGCAGAACTGCGGCCAGTGCCCGCCGCGCCCGGGGGAGCGCGCCAGGCCCGCGGGGCCCTAGCCGAGGCCGTAGTAGGTGGAATACGGGGCAGCCACGGAGGAATCGGGGGCGAGGCGCGGAGAGGCCCCGGATGCAGCGGTCCCGCCCCGAGAACGGAGCGCGCGGAACCGGCGCAGGCCTCCGAGGCTTCCAGCCGAGACGGCACCCAGGTTTCCCGAGCAGGGTCTGAGGCTCCAAGGACATCCCGGCGGCGAGAAGGCGCCGAGAGACCTGCCCGGGTCCCGAGCCCCGACCGCAGCCCCAGCTCCCGCCGAGGCCCTGGAAAGGCGGGGGAGACGCGCGGCGGCGCGCGGTCAAATTCCTCAGGCACCCAATGCAGTTCCCGGCTGCAAAAACACGGGAGACAGGAGAGGAGGGAGGGTCTGCAACCCAGGCGGGGCAAGTGCGCCCTCAAGGCCGTGGCGAGCCGGGGCGCAGGACACGGCAAGGCCCCTGAGCCGCCCACGCAGGTTTCCCGACGTTCTCGCAGAAAAGGTAAAGCGGCACCCCGCCCCCAGTTCCGCCCGTCCCCGCCCCGCCCCGGCCCTTCCGCCGCCCCGCCCCGGGCCACCCCACCTCGGCGCCATCCCGCTCTACGCTTAGCCCCACCTCGGCCCCGCCCCCCGGTCCCTCCGCAGGCTCCAGAGGCGCCCAGGCTCCGCTTCCCTCCGGCCTTCCTTAGCGCCGCGCCCATTCTGTAGGCCAGGCTCACAAAGGAGCCTCCCCAGCTAGGGTCAGCTCCTACAACGCCACGGCCCTCCTGGCGCTCTTCCCTTTCTTAGGCCTGAGCACACCGCCCAACACAAGCGTTTAAAAAGCATTTGATTCAGTGAATTACTTGGTAAACCCTGATTACTCAGTGTACTTGCAAAAAGGAAAAGATGTAGCTCAGAAAACAAGCCATTTTAAGAATCTAAGAAGAATGAGTTAAGCAGCAGAGAAGTGGGGAAAGGTAGTAACTACCACAAACTGGAGGTCAAAGGAAACAACTGCTACTGAATAAAAACAATGAAAAGCTGAAATCTGAGCTTCCTGGTGGCAAAAGCAAAAAGGGTATCGATGGGAAATCTCTCTCTTATCCAACAAGAAGTACACGAGTTCATAAGAACAAAATATTTTTCTAGCGCTGAACTCTAAAGGGAATACCTTTCACCTGGAGTTTTACATAACTGCTAGTGACTGCACAATGAATAAGGAACAAGATTTTAAATGACAGTTTTACAAAAACAAGGAAAAAAGGCCAACACTCTCCAGGTCTTTTGATTAATCTGCAATAAAAGATGAATATGAAAAGTGAAACTCCAAGATGATATTTTCCCAGAGAGGTACACTCATATAAACTAGGTGAAGAGCTCACGTATGATCTTTTTTTTCTTTTTTTGAGGCGAATTCTCGCTCTGTTGCCCAGGCTGGAGTGCAGTGGTATGATCTCGGCTCACCACGGCCTCCGCCTCCCCAGTTCAAGCGATTCTCAGGCCTCAGCGTCTCGAGTAGCTGGGATTACAGGTACATGCCACCACACCTGGCTAATTTTTATATTTTAGTAGAGACAGGGTTTCGCCATGTTGGCCAGGCTGTTCTCAAACTCCTGACCTCAGGTGATCTGCCTGCCTTGGCCTCCCAAAGTGCTGGAATTACAGGCGTGAGCCACTGCGCCTGGCCTCACCTATGATCTTGACTTGATGTAAGGTAAGCATTTCCAAAACCTAACGGACTGATCAATTCCTGTGTTCCCTGAACGAGGCTTTCAGATGCTGGCGGTGCCCCCACACCCCTTGTCTCCTCCTGGAGGTGTCTGGCAGGAGCAGGAAGGTGCACCACCATGCAAGCTGCCAGCACTGTGTGCCACTGGAAAACCCAGGGAAGAGGCATGTTGGGGGCACTGCGGACATTTTCTTCTAAAAATTACATGGCTGGACTTGTTTCCGGCACCGTGGCATAGGGACACACTGTCGTGCTGCTGGGAAGGTGCCCAGCGTCCCCACAGTGGTCAGCTGGGTCCAGAGTCCTGTAATGCGGTCTACACAGGAGAAGACGGACGTAAGCGGTATTTTGAGCACAACGTGCTTATCCCAGCTGCCCAGAGGAATGTCCACATCACTGTAATAGACTCTGTAAATTCATGTAGGGCAGTGTTCCTACGACGCGCCAGGACCGTGAGCAGAAGAGCGTCCTGCCAGATAAGTGAGTTCGCCTGCTAAATGTGGCTGTGTAGCATTTTCCATGGAGACTCTGCCAAAAAGGACAACTTTCTTCTGGCACAATCTATAGTGGGTTGTTCTGTCACTAACAGGCCAGAGGTTTACTGGCTTCTGGAGAGCAAGACGCAACCCCACGTCAACAAGAGGAGGAGTACGTGCATGTTTCTGTCTAGAGCCAAGACCCATTAACCCAGGTGGCAGAGGTCCCAGAACCACATCCAACACAATGCCATTCAAGACTTCCCACAGCCCGTCTCCTTCCACCTGTTCCTGACAAGCTGTGAGCCCAAAAGCACCCACAGTCTGTGCTTGTCACATTCAGAGATTACCCAAAGAACACAGACAAGACAGACTGAGACAAACTGCTGGTACTTAGGTCTTCCTGTCCTGGCTTTTGGGCACAGGTCTGCCTGTCTTCATAAAAAATACACACAGGCCCTAATTGATATGGTCAGTGAGCACTAAATCTCCATTTATCACAAGGCAGTAGCCAGGTACCCAGGACAAGACAAAGGGCAGGCCCTCAGCCTGTTGGAACCGGGACCGGCAGACCCAAGGGCGCAGCAAGTGCCGCTGCGGGGGCCTAGATGGCCTCCGGGAGGGTGGAAACCAAGTCTCAGAGGCCGGGCAGCCAGGAGGGGCCAGACTGAGGGCTAAGCACCAGGTATGCCACCCCTGCCTGGGCGACAAGGCCCTGGGCGGCCGATCCAAGTTGCTGTGGGGATGCCCCGGCGCAGAGCAGGGCTGCGCAAGGTCCTGAGTGTGAATGCCCAGGGGGCCTGGTGCCAGGCACAGCAAAGGCAAAAACAAACAGCACTTTCCTCTGCAGCTTCCTGGGAGTTGACGTGTGGGCCCCACGTGTTCAAAATGAAAGCCAGTGACCTGAGTGCTTCCAAGAGAGACCACGACAACAACGTTGGCCGTTATTTTTCCAGCTCCAGTTCTCACCTCTGTGCTTAAAACTGCAACCAAAAAAGCTCAAAGGCTCTTCCTTCTTGTGTGCCGTGTTCCCACACTGACCTTGGAGGGTCAGAGAGAGAGGGGTCCCATCCTTGCTTCTCCTGGCCTCTGGCTCCTGAGGGCCCTGGAGGCTCCATCGGCTCTGCAGCTGCAAGGCTGTGCTTGGGGCTTGCTCTGGGCATTTTCTCTTTCATTTTGAAGAACAAAGGTAGGAAACACAATTAGAGGGTGGGCTTTGCTGTCTTTTTCCCAACTTTACCATTTCAAGTCACTGGCGCCTGGAGAAGGTGGCAAGGGGGCCCGGGCAACAGGAAAGGAGTGACTCCTCAAGGGCTCCTGGACACGTGTCCTCAAGAAGCAGCTTGTGAAGAGAAATGCCTGTCTATGTGGTGCAAGTATCTTTCCACTTCCTGTAAGAACACTGCTGTAGCTCAGTCCTGACACAGCCTGTCTGGGAAGCAGTGTTGGCTCATGGCCAAGCGAGCCTTCTACCCTGGGGTCCAGCACAGGCCTGTCCTGGGAACATGAGCAGCATGGACAACGCGGTACAACGGGGCGAGAGCGCCAACCGCGGACAACAGGAAGGGCGTGAGTGAGGGCCAACGCACTTCCTTCTTGGACAGATTAAGTACGCAATGAAGCATATTCACCCAGAGGAATTTATCTTCATAAGAACGCACATTTTCTAGTTAAATAATCTATCTATCTAATAATTGTGTTTCAAAGATTTTCAACAGGGCTTGAAAGGATGAATCCATTATTCCTTAGTTATCTCATTTTTGTTTTTATGGTTTCTGATCCTTTAATTTAGGAAGCCAGAAAGACAAAAGCAGTCAAAAACCACATTTTGTTGATATTCAAATTAATTAATGTTTATAATATAGAGTTTCTTAGTTTATATTGTTACAAATCATCTAGGTACAACTTTTATTTGAAAACTCTAAATTCCTCTTGTGCACCTTAAAAAAGATCAACGTGAAGTGAAAAACAACTATTTCCCTTTTAAGGTAAAAAGTATATGGGCAACTTCAGCTTTTCCATGCTCAACAGTCAACCGTATTAAGAGAATATTGTATATTCTTTCATTCGTACGACATGCAACAACAATAGGAATTATAATAATTTTTTCCAAAAGACATTCGAAATAAGGTATTTCCTTGATTACAGATTTGATGTACAATGTCAGAAATTCTGAAAAACTTGGAAAATCAAGAAAATAATATTTTGCTAAACCAAGACAAGTACTGTTAACAATTATTTAATGGTATTTAATATGTATTTAGTTCCAGGGTACTCCTAAAGCATTAACAAACATGGGCTATAGTCATATTCCCACTTTCAATCTCCTCCATATGAAGTCTTTTTTCCTGTCATTACAAGTCTTTTAAGCATCACTTTTCACGGCTATAAAATACAAAGGTACACCATGTGGTTCATTATACAGTGTAACAACATGCTCACCCACCCCCCAAGTATGAATTTAGATAAAGGTATTACAATACCAGAAAATTGGGAAATACGAGCTTATCTGCAAAGATGTCTACCTTTCCTCCCACCCAGCATTTTACCTTCTGTGTCATCCCCGCTGGAGGCGTTCTCGGGGCTCCCACAGCTGCTGGGCTCCGGCCAACAGGGGACGTAGCCCTCAGGAGGCCCGCTGGCAGTGTAGAGCCGTCGGGCAGTCGGGGTCTCAGAGCCAGTGTCTGCAACACAGGAGGAAAATAACAGGAACTGGTAAATATCACAAAATGCAGTCATTTATTTGCCTTGATTACATCGGCATTGTTTCTCTAAATTCATTCAAGACATGAAATCAAAGAGCTCAATAAAACCTAACCACTGTCATAAATACTGATTTTAATATGTCAAGTATTGTGCCAGAAAAGCAGGTCAGCTACACACCCAGCCAAGAAAAAGGAACTGCCCATGATTGTTTGAATTCACATGAAATTACTTATTATGCAAACTTCTGGGTTTTTGTAACACAATACAAAAACATAACTAATTCATGAGTATAAAGCAGCAAAATATAAACAGTTTGCACGACACACCCTTTATCATCACACGAGGAGTCCCTGGGGATTTCACTGCACAGACTTCTGGGTCTTTTTCTCCACACGTGCTAACAACATGTGTACACTGTGGCTGTGTGCACACACAGCCACACACACAACAGACACACATGCAGACACACAAACATCCACAAAACACACAGAGACACACACAGATACAAACAGACACAGAGACACCATGCACAGCCACAGACCACACACACAGGGACAACAAACACACACAGACACAGACATGTACAGAGACACACAGAGAGATACACAAATACACAAGCACACACAGACACACATACATCTTCAGGAGATCGTGTCACATACTTTATTATTATACACATATAAGTTATACATTTGTATCTTACATGTAAAATATAATTGAGTGAATACAGTGTGTTAAAATGACATATTGTAACTTAAATCTGCATACTTTTAATGGCTACATCATATCCCATGCGATGGAATTATAACCAGGACTTAACCACTTTCCTCAATGGCCATGTGGAGCTGACCAGAGGTCGTCGCCACTGCAGACGGCTGCTGGAACCTCCCCGCTGTATGCTCCTCTACCAGAGGTCGTTACCACCGTGGACAGCTGCTGGGACCTCCCTGCTGTGTGCCCCTCTGCATACGGAACCTCCCCTGCTGTGTGCCCCTCTACCAGAGGTCACCACCACCGTGGACGGTGGCTGGAACCTCCCTGCTGTGTGCCCCTCTACCAGAAGTCATCACCACCGTGGACGGCGGCTGGAACCTCCCTGCTGTGTGCCCCTCTGCGCACGGGACCTCCCCTGCTGTGTGCCCCTCTACCAGAGGTCATCACCACCGTGGATGGCTACTGGGACGTCCCCTGCTGCACGCCCCTCTGCGCACGTGGCTGTTTGGTTCCTGCACAGGGATCTGCTGGTTTAGGGGGCAGGTGCTTTTGCCCGCTTTTCATGCACACTGTCTGGAAGGTAGCAGGGCCACTTCCTCTCAAACTGTCCGACACTGGGCAGCCTCTGTCAGTTTAGTCTTCCTTTTTTCATGCAGAATATGGCAGTGATGCTCTTGCACGTGACAAACACAAGTGGACATCCCAGCTGGGCTTTTACCAAATGATGTGCATTTGATTTTGAAAACAACAATGACAGGTATTGAGCAAAATCACAACCACACAGAACAGAATGTAGCTGTAAAAACCTTGAAGCCTTTTCAGGTTCCACTGTAGTCAACACACTTTGCTCTCTCGAGGGTAGGGTGCCGGAATCCTAGTTCTTAAACTAATCTGATTCACCGCAGCTGATTAATTACTATGTCATTCCCTGCCGGAGCCAAGGGCAGATGGAGATGGCTTCTAAGTACACTGTCCCCTACTGGGTAAATCAACATTTGATCATTTTTCACAGAATATTTTTGGAAGCTTTTAATCAGCTAAATCTTTCTTAGTAAGAAAGTTAAACAGAACTTAGAAATGTCATTGTTCACTTAATCATTAGGATGGACACGGGAGGGATCAGGGAACACTCAATGACTCATGCAGAGCAAACAAGGATGCAGCTAAGAGGACGGGTCCAAAACGCACCGCGCCAGGGAGACAGTTCCGGTCTGTGGGGTGACCGCGGGCCAGGGCTGCACTTCTAAGCCGCAAGTGGCACCTCCTGCGACAGTCACAGGCACCACGCAGACAGGAGCACCACGAGGGGCCTCACGGCTTGCTCGTCTGTGAATCACGGTGACCATGTAACCCATAATACCTTCTGGTTCTAACTTTTTATATTCTTTTGGGTAATGTATGGTTTACTGTGAGGACACTTACGCCTTGCACAAGTTGAACGTTACATGTCTTGATCAGGTGCAAGGAAGAGACCGGTTACACTTTATGGGGTGGGCGGCAGCGAGAGTTCCCCGTCCCATCATCTCCTCCGCCGGACGCACAGAGAATGCAGCGTCTGTGAGCACAGCTGCCCTGGACCTGGCATCTAAGAGTCAGGGTCAGAGAGGGGCAGTCAGAAACCCACCTCCCTGCTGGACAAGTCACAAGCACCAGCATCCCTCGGGAAAGGCAGAGGGGCGTGGTGGCTCGGAGCCCTAGGGTGATAGGCGGTTGGCTGCCCTGTGGGTTTCACCAGTGTCACCTCTTCGCAGGTGTCATTGACCTGGCTCCTTTCTCCCCGTCAGGTTCCCCTCAGCTCCTCTGGGCTGCTCCTGGCAGCCGACAGCTATGGAGGGGCTCACAGCCAGCCCCTGGCCCACTTCAGGTGAGCACTGGGTACCACCCAGCCCTGTGCGGAAGGGACCCTCATCCGTTCCCTCCTGGCTCTCCCACCATCTTTCAAAGCTCCGCCTCCCTCTCCCCACAGCCCTTGCCCTTGCTTCACCAGGAAAATAAAGAAATCAGAGAAGACTGCCACAGGTACCTGCACACCATGACGGCTGTGAGCAAAACCTGCATCTGACACAGATCCTTACGCCGCTCACCTGGCAGAGGCCAGCCATCCCTGCCTCTGAGAGAGCACAGCAGCTCCCGCCTCCCTCCCTCTCCTCTCCTTCCTCCCCATCAGCCTGCACCTGTGCTTGCTCCTCTCGCCCTCCACTCCTCTCCTTCCTCCCCATCAGCCTGCGCCTGTGCTGGCTCCTCTCGCCCTCCACTCCTCTCCTTCCTCCCCATCAGCCTGCACCTGTGCTTGCTCCTCTCGCCCTCCACTCCTCTCCTTCCTCCCCATCAGCCTGCACCTGTGCTTGCTCCTCTCGCCCTCCACTCCTCTACTTCCTCCCCATCAGCCTGCGCCTGTGCTGGCTCCTCTCACCCTCCACTCCTCTCCTTCCTCCCCATCAACCTGCACCTGTGCTGGCTCCTCTCACCCTCCCTTCCTCTCCTCCCTCCCCATCAGCCTGCACCTGTGCTCGCTCCTCTCACCCTCCACTCCTCTCCTTCCTCCCCATCAGCCTGCACTCGCTCCTCTCACCCTCCACTCCTCTCCTTCCTCCCCATCAGCCTGCACTCGCTCCTCTCACCCTCCACTCCTCTCCTTCCTCCCCATCAGCCTGCGCCTGTGCTGGCTCCTCTCACCCTCCACTCCTCTCCTTCCTCCCCATCAACCTGCGCCTGTGCTGGCTCCTCTCACCCTCCCTTCCTCTCCCTCCTCCCCATCAGCCTGCACCTGTGCTGGCTCCTCTCACCCTCCACTCCTCTCCTTCCTCCCCATCAGCCTGCACTCGCTCCTCTCACCCTCCACTCCTCTCCTTCCTCCCCATCAGCCTGCGCCTGTGCTGGCTCCTCTCACCCTCCACTCCTCTCCTTCCTCCCCATCAGCCTGCGCTCGCTCCTCTCACCCTTCACTCCTCTCCTTCCTCCCCATCAGCCTGCGCTCGCTCCTCTCACCCTCCACTCCTCTCCTTCCTCCCCATCAGCCTGCGCTCGCTCCTCACCCTCCACTCTTCTCCTTCTCCACTCCTCTCCTTCCTCCCCATCAGCCTGCACTCGCTCCTCTCACCCTCCACTCCTCTCCTTCCTCCCCATCAGCCTGCGCTCGCTCCTCTCACCCTCTCTCCCTCTCCTTCCTCCCCATCAGCCTGTGCGCGCTCCTCACACCCTCCCTCTCCTTCCTCCCCATCAGCCTGTACTCGCTCCTCTTACCCTCCACTCCTTCCTCCCCATCAGCCTGCGCTCGCTCCTCTCACCCTCCACTCCTCTCCTTCCTCCCCATCAGCCTGCGCTCGCTCCTCACCCTCCACTCTTCTCCTTCTCCACTCCTCTCCTTCCTCCCCATCAGCCTGCGCTCGCTCCTCTCACCCTCCACTCCTCTCCTTCCTCCCCATCAGCCTGCGCTCGCTCCTCTCACCCTCCACTCCTCTCCTTCCTCCCCATCAGCCTGCGCTCGCTCCTCTCACCCTCTCTCCCTCTCCTTCCTCCCCATCAGCCTGTGCGCGCTCCTCACACCCTCCCTCTCCTTCCTCCCCATCAGCCTGTACTCGCTTCTCTCACCCTCCACTCCTTCCTCCCCATCAGCCTGCACCTGTGCTTGCTCCTCTTACCCTCCACTCCGCTCCTTCCTTTTGGAGCCCTCGGTGGGGATCTCCTGTCCTCAGGGTGACTTCCCTCCCAGGAGGCAGCTGGCCTTACCACTTGCTGCACGTGCTAGCAGGGCTCTCTGTATATACACAGATGGACACATATTCTTCTTTCCTCTGTCTTTGAAATGAATCCAGCAGCGAACTCTCGTGGCCTCTTGCTTTTCACCCATGGCCTGTCTTGGTGCTGAGGCTCCCGTCCATCCTGACAGCTGCAAATGGCCCCAGGGGACAAGGCGGACACCACTCACTCTCCAGCCTCCTGCCAGCGCAGGCACAGGCTTGGGCTTGTCTCTTCTCTGAACAGCGATGGAGAAGCCGGTGCAACGCCGACCCCACGAGCAACTGAATCGGCAGGAAAAAGTGCTGGAGGCAAAACCAGGGCCCACGATGCAACTCCGTCATCCTGCTGCATGCCCACACCTCAGGGGTGCTGCCAGGGTGCCCAGAAAGAAGCTTGGCTCAGACTCCCAGTGACAGGCCTGCAGGTCCCCAGCCCCAGGCGACCCCTCCTCCTGCCTCCCTGTCAAATCGTCCCCTCACCTGGCACGGAGCTGGAGGCCTGAGGGTGGGTGAGGGGTCAGGGCAGGTTCTACCAGCTCTTCGCCATTTTGGTCTCCCTGCCTCTGCCCACCCCGCACAGTCCTTGTGGAACCACACAGCCCCCGCCCCCGCCCCCTCAGCCACCCACACAGGCGCCCCTCTCAAGAGGGGAGGGACTTCAGCTGTCAGCACAGCAGGTTTTCCCTGAGCAGATTCGGGACATGCAGCAGCAGCAGCACGTGGGTCTGAGAGACACAGCAGAGTGCGTGATAGGTGTGGGGTGACCTGGGCTTGAGCCCCTGGGAGAGGCCATCCCTGAGACGAGGAGTGTAGGGACCAGGAGCTTTGTTGTGGGGAATGAGGCAGCTGCCTGATGGGCTGCAAGGGACACAAATCCCTGCGTCTGGGGCTGGGCCCAGGTTGGAGAGCTCACGGGGGCCACCGGCGTGTACCTGTGACATGGAGCCCTCGGACCCGGGGGTGGGTGTAGAGAGGAGGAGGTGGAGGCATGCGCTCTGCGCCCGCCGCCTGCCCCCGTGCAGGGGTTGTGGATCTGAGTCAATTTAACATACAGCCAAAGACAGAACGCTTTAGTATTTTAATGCATCCTGTAAACTACCCTCCAGAAAGGCCATCCTAAATCATATTCCTTTTCTTTTTTTTTTTTTGAGGTGGAGTCTCACTCTGTCACCCAGGCTGGAGTGCAGCGGCTCGATCTCCGCTCACTGCAACTTCTGCCTCCCAGGTTCCAGCGACTCTCATTCCTCAGTCTCCCGAGTACCTGGGACTACAGGTGTGCACCACCACGCCCAGATAATTTTTGTACTTTTAGTAGAGACAGGGTTTCACCATGTTACCCAAGGTCGTCTTGAACTCCTGACCTCAAGTGATCCTCCTGCCTCGGCCTCCTAAAGTGCTGGGATTACAGGTGAGAGCCACCGTGCCCGGCCCTGAATTACATTCCTGCCAGCAATTTATGAGTATTCATTTTCCTCAATTCTCAATGACAAGGTGGTCATTGAAAAATTACACACTTCTGAAAAACATTTTTAAAAAATTCTTTTAGAGACAGGGTCTCACTCTGTTGCACAGGTTAGAATGCAATGATGCGATCATGGCTCACTGTCTAGAGCTCCTGGGCTCAAGCAATCCTCCCTCCTTGGCCTCCTAAAGTGCTAGGATTACAGGCGTGAGTCACTGTGTTTGGCCTGAAAAGTCTTTTGTCCATTTTGCTGGAAAAAGTGCTGGAGGCAAAACCAGGGCTCACGGTGCACCTCCGTCCTCCTCAGGTAGGATGCCACGAAGTAGCATCCTATGGTTGTCTCTGTGAGTTTTTTTTTTTTTTTTTTAACCAGGGAGGCTCTCCAGGATCATCCTGCAGGGGAACTGCAAGTGCCAAGCACAACTGCTGTGCGTGCTCCAAAGTCTCGGCTCAGCTGTGGCGGGAGGCTCAGTGGAGCCCAGGAGCTCAGGGCCGTGGGTGCCAGGACCATGCCTGAAAAGAGCACCGCACTACGGCCTGCGCAACACAGGGAAACCCTGTCTCAAAAAACCCCCCAAACCCACTAAATATCAGCTCAGAAACTCCCCGTGCATTTGGCTCCATTCTACAATATGGTCACAGTTACCCTGATACGAGATGTGTAAGGCTGGTTATCATCAGGAACGAAAGAAAAAGGTATTTCCCACCTGCATGGATAACTGGCAAAATGCTACCGGGGGGAGCGCCAGCCCCACCAGAGGGCTGGACAGAAGAGTGGACGCCACCCCCGATTGCTGTCCCAGCGGCCTTCTTCTCTCCTGGTACCACGACATTTCAAGTAATTAGATCTGTATCAATGCGAGGCCACAATCACAGCAACTTCAAGTGAAATCAGTGTAAAATCCAAGGACAAGCACGAGCACAACAATGCTGCCTGGTATCTCCGCTGGGCGCCGCACCCAGACCCTCCCCACCCCTCAGGGTGACGGCGACTCACAAAAGCAGGCGTTCCAGAGAAGGAGGACGGCTTCATTTCCCTCCTATTTTCATCATATTTAAACAAGCTCCAGCATCCAAGATCTCAACACGCGCGTGAAAGCACACACAGGAGCACGTACAGACCCGCACACGTGCACAGACTCACACAGGCGCACAGACCCGCACACGTGCACAGACTCACAGGCGCACAGACACGCACACGTGCACACTCACACAGCCGCACAGACCCGCACACGCGCACAGACCCGCACACGCGCACAGATCCGCACAAGCGCACAGACCCGCACAGGCGCACAGACCCGCACACGCGCACAGACCCTCACAGGCGCACAGATCCGCACACGCGCACAGACCCGCACAGGCGCACAGGCCCGCACAGGCGCACAGACCCGCACACGCGCACAGGCCCGCACACGCGCACAGACCCGCACACGCGCACAGACCCTCACAGGCGCACAGACCCGCACACGCGCACAGACCCTCACAGGCGCACAGGCCCGCACACGCGCACAGGCCCTCACAGGCGCACAGACCCGCACACGCGCACAGACCCGCACACGCGCACACACCCTCACAGGCGCACAGACCCGCACAGGCGCACAGACCCGCACACGCGCACAGGCCCGCACAGGCCCGCACACGCGCACAGGCCGGCACAGGCGCACACACCCGCACACGCGCACAGGCCCGCACAGGCCCGCACACGCGCACAGGCCCGCACAGGCGCACAGACCCGCACAGGCCCGGACACGCGCACAGACCCGCACACGCGCACAGGCCCGCACACGCGCACAGATCCGCACACGCGCACAGGCCCGCACAGGCGCACAGGCCCGCACACGCGCACAGGCCCGCACAGGCGCACAGGCCCGCAGACGCGCACAGGCCCTCACAGGCCACAGACCCGCACAGGCGCACAGACCCGCACAGGCGCACAGGCCCGCACACGCGCACAGGCCCGCACAGGCGCACAGGCCCGCACAGGCGCACAGGCCCGCACACGCGCACAGGCCCGCACAGGCGCACAGACCCGCACACATGCACACGCCTGACAGCTCCAGTCAGTCCTCACTATCCAGCTTCCAAGCTACAACTTATCACAGCTGTTTTATGTGCAGTAAAATGTCCCACTGCCTTGTGGCTGCTCGGAAAAGGTGCTCAGCGGTGGGAGGTCCTGCCCCATCGGATGGCCTCCTCCATGCAAATGTGGTTTGCTGTCTTTCACAGACTCTTAATCAGCTATTCAGAGTCTTGGGAAAATATTCCTTTATCAGAGGCTTCCAGATGGCAGATAAGAGGAAAAACTCTCCTGAAAAATACTTAACAATGCCAGATAAAACACAGCAAACCTACCTTCAATGCACAGCCCAGCTCTCAAGACAAGGGCAATCTGGCCCAAAAATGACAGAGGAAAAGCAGCCGAGAGGAAGTGCAGGTGCCAACCACGCTGCGTGCAGCATCACGGACAATGTGAATTGTCCCCAAATCATCCACCAGTGACACAAATGCAAACACATTTTCAAGATTTTTTTTGCTGCAACTTGACCTGATTTTAAACACACATGGCCAAGGGCCAAGAAGAACAGAGCAAGGGCTGGAGAAGAACCAGGTGGACGGGTCTGCCCCGCCAGACGGGAGCACACCGTACCCACGGGTCTACCCTGCTGGACGGGAGCACGCCGTACCCACGGGTCTACCCTGCTGGACGGGAGCACGCCGTACCCACGGGTCTGCCCCGCCGGACGGGAGCACGCCATACCTACGGGTCTGCCCTGCTGGACGGGAGCACGCCGTACCCACGGGTCTACCCTGCTGGACGGGAGCACGCCATACCTACGGGTCTGCCCCGCCGGACGGGAGCACGCCTTACCCACGGGTGTGCCCTGCTGGATGGGAACACGCCGTAGGATGGGAGCATGCTGTACCCCAGAGCAGCTGGGAGGCTGAGCCACAGACGCAGGCCCAGGACAGAGCCGCTGCCACAGGGAATGGCCCAGGACAGAGGGCTGAGGAAACTGCAGCGTCAGGTGAGCAACAGAGTCGGACCACCACCTCACACCAGACAACAACTGCAAGAGCAAACACTGTCTATGATACGTGTATTTTTTTGCAAAAAAGCGTAAAATATCTTTGTTATTGAGGTAGATTTTAGATAAAGATTTCTTAAACAAAACACAAAAACTATGAAATTAAAGATGATGTCACATTATATCAACTTCTAAACAATGGAAGACACTGACGTTTTTAAAAATGAAAAGGCAGCCAGGCGCGGTTGCTCACGCATGTAATCCCAGCACTTTGGGAGGCTGAGGCAAGCAGATCAAGAGGTCAGGAGTTCAAGACCAGCCTGACCAACATGGTGAAACCTCGTCTCTACTAAAAATACAAAAATTAGCCAGGCATGGTGGCGGGCGCTACTCGGGAGGCTGAGGCATGAGAATCGCTTGAACCTGGGAGGCGGAGCTTGCAGTGAGCCAAGATTGCACCACTGCACTCCAGCCTCGGTGACAGAGCGGGACTACATCTCAAAAAAAAAAAAAAAAAAAAAAAGGAAAGGCAATCCACTGAGAGAAGGTGTTTGCTGGGCTTTGAAGCATCTAAAGAACCCCGGAAATTGGTAAGACAAGCTCCGCAGAAACACGGGCAAAGGCAGATGGCCAGGAGGCGTGAAAGGCTGTCCAGTTTTGTTAGCTTGGTAGCGTGCATTGAATAAGAAACAGAAACCTCACACTCAATTAGCGAGACTGCAAACACTCTGTATTAACCGGGGCCTGGAGAAACAAGAACGCCGGCGAGTCAAGTGAGCACACAGCGGCACAGCTCCTTTAAAGACACGCTGGGAATCTGTCCCTACGTTGAAATGTACAACCAGCACCTCTCTAGGCACACACCCCAGGGAAACTCCCTGAGTGCAGACACACAAAGACAGCAGAGAAAGATGCCAGAAAACACAGGAGCAGGCACCTCCCACCTCCAGCCAAGACGGAAAAGTCTTGAACAGACACTTAGAAGAAGAAATACAAATGGACAATAAGCACAATCAAAAGCTAAACATGAAAGAGGCCGACAGTGCGCCACGTGCTGCAGGATTCACTCTCACCACACTCAGCACCAGGTTCCGTGACAGGCGAAGGTCGCAGCTCGGCAGGAGGGTTTGCATGTTGTGTGGGAGCGACACTGGTGCCCTCAGCTAACTGCCAAGACCCGCCAAAGTGGACCCTTTCGGCCAGCACAGCCTTGGTGATGGACGCAGAGGGGCAGGGCGGAAGCCAGAAGGCAGGAGCGAGAGCTGGATGCCCCGGGAACCAGATGGAAGCCTGTCTCCGTCCTTGCTGCTGAGGGTAGCAGTGGGTGTCCTACCCAGGACAGGTACCCCGCACGCCTGGGGTTAGCTGAAGGAGGGCCCAAGAAGCTGCAGAGAGCCGGAGGCCCAGAACTGCCCACACCACCCAGGCAGGCAGCAAGTCTGCAACAATGCACATGAGCTGCGTGAGCTTTCACCTCCAGGAGCTGGAAACTAAAAGGGCTTACGTCCACCTTCCGAATTTCAGGCAGAAGGGCCTCTCGTGTCCCCCTGTAACCAGGAGCATTCGGGGAGGGAACTGTGGGAAATGCAGTTCAGCACAGCCAAATGCACAGAAATGAACCCATCCTATCTGTTAATGGCACGTCAGTAAGATACAGATGAAGGTGCAGGACAGACCAAGTGCACACACCCCATCCTCCTCCTAAGGCCCCACCAAAATGAGAATAAGTGGGTTTGCAACACACAGAGGACAAATGAAGGACAGATGAAAAAAATACAGTGTTGGAAAGTGAAAAGTAGACGGGATGCTGAATCCTAGAATGGCAGCCGAGACACAGCAGACACGAGATCTGCTCCAGAGGGGCCGCCAAGGAGCCTGGAAGTGGGGAGAAAAAGGGGGGCAGGCAGGCTGTGGAAGCCTCCCCACCACCCGTGGGAGACCGGGACTCACTCTCTGCAAAGGCCAGGCCTGGCTCCCAGGAGCCCCAGGCACCATAACTGAAGGCAAAGACTCCATAAGATAAACAGGGAGGGAGAGCCTGTCCATAGAGAGTGTGAGAGACCCTTCTTCTCCTCCTTCCCGCTCCAACTCTGAGACGCAGTGACAAAAACGAAGGGTGCAGCCGGAAGGGTGGAAGATGAAATTTGAGAAAATCTCCCAGAAAGTGGTCTCAAATCACTAAACCATAAAAAATCCGGGAGAAGATGTAAGAAAAAGGGGATCTATTGGGAGACTCAATGTCTGAATGACAGGAATTCTGTAAACCGAAGATTGAAAGCAAAGAGGAGGAAACGATCAAGGAAACAAGAGAGTGGCACATGTTCCCAGACTACGGAGGCCACGACAGATGAAAACAGACCATGCTCAAGACCTCAGCATCAGGCTGCACCCACATGAAGGCCAGAAGCAGAACCTCAAACTGTCCTAAGGGAGGAAAACTGCTCATAGCCACAGGAATCGAGAATGATGGCAACTGCCTTCTCACAGCGACACTGGATGTTAAAGACTTCCAGTGTGAAAGACAGTTATTAGCCCAGAATCCTACACCCCGAAAAACTTTTAAGTACAAGAATTAAGGTATACTTGACCTTCAAGATCTCTAAAATATTTATCTCCCAAAAACCATTTTTCAGGAAGTTACTAACGAACGCATTTCAACAAAATGGAAGCAAACCCAAGAAATGAAAAGACTGAGGCCCAGGACAGCAAAGGAAGCCCCCGGGAGAGGTGAGACCGGGAGTTACGGCAAGGACTTGGGGGCGGCCCATGCTGGGGGTGGAACAGTCTGGAAGAGGCCACGGAAGATGAAGCTCATTGACCCTGAATGTGTCTGACCATAGAACAAGGACAGGGAGGTGAGGGGAGAAATTAGTACTATTAAGTATTTAGAAGAAAATGTAAAAATCCAAGAAAACTATTAACTCTACTAAAGCTCTGCTCACTCCACTAAAGGTTTCACAAAACGGAATAATCGTGTGTTATGTGACTCAGCAAGAAACGGTGTTTACGGAGACATAAACATGTAAACAATACTGATGTACAAACATTTTGAAAAAATCATATTGGAAGGACGGGGGTTGTAAAAAATGTGCATCCATGGTGGGGGAAGCTGCTAAAAAAAACCAAAATCCTTAGTTTCCAAAGTCAATACATAAGATTTAATCCCTTCCCTCCCTGCCAAAAAAGAAAGAAAAAGAAGAAGAAAACAGGAAGCAACAGTGTAAGTGCGTGACTCTGAAAGGGGGGGTGGTTTTACCCAGGAGCAGCCACTGCAGAGCTGGAGGGTGTGTGACTGGAGTGATGGGCAGAACATTGCTGTTTTTAATAATAATTCCTGAGAATTATTTGAATCTAAAATATATGCAACACATAACTGACAAATTTAAAAAAAAGTTCAATATGGGCTCTTCAGTGAAAAAAGTTTACCAAAATGCACATACACCAGTTATTTTGGTTGTTGACAAATCAGTCTTATCTTTGGGACAAATGGAATTATCAACACTCTTCTAGAACCAAAGAAACAGATCGTGTGAAGTGAACAAATATCAATCAATTGGCTAAATCATTGCCATAATTACCATGCTTTGACCTAACCGTACAAGAACATTTTCCTCCGTCTCATGTCCAAGGACGGATGTGGGCACTGTTCCTCATCCGGCTGCCTCCTGTCCCTCACAGAGCGCCACTCGGCCCAGCCCTGATATCCAGCAGGACTCCTCCTGGACGTGCATCTCAACGGACACTGCGCGATGGCCCGTGCAGAAGTGACCCACGGTTCTTACGTTTTTTATTGTGATTTCATCATTTTACCCCCGGCCAAGACTTCTCTTTTTCCAGATGCAAGTAAATTATAACATTTTTCCTTTAACATTTCCAAGGCACAGCACTTCAAAAATATGTTGTTCATGATTAAAAAAAAATCAATAAACTGGGCATAGAAGGGAACTTCTTCAACATGATAAAGGCCACGTATGAAACCCACAGCTAACATCATACAGGATGGTGAAAACAGGGATGCTTTCTCCTCAAGATCAGGAATGAGACCAGGATTCCCACTCACGGCACTTTTTGTCAACATCGTATTAGAACTTCTAGCCAGGGCAATTAGTCAACAACAACAACAACAAAAGGAAGCAAAGGGCATCCAGACTGGACAGGGAAAGTACAACTATCTTTACTCACAAAGGAAAAAGTAAAACTACCCGAAATCACAGATGACAGCATCTTGCACAGTGATGTACCACAAAAGACACTGGTGAAAGGCTGGCCGCATGGGGGACGGTGGAGCCTTAAGATAATGCGGACCCTGAAGATGGTAACACTGCACTTTCACCGTACGTTTTTAATGTTTGGATGCTGAAAGGCTGGCTGCATATAGGACGGCGGACCCTGAAGATGATAACGCTGTATTTTCACCGCACCTTCTTAATGTTTGGATGCATGAACACTCACCATGGTGTTACAGTTGCCACTGTCTTCAGCACAGGCATGTACTGATTGGGCGAGCAGCCTGGGAGCAACAGGCTGTGCCACACAGCCCAGGCCTGCAGCTGGATCCACTGTCTAGTGTGTGTAAGCGCACTTTGCTCACACAGCAATGGACTCCTTTGGAATGTATTACCGTTGTTAAGTGATGTGTGACTGTACATAGAAAATCTAAGAAATCCACAACAAAAATGTAAGAGCTAATAAACTAGTTAGGCAAAACCGCAGGATACAAGGTCAATACACAAAATCCCTTGCATTTTCACAGACAAACACTGAACATTCCCAAAAGAAAACAAACAAAAAAGAAAGCAATTCCACTTACAATAGCACCAAAAAGAATAAAATACTTTGGAATACACTTTTTAAAAAACGGTAAAACTTTTCTACGTCCTGTAAGTACTGGAAGGAAAAATATAAAAAAAGATAAGGCCAGGCGCAGTGGCTCACGCCTGTAATCCCAGCACTTTGGAAGGCTGAGGTGGGCGGATCACCTGAGGTCGGGAGTTCGAGACCAGCCTGACGAACATGGAGAAACCCCATCTCTACTAAAAAAATACAAAAAAAATTAGTCGGACGTGGTGGCACACGCATGTAATCCCAGCTACTCAGGCTGGAGAACTGCTTAAACCCAGGAGGCGGAGGTTGTGGTGAGCCAAGATCATGCCATTGTACTCTAGCCTGGGCAACAAGAGTGAAACTCCATCTCAAAAACAACAACAACAACAAAAAGATAAAACTGCACTCTGAAAACTACAAAAGATGGTTGAAAGAAATTAAAAAGAACTTAAATAAACAAAAAGACATCCTAAAGCTAGGGACTGGACAATGTAATAGTGTTAAGAAGACAATACTGCCCAGTGTTCTACAAACTCATGCAATACCCATCAAAATTTCAAATGATTTTTTTTTGCAGAAATTGACATGCTGATCCTAACATTAATATGGAATTGCAAGAGACCCTGAGTCTTGAAAAAGAACAAAGTTGAGGGACCCACACTTCTCAATTCAAAACTTAGTACACAGCTACAGCAATCAAAACAAGATGGTGGATGGTACAGACATGGGATGGACATACATCAATGGAATAGAATTGAGAGTCCAGAAATAAACCCCACATCTGTGGCCAACTGATTTTTTTTGTTTCTTTTTTTTTTTTTTTTTTAGACAGAGTATCACTCTATCACCCAGGCTGGAGTGCAATGATGCGATCTTGGCTCACTGCAACCTCTGCCTCCCGGGTTCAAGCGACTCTACTGCGTCAGCCTCCCAGGTAGCTGGGACTACAGGTACCTGCCACCATGCCTGAATAATTTTTGTATTTTTAGTAGAGATGGGGTTTCACCACGTTGGCCAGGCTGGTCTCGAACTCCTGACCTCAAGTGATCCATCCACCTCAGCCTCCAAAGTGCTGGGACTACAGGTGTGAGCCACCGCACCTGGCTGCCAACTGATTTTCAATGAGTGCTAAGTCCACTTGATGGGGAAATGATGTCTTCCACAACTGGTGTTAAGACAATTGGATATCCACATGCAAAGGAATGAAGTTGGAACTCTACCTCACACCATACACAACATCAGCTGAAAACGGATCAAGGACCTACACATAAGTGCTAAAACTATAAAACTCTTAGAAGAAAACCTAGGCATAAATCTTTGTGGCCTTTGATTAGGCAATGATGTCTTAAATATGATATAAAAAACACAGGCAACAAAAGAAAAAATAGATAAATTGGACTTTATCAAAATTAAAAACTTTGGGGCTTTAAAGGATACCATTAAGAAAGTGAAAAGATAACTCATGGTATGGAAGAAAATATTCGCAAATCAGGTATCTGATGAGGACTCAGTATGGAGGATGTACAACCAATTCCGACAACTCAGCAACAGAAAGACAATCCAATTAAAACTGGGCAAAGGACGTAAGCAGATATTTCTCTAAAGAAGATACACAAATGGACAACACGCAGGGAAAGATGCTCAACATTCTCAGTCATCAGAAAAATGGAAAACCACAATGAGATACCACTTCACACCTCCTAGGGTGGCTATTATCTAAAAAAAAAAATAGAAAATAAGTGTTAGTGAGCATGTAGAGAAACTAGAACCTTTGTACAATGCTGGTGGACATGTAATATGGTTCAGCTGCTGTGGACAAGAGTCCGGCAGTTTCTGAAAAAGTTAAACATGGAGTTACCATTTGACCCTGCATTTCCACTCCTAAGTATAAACTCAAGAGAATCGAAAACATACGTCCACACCAGGCCACACAAGAACATGTGCATGGATTCTCATAGCAATGTTACTGACAATAGCTAAAAAGGAGAAACAACCAAACATTCATCAACTGATGAATGGAGAAACAAAATGTGGTCTATTCATACAGTGGAATATTATTCAGCCTTAAAAAAGAAAGTTAGTTCTGACCCATGCTACAACATGAATGAACCTTTAAAAAATTATGCTACATGAAAAAACCCAGACACAAAGGGTCATATGTTGCATGATTCCATTTATATGACATGTCCAGAACAGACAAATCTATAAAGAAAACAGATTAGTGGTTTCCAGAGGCTAGAGGGAGTGGGGAATGGGGGCTGAGTGGTTACGGGATAATGAGTTTTTTTTTTTTTTTTTTTTTTTTTTTTTTGAGACAGGGTCTCACTGCATTGTCTAGGCTGGAGTGCAGTGGCACAGTCTTGGCTCACTGAAGTCTTGTCTTCTCAGGCTCAAGTGACCCTCCCACCTCAGCCTCTTGAGTAGCTGCGATATAGGTGTACATCATCATACCTGGCTAATTTTTGTACTTTTTGCTAGAGATGGGTGACTCGCCATGTTGCCCAGGCTGGTCTCCAACTCCTAAGCTCAAGTGATCCACCCACCTCAGCCTCCCAAAGTGCTGTGATAACAGGGTGAGCCACTTTGCCCGGCCAAGTGTTTCTTTTTGGTGTGGTAAGAATATTCTGGAATTAGATGGTGGTAATGGAATGGTTGTACAACAGTGTCAATATACTAAAAAGCAGTAAATTGTATACTTTGAATTGGTTGATTTGAAATGGTAAATTTGAGGTTACCTTTCTGGGGTGCAGCCTTATCTATCTCTGCCCTTGTGACACGACCTGATCATCACAAATTCCCTTTTAAGCCAGGGCCAAGTGGTTTTGGTTGCTTGTAATTGAAGGGTCTAAATTGTCCAAGCAACTGACCCAAGGGCATCAGACTTGACAGACCAGAGTCTGAACCCTCAGAAATCACATGTGAGACCATGTCACCGAGGGAACCGAAGCAGGGGCAGCATCTGCACCCTCACCCTGGGGGGTTCAGCCCTCAAGGGCCATAGCCTGTTTCTCCGTGTGCCCACCAATCCTGATTCTGTATTGGCACCTCCACCTGGACACGGCTCCAACTGTTCAGCAAAAGGCTCGTGCACCCAACCTTCTCATTTGCTCCCTGGAAAAATAATCTTTTACCCTTTGAGACTAGGTCAACTCACATCAGTATTTTGACTTTTAATTCAACATCTTCATATTAAAGAGTATCTTACAGATGCCACTGAAACGAAGTGGCTGAATGCTGAAGCTTTGTGAAAAGACGTCACCCAAAGGATCACCAAAAACTTCAAAGGCCAAGTGCTTTGTCAGACTCAAATGGACCCAGCCACTTAAAAGTGAAAAGCCAATCACTTTAGGCAAGAAAATATATATCTTCTAGAATGAAACTGGCCTGGAATTTACAGATATTATTTTTTCACTTAGGAATGATCCATCATCCATCCATGCATACAGCTTCAACTGCCCCACCTAATTTCATCTTCCTACCACCAGATATGTTACTGGTAAACAATCACCGTTAAAACTTTAGGTAGGTTAGAACAAAGAAAAAGTAAATCGACCTTAAAAATACAATTTTAAAAAAGATTAAAAATGTTGGTTCAGTAAAATTCAGAGAAAAACAGGAAATGTTAGGGATGGCCTGCTTCTTGTAAGGCATAACAGTGCACATGCTCCCCATTATCATCACCGTCAGAGCCGTACATTCTTATAATCAATAAACCTACGCTGACACACGTTGCCACCCCGGTCTGCAGTTTACATTGCGGTTCACTCTCGTACATCCTGTGAGTTGAAGCAAACGCAGAATGAGATGCGCCCACCATGACAGCATCGTACAGGGCAGTTTCACCGTCGTGCAAATCCTCTGGGCTCCACCTGCTCCTCCCAGTCCTCGGCATCATACAGGGCAGTTTCACCGTCCTGCAAGTCCTCTGGGCTCCACCTGCTCCTCCCAGTCCTCGGCATCGTACGGGGCGGTTTCACCGTCCTGCAAGTCCTCTGGGCTCCACCTGCTCCTCCCAGTCCTTGGCATCGTACGGGGCGGTTTCACTGTCCTGCAAGTCCTCTGGGCTCCACCTGCTCCTTCCAGTCCTCGGCATCGTACGGGGCGGTTTCACCGTCCTGCAAGGCCCCTGGGCTCCACCTGCTCCTCCCAGTCCTCGGCAGTCACTGATCTTTTTGGGGTCTCCTCAGTTTTGCTTTTCCACAGTGTTACAGAGTTGGAATTGCAATGTGTAGCCTTTTCAGATCGGTTTCTTTCACTTACTAATAAGCATTTAAGGTCCCATCATGTCTTTTCATGGCTTGACAGTTCATTTCTTTTTAGCCCTGAATAATTTTCCGTTGTCTGGATGTACCACAATTTGCTTATTCATTCACTTACTGAAGGACATCTTCGTTGCTTCCAAGTTTCGGCAGTTATGAATAAAGCTGCTATAAACATCCATGTGCAGGTTTATTGACGTTTTCCATCTATTTGGATAAATGTCAAGGGGCATAACTGCTGGATCCTACAGGTAAGAGTATGTTCAGTTGTGTAAGAAACTACCAAACTGTCTTCCAAAGTGGCTGCCCTGTTTTGCATTCCCATCTGCAGTGATGAGAGTCCTTGTTCCTCCAGCATTTGGTGTTGTTAGTGTTCTGGATTTTGTCCATTCTAGTAGGTATGTGGTGGTGTCTCATTGTCTTAATTTGCATTTCCCTGATAACATATGATGTGAAACATCTTTACATAGGATTATTTGCCATCTACATATTTTCCTTGGTGAGGTCCACATCTTTGGCCCATTTTCTTATTAAGTTTTAAGAATTCTTCAAACATTTTGAGTAACAGTCCTTTGTCAGGTATGTCTTTTGAAAATATTTTCTCTAAGTCTGTGGCCTGTCTCTTCATTCTCTTGACAATGTCATTCGCAGAGCACAAGATTTTAATTTTAATGATGTCCAGGTTATCAACTGGACATCTACTTATCAATTCTTTCTTTGATTGATCAAGCCTTTGGTGTTGTAGCTAAAAAGTCACTGCTGAACCCGAGGGCACCTAGATTGCCTCCCAAGTAATCTTCTAACCGTTTATAGTTTTGCATTTTACACTCAGGTGTAAGATCTTTTTTTTTTTTTTTGAGATGGAGTCTTGCTCTGTCACCCAGGCCGGACTGCAGTGGCAACATCTCAGCTCACTGCAACCTCTGCTCCTGGGTTCAAGCAATTCTTCTGCCTCAGCCTACCGAGTGGCTGGGACTACAGGCGCCCGCCACCATGCCCAGCTGATTTTTTGTATTTTTATTAGAGACAGGGTTTCACCATGTTAGCCAGGATGGTGTCGATCTCCTGACCTCGTGATCCGCCCATCTTGGCCTCCCAAAGTGCTGGGATTATAGGTGTGATCCACCGCGCCCAGTCCAGATCCATTTTTAGTAAGATTTTTTTGTGAAAGGTTTAAGGTCTGTGTCTATATTTTTATGCATGTGGATGTCTAGTTGTGCCAGCCCCATTTGTTGAAAAGATCATTCACTGAATAGCCTTTGTTTGCTCCTGTATCAAAGATAAGTCAGTGGTATTTATGTGGGTCTATTTCTGTACTCTCTATTCTGTCCCATTAATCTATGTGTCTACTCTTTTGCCAAAAATACGCTGTCTTGATTACTGTAGATTTCTGGTAAGTAACTCTTGAAGTCATGTAATGCCAGTCCTTTATTTTGTTTTTCTCCTTTAATATTCTGTTGGCTATTCTCAGTCTTTTGCGTCTCCATCTAAACTTTAGAATCAGTTTATCAATATCCACAAAATAACTTGCTGGGATATTAATCAGGATTGTATTGAATGTGTATATCAAGTTAGGAAGAATGAGTATCTCTATAATATCGAGTCTTCCTATCCATGAACATGGAATATCTGTTCAATTTTTAGTCTTCTTTGATTTCTTTCATCAGAGTTCTATAGCTTCTTCATATAGATGTTGTACACATTTGTTAGATCTACACTAAAATATTTTATTATGGGGGGGTGGTAATATAAATGATACCGTGTTTTGTTTTGTTTTGTTTTGTTTTTGAGACGGAGTCTTGCTCTGTTGCCCAGGCTGGAGTGCAGTGACATGATCTCGGCTCACAGCAACCTCTGCCTCCAGGGTTCAAGTGATTCTCCTGCCTCAGCCTCTCGAGTAGCTGGGACTACAGGTGTGCACCACCATGACTGGCTAATTTTTTGTATTTTTAGTAGAGACGGGGTTTCTACTGTCTACTGTGTTAGCCAGGATGGTCTCAATCTCCTGACCCTGTGATCCGCCCACCTTGGCCTCCCAAAGTGCTGGGTGTTTTTAATTTCAAATTCCACTTGTTCTTTGCTGACATATAGGAAAGCAGTTGACTTCCGTGTATTAACTTTGTATCGTACAACCCCACTATAATCCTTTATTAGTTCCAGAAGTCTTTTTTGTTGCTTCTTTCAGATTTTCATTACCTGCTTTTTCTTTAAAAACTTTGTTATACTGATTGAAAAAGCAAGAAAATTTCTAACAGGCACAATGGACAGTGCATTAGCTTTCTAGGGCTGCCACTACAAAGCCCCACAGACTGGGCGAAGTCAACAACAGACATTTGTTCTCTCACAGCCCGGAAGGCTGGAAGGCCAAGGTCATAGTCTCAGCAGGGCTGGCTTTGGACCTTGGCTTGCAGACGCCGTTCTCTCTCAGTTGTCACAGGGTCAAGCCTCTCTACGTATGTGTGTCCTGATCTCATCTTCTAATATGGACACCAGTAATACTGGATTAGGGTGCACCCTGACGACTTCATTGACCCTTAATCAACTTTAGGACCCCATCTCCAAACACAGTCACATTCTGAAGTATGGGGGGTTAGGGCTTCAACATACAAATTTGCTGGTGGCGGCTGTGAGGCGGGGAGCGCAATTCAGCCTATAATAAGTATATTCTTTAAATGGCAAAAGTATGTGCAAAAGCAGTCATTTACTCCTTAATTGGAACGTTATCCTACTACACTGGGAGCTTGTACCATTTGAAAACATTAAGCCATATGGGAAAAATGTAGAAAAGAACATGGAATACACGGATTTGTCCCATGGGAAAAGCATGCTTAGTGTAACCCCGTATCTAGGAGACGTGAAGGGAACTTTTTCCTTCTCACTTGTCTTCTATCCTTGACCAGAACGGTGTCTGTGGCACTCATCACATCGCAGGTTAGACAGGCTTTCTGAGCCGGCCTGGAAATGGAATCACCACACAGAATATTACGTCTGTGGGAAGATGTGTTCAGAGTCAATGGAGATCTGACCTGTGGGGCTGGAAGGTGATTTGTGGGATGACGAGGACCTGCCTGCTGAGATCCTGGTGCGCAGCTCCATTATAAGGTGTGTGAAAACCAGAGACCACGCAGCTCTCAGGAACACAAATGCGTGGAGAACAAATGCCCAGTGAGAGACCACCACTATACAAACACGAACGAGACCCCCAGAAATGGCACCCAGGAACCCACGTCTGGCTTCATAGACTTATGTGTTTACTGGGGAACCGAATGGACCCGCCCACATGTGCTGCACCCAGGCGGCCTCTTCTGGCATCTCTCAGTGGGATGTGCTGCACCCAGGCGGCCTCTTCCGGCATCTCTCGGTGGGATGTGCTGCACCCAGGCGGCCTCTTCCCGCATCTCTCGGTGGGATGTGCTGCACCCAGGCGGCCTCTTCCCGCATCTCTCGGTGGGATGTGCTGCACCCAGGCGGCCTCTTCCCGCATCTCTCGGTGGGATGTGCTGCACCCAGGCGGCCTCTTCCCGCATCTCTCGGTGGGATGTGCTGCACCCAGGCGGCCTCTTCCGGCATCTCTCGGTGGGATGTGCTGCACCCAGGCGGCCTCTTCCGGCATCTCTCGGTGGGATGTGCTGCACCCAGGCGGCCTCTTCCGGCATCTCTCGGTGGGATGTGCTGCACCCAGGCGGCCTCTTCCGGCATCTCTCGGTGGGATGTGCTGCACCCAGGCGGCCTCTTCCCGCATCTCTCGGTGGGATGTGCTGCACCCAGGCGGCCTCTTCCCGCATCTCTCGGTGGGATGTGCTGCACCCAGGCGGCCTCTTCCGGCATCTCTCGGTGGGATGTGCTGCACCCAGGCGGCCTCTTCCCGCATCTCTCGGTGGGATGTGCTGCACCCAGGCGGCCTCTTCCGGCATCTCTCGGTGGGATGTGCTGCACCCAGGCGGCCTCTTCCCGCATCTCTCGGTGGGATGTGCTGCACCCAGGCGGCCTCTTCCGGCATCTCTCGGTGGGATGTGCTGCACCCAGGCGGCCTCTTCCGGCATCTCTCGGTGGGATGTGCTGCACCCAGGCGGCCTCTTCCGGCATCTCTCGGTGGGATGTGCTGCACCCAGGCGGCCTCTTCCGGCATCTCTCGGTGGGATGTGCTGCACCCAGATGTTCTCATCCCACGTCTCTCAGTAGGATGTGCTGTACATAGGTGGTCTATTCCCGTGTCTCTCGGTGGGATGTGCTGCACAGAGGTGACCTCTTCCTGCATCTCTCGGTGGGATGTACTCCACCCAGGTGTTCTCTTCCCACGTCTCTCAGTTGGATGTGCTGCGCACAGCCGGTCTATTCTCGTGTCTCTTGGTGGGATGTCTTACACCCAGGTGGTCTATTCCCGTGTCTCTCGGTGGGATGTGCCGCACCCAGGTGGTCTATTCCCGTGTCTCTCAGTGGGATGTGTTACATCCAGGTGGTCTCTTCCCACATCTCTCAGTGGGATGTGCTGCACCCAGGTGGCCTCTTCCCGCATCTCTCAGTGGGATGTGGTCCACCCAGGTGGTCTCTTCTCGTGTCTCTCAGTAGGATGTGCCGCAGACAGGTGGTCTATTCCCGTGTCTCTCAGTGGGATGTGCTGCACCCAGGTGGTCTCTTCCCGTGTCTCTCAGCGGGGTCCTCTCACAGTCTCACAGGTGAGCGGAGTTGCACTGCAGGGACCAGAGCTGATGGGACTCTCATGGCAGATGATCCTGCAGCCACCAAGAGCTTAACATGGGGCTGTCATGGGACAGACGTCTGCCAAAGACCACGGGACAAGAACCTCAGAAGCCTGTCCCTGAGTGGGCACAAGCCAACGGGGCCAAGGGGGCCACCACAGTGACTGGGGGCATGGTGTATGGTGGGGAAGGCGCCTGTCTTCCTCAGAGGACAGGAAGGCTGGCCCAAGCCCCAGTTTCAGTCCAATCGCCATCTTCAGAGCACACAAGTAAATGACCCCAAAAAGGCAGCACCCTGACCTGGCCTTGGCTGGGGAGTCCACAGGGGCCTTGGCAGAGCTTGTGTGGAGAGCGATGCCTGCCCTGCCCACCTGCTGCAGGCCCTCTGCAGACCTGCAGACAGATGCCCGAGGCCCAAAAGACACATTCTCCAAGGCAAGTGATGATGACGGAGGTTAACTTCAGTTTCTGAGACCCACCCACATCTGCAGACAAACTCACCTGTCAAAGGCTCAGCATGTTTCTGGCTCACTTTCTCAGAGGTCACTTTCTTTGGTGGATTTTGGACGGCCAGCGTCTGGGGTTCCCTCTTTCCTTGGCCACTTGGAACAGGAGGAAAAAGTCTCTGCAGCACCTTCTCCACAAACACTGTACAGACAACCGATTAAAAGAAAAGGAGGAAAAGGAATGAATTATGCAGTTTATCTGAATCACACGTGACTTTTACTCTACACAAACACACACATCCTGAAAGCACCAACGGAGACCCAAGTCCCTGGTCCTCCCACGCTGGGCACTGCACACCAGGATCCCCCAGACTCTGCCCGCAGAGGAACCCTTGAGGCTGGCCCGAGGACCCCCCACCATCCTGCCATCAGCTGACCCTCTCTCCAGGGCATCACCCTGCATCCAGGAGGCTGTGCACTGCTGGCAGGTGCTGCCTCTGGCTGCAGGTCCCTCGGTTCCTCCCTGTGAGGTTCAGGCACATGCAGGCCATGACCCCTGTCAGTGGGGGCTGTGGTCCTGGGTGGACGGTGTCAGTGGCCCACAGTGCTTGGAGCCAGGTGAGTGAATGGAGCAGGTCTGGCGGGCCCTGAGGCAGGGCAGGCACCACCCCGCGCCCTCTGGGAACCCACGGTCTGCACTCTCTCCCTTAAACTGAACGTGTCAACAACTGCGAATGGGGAGAATTCCGTGCATCTGACGTGGTTTAACGACTAAACAGAGATTCTTTACTTTGCTTGTTTTAGTTTACGTTGTTTAAACTGTGGGACAAACGGTCATAATGAATAAATATTTCTGCCCTGATTTAAGTGTGGTTAATAAACAGGCAGCTGCTTTGGAATAACCAAAAGTCGCACAGTGGAAATCAGCACTCCTGAAACAACTGCCTGGTGCCTTTAGGAACAGGGAGGCAGGGACTTGGCCTGACTGGAGGCGTGCAGGGATCTGTCATAGGCCCCCTGAGAGGAGACGCTGGGGGTGGCTTCTAGGCGAGGCAGGGAGGCTCCACGGCCCTACCTGGGAACACTGTAGCTGAAGGCACAAATCCTTCCTAATTCTGGCCTCTGGGACAAACACGTGATAGAAATAACCCTCCTACAGGCCCCGCTGTTAAGAACACTATGTGGGTTTCCACGCAACGCTCACCAGAGCTCCCCGTGCCCTCCGTGGATGGACCATGAAAACCCTGAGCACAGAGCTCAGTGGGAGTGAGGTGCAGTGTGGTCATGAACAAGGTGGCTGCTCACTCAGACTCTCCACCTCCGCGGCTCCCAGAGAGTGAGCACAAAGCCTGCTTTTGCTGGGAGGAAACGACCTCTGGTTAAGTGGAAAACCTGAACTGAAACGATGTGATCCCTGAGACCCCGGGCTCTTCACCAGGTCCTGGCAATGAGAGGGTCCCCATACGCTATATTTTGAATATGATGCAGAAGTGCACTAGCACAGGATACCTCAAAAGCTCCTGCTGGCTGTGGTGAGCGGGTCCCACCCCTACAGAAAGGCCTTGCCTCAAGCATACCTGCCCGGCGGAGACACCTTGGCTCTCAGGGAGCAACAGGTGGTCTGTGAAATGCTTTTAAAAATGTGCTGCAGTGCTCCCAGGTATGTTCAAAAGAAGGTTCCAAGACTTCAGATAAAAATCCAATGGTCACATTTCCTTCAAATGTCAAAGAAGAAAATGTCCTGTGCCAGATGACCAAGCTGGTGATGAGCAGAGGAGATGGTAGGCAGATAAGATGCACTTTATCCAACATCTTCATAAGCCAAAACAAATTCTAAGACAAAACCATAACCAGCCGTCCAATTCTGCAAACAAGGACAGGGGCGCTCAGAGCTAAAGCCTTGCTGGGCCTGGGGCAGCCAACGCGGACATGTGGCTGAAGTCGCCTCCCCAGGCACAGCTGCCTGCGAGTGTCTGGAGCCAGGAAAATGCTATGGAGAAATCCCAGGCCATGGTCAGAGCCAGGCAATGCTGCAGAACGCCTGAGGCTGGGCAGGCACAAGACAGTCCCAGGGACGGGGGCAGGCCAGGGCAGGCCCTGACTAAACAGCCACCGCCAGGAGACGCTGGGCCCAAGCAAGCATCAGATGACAGAGTTTTCTGAAACAAGGCAGCTGATCCCAAAGAAAATGGCAGAACACGCCAGGGTAAGGATCGGAGCGCACTGAGAAACGGCACAACACATCAGCGTTTGGATCAGAGCGCACTGAGAAACCGCACAACACACCAGGGTACAGATTGGAGTGCACTGACAAACTGCACAACACACCAGGGTACAGATCGGAGCGCACGGAGAAACCGCACAACGCACAACACACCAGGGTACAGATTGGAGTGCAATGACAAACCGCACAACACACCAGGGTATGGATCGGAGTGCACGGAGAAACCGCACAACACACCAGGGTACGGATTGGAGCGCACTGAGTCTGGCCCCAGGTCACGGTCTTTCAAGGCTTCCTGAGGCAGATTTCGGAGCTAAAAGCGACATAATAAGAATGTGCCTTAAAAAAAAAGAAAGGTAGGGAGCATTTTCACTGAATTCCATCCACTGCCTGAAATAAATTACATTTATAGCCTAATTAACAGTGGTTTTCCACCAACACTGTTAAATTTCATGTTTCAAATGAAAATATCTGATATAGGTGTACAGTACATTTCGAATCTTTATAAAAATTCTAAAATGGAAGTAGAAGGCGGGAACAATGTAAAGTCAGCTGGCTTTAAATTCAGAGTGACAGCTGACAGGGGTTTCTCAGGGATAACTGACATGGCAGAGGCCACCCTGGGAGTCACAAGCTCCGCCTTCTGTAACACAGGCATTTCTCTCGGAAGAGATTTACGTGATCCCAGCCTCACGACCTGAAAGCCAGGAATCAATCTGCTGGCACAGCGTGCAGGGACCACAGAACCCCAAGGCCTCTGGGTCTTCAGCCTCTAGGATTTCTGCAATTCCCCTGCACGCCTGCTCAGGTGCCACACGAGCAGATTCGAGAGGGGTGGTTCCCAGAACCATGCAGACCCATGTGTTGTGCGGTTTGTCATTGCACTCCAATCTGTACCCTGGTGTGTTGTGCATTGTGCGGCTTCTCTGTGCGCTCCCATCTGTACCCAGGTGTGTTGTGCGGTTTGTCAGTGCACATGCCAATGTCCCAACACCCTCCTGAGGAGCTTCCCCATAGACCACCTAGGCAGGTCCCAGACTCACCTCCCACCGGGAGCCCAGGCCCTGGGGCCACTGCCTGGGCTGAGAGCCCGACCCTCGGGGCTTTGCCACACGAAAGCCCCAGGCCTGGCGAGGCTCAGGGAGGCCGTTTCAACCGTGAAAACTTGGGTTTCTGCCCCACCCCAGCCCTGGCTGTTTGAGCCGTCATCCAACAGCGGGCTCCCACATCGACCAGGCTCCGATCCTGCCCCATCCACCCTCCATGCCTCACTTTTCTCCCATTTTCCTTGTACTCCACCATCATGACATCTCTTGGGGCAGTTATTTTTTGGAACTGCAGTAACTTGGGTCCAGTGTTCTCAGGGTGACACTGAGGTCATTCACTTCTGCAGAACTGCAGATGGGCGCTGGTGCCCACATCTGGCTGAGATGCTTCTCTCAGCTGACGCCCGCGGTCGCCCGCAGGTGCTGTGAGGTCTGCTGGGTTTCTCCCTGCCAAGCGACTCTCTTTCCTTCATAACCAACAAACACTGTGGAGGAGACACCGCGGGACCAGATCCTTTTCCTCCTCAATCTCACCCACTAATTCTGGCATCCGCTGGTGGGTCCTGGCGGTGGCAGACGTCGCTGTGGGCTCCTCAGTGGCTTTCCTTCCTCACTCCTTCCATGTTTATCACGTGGAATTTTGTACTGAAGTGCCCACACTTGCACATGTATTGAATTATTACCTTTGTGCTATTTAATACTTTAAGGACTCGTAGATGTTTCATTCGTTCCAAGGACCATCACCCTGTACTGTCCGGATATACTTTGTTGCTCAAATAGTCCCAGCACTGGCCACAGGGTCCACCGCAGTGTGGACCCAGCGCCCTCCAGCATGGACCTGGTGCCCTCCAGCCCACCCGGCCCTCCCATGAGCACACAAGGCCCTACAAGGTACCGCAGGCTCATCTTGTATTTTCTCTGCCTAGGCCTGGAACCAGCCCCTTCTCCAAGAAGACCAACATTTAGAAAGCAGAACGCGGCCCTAGACGTGCACCTTGCTCCTCTTGTCTTCTGAACACAAAATCTCATCATGTCAGTCCTTGAAAATCACTGACTGCTCTGCACAAAAGAGGACTTGGAGGAAGAGGAATGTCCTGGACACCCTCAAAGACAAATGAGACCTCTGAGAGGCAAATGCAGGCCGCGCAGACATACCAACGGCAGGACGCCGAGGTGCCCACGAGGAAGGACGAGGAAACACACCTGCCCCACGCCAGCGTCACCCACGGACATGACCGATGGCAGAACGCTGAGGTACCCACGATGAAGGACGAGGACGCATGCTGGCACCGCGCCAGTGTCAGCCACAGACACACAGGATAACAAAGCTGATAACTGGGATAATCAGGATGCCAGGAAGAGCATGCAACTACTTAAGAATGCAGGAAAACAGGCTGCTTAAAAATCTTAAGCAAACAATACAATTTTAGTATACAATTTTAGTCCTTAACGTTTAAATCCCGAGTTTTCATATGGAGGGTGGGAGTGGGAAGAAGGCCGTAGGGATTTGGATGTGCTAATTCACGACGGTCAACACATAAAGGTCTGTACAGTTTACAGCCACGGGAAAGACAATGTCCCTTTTCAAATTCAAACTTGAGCACGGTCGTCAAAATAAACTAAAGCAAAAAGAAAACCTTTCAGCAGCCTAAGCTAAACTGGTTTAAGTATCATGAATCCCTATGGCTGAAGGGGCTCCATGTTGCATGGGTGTTCTAGAACCTAGTGAAGGAAAACGTCTTTCCCAGTGGCCCACACACTCCTGGAGGTCACCGTATCTGCTCCTTCGCTGGAATGAGCCTGAAGCCACTCTGACCCCTGCTACTTCTGGTAAGCCTTGTCACAGAAAAGACGAGCACGTCCCGCACAATGCTTCACTCACAGGAGTTACAGCATGATTTTGATATTAAATATTGGCAAAGGCTGGTTTTGTGTCATATTATCCATGACCCATGAATTACTCATAAAGTGTCCTGTAAACAGGCACAAAAACAGATGATCTCAAATAGATGTCAAAATGGATATCTCATTATAAAGCGGGAGATTTTTTCTTCAACAAGAATTATAATAAATTTTAACTCAGTTTAATACAAATATCCAGGTATCTAAAAATAACTTTGCTGACAAATAATATGTCTAAATATTTACAGCTGCTAAAATAGAAATAATAAAGTATTTTTTAAAAAATATAATTTTAACTTTTTAAAATCAGTTTTTAAAAGAGCAAAGTTTAAAATGCAAAATTGAATATTAATAATTACTTTCCACCAGCTAATATTGCTGGCAGATTCACAGACGAGCTTCACTTCCTCCCAGCCCCAGAGATGAGAGCATGGAGGTTGGGGCTGGGAGAGACCTCACGGACACGGCGCCACTTGGGTTTAGCATCTGAGCTGACAAGCGCCGAGCGTGCGGCCCCCACACACCTGGCCCAGGCACTCAGGGCCTTTACCACCAGTGCTCACACTGTTTATTTACACAGAAATAATCAGCTGTTTTAGACCAAAACCACACTGCATGGCACTGATGCCCTTGCTGGTTCTTGGAACCGTCAGAGGAATGACACAAGGACCCCACGGACTGCTGGTGGTTTCCTGCAGATATGGACACGATTCTGTAAACACAGCCTGTCTTCCAACGGGCCAGCTCTACTTCGCGACTAATACCAAAAGCAGAACATAAACGAAAGGTTTTTTCCCTCCAGAATAACCAGGACACAGTGAAGCATTTGTCATTTTTGGTTTGTTGAAATGCTCGTTTTTGATCCAATGTGTTTTTACCTAAGTGTGTGTACGCTTATGAGCTCTAGATAGAGGCTGACAAAAATCAAGTTAGAGGTTAAAAGCCTCTTTTCTGTTTAATTCACAATGTGTTGAAAACAAAAGGAACCCACAAAAACAGAGCTGGACCAGCTGGTGCAGCAGGAGCTCCCGGAGCCCCCGATGCTGCATGGCCCAAATGAAAATGCCTTGCAGTCACGACGACTCCGTGTCTGTCAGAAGCCTGAGGCTGGTTCCATTCTCCTTCCCACACCTCATCAACGTGCTCCCCTTCCAGCAGCAAGAGCAAGTTTTAACTTGAAACTCTAGTGCCCATCAAAAAGCAATCACCGGAAAATAAAAAGGCAGAGGACGGAGTGTTTAATGCCAATCGAAAAAAAAAACCTGCAGGAAAACAAATAAATGACGAAGCAGGCCAAGCAATCAGCACCGAGAAAAAGAGAGACACAACAACAAAAGGCCAAGGCCCAGAAAAAACACCCCGTCTGAAATTCACATGCCGCAACACCCAGCAGAAATGAGTCCCTTTCACAGGGGAATTAAGTCACTTCGGTATAATTCTCAGAAAGGACTGCTGCCTACACTTGCTATTTCAAATAAAAGACACAGCCAAATACCAATAAAATCTTTCAGTAAAGTGTTCTATGGAAATTACACACTTAGGAAAAACTGTAAATATATGTAGCTCACAAAGAAACAAAGTTTGACCACTGGAAGTGAACCTATTCAATTCTAAACTCTTCCTAAATGCAGTTGCTGAATTTAAAATCTAACAGTTGGGTATGCGACTCCTGGTGCTGGAAGAGATTAAAATAATGATCATTCGTGATTCTCTAAAATTTCAAAACTTTTGCTATCACCCTTATAAACTGGTGTCTGTTGGAAAAGTGTGACTTTCAGAGAAAATACGTGTACAGCTTATTTGGGAATGTGAAGAATGAGATCAGTTCAAAAGGACCTATTTCAAAATGTGGCTGCTCAGGAGAAGCTGTAAAACCGATAGGACCACATGCTTACAGGAATTCATTAAAATAAGAGAGACCACAAATATTCACGAGTGACTTTACAATGTAAAGCCACTGCAGGAGAAAAACATACTGACTTGGTTTGGATGTGTCCCCTCCAAATCCCATGGTGACATGTGAGCTCCAGTGTTGAAGGTGGGCCTACTGGGAGGTGTCTGGGCCATGGGGCAGATCCCGTGGGAATGGCTTGGTGCCCACCTCATGGTGATGAGCTCTTGGAGATCTGGGTACTTAAAAGGCCGGGACCTCCACCTTCTCCCGCTCTCCCTCCCTCACCATAGGACGCTGGCTCCCCTCTGCCTTCCCCAAGAGTGGAAGCTTCCCGACGGGGCCTCACCAGAAATGGGTGCTGGCGCCATGCTCCCTGTACAGCCTGCAGAACCGTGAGCCCAGCAAACCTCTTTTCTTTATAAATAACCCGGCCTCCGACATTCCTTTACAGCAATGCAGAACAGACTAACACTCACAGAGAACAAAATCAGTTTATAACATTCCTTTTTAGTTTCCACTTAATAGACTTACAAACAGAAAAGTGATTAGATTTTCAAACAAGAAATAATCATTAGTAGAAATTTCCACCATGGCCAGCTTGGAGGTGCTTGCTCCCTGCCTCCTTCACCTGTCATATTAGAGAAATCTCTCAAAACATTTCCACTAAAACCACAAAACACACACAAACCACATTATTTCATCAGTTTAGAGAAAATACCAAATTCTGCTCTCTCAGTGAACAGCAGCTCTAGCTGATCTCTTTTTCATCCTACATCTGCCTGTCTCATTGTAATAGGCATTTTAAATTTAACATTTATTAGGGTTATTGTATTTTCTGGAAATCTGATTGTTTCAATTTTCTTTTTTCAGTAAAAACTAAGTTAAATGCCTGCTGAAAATATGCTGGCCCAGCCACAGCTTTCTTTAAAATGATAATCACTGTGGGATTTTTTTTTCATTTTATCCCTATAATGAGGCAAGGTATTTAGCCTTTGACTATAATCTAGAAATAAAGGAATAAACTGGTAATAGAATTACATCACTTCACAAGAAAGAAAAGCTCAGTATGTTAATTCAATGAGTAGTAGATTCTTGAGGAGTTTCGTAACAGAATGACAAATGGAAAAATAATTGGCTAATACTTAAGCAGAAGTGGGCAAGCTTTCTGAAATATCAAAAAGAAAAAACAAAAAACAAGTGCTCGACACCAAACCAGAAATAATCCTCAAATGGGACATCACCAGAACCTCACGCCATGACCGATCTGACATGGGATCCTCACGTAGGAGGTGAAAATACACCAAATGATCATTTTCTACTGGAACTCTAACCCTTCAACAAAGAAGAAAGCCGGGCACCTGCAGGCCAGCTGCTCAGGATGCTGCGTCAGGAGGATTACTGGAGAACCAGCCCGGACAACATAGTGAGATCCGATCTCTACAAATAAAAAAGGAGAAGAAAGAAAATATTCCACGCAAACTTTGCCCAGAGTTTCTCCTTGTAGTTTTTTAACCAGCATTTGTCGTATCACGAAGCGTTCACAAACACCTTACCTTCACGGGCGGCTGCAATAGTTTTCATTAAGCACTGGTAAACACACCCAGCGGGATGCGAGCAGCCCAGGGGCTTCCGGAGAGGCCGGCACTGCCCCGACGGGGGCGGGACCTCAGAGCAGCCCACTCAGTTCTCGGAGTCAGTTTCTCACCAAAACAAGGCTGGGCTAAAACACGCTGAGAGGTCATTGGGAAGGCCGTTCAGCAAGCTGCTTTATGAAAATCAGGAGACACCAGATAAACTACACCTTTTACTCCAATATTGTTATTTTTTCCACTTTCATTAAACATTGGCTTTTTCCTTAGATAGGTCCTGAATTCAGCCCAAAGAACTTGCAACCCATAAGGGATTCCACACCGACAAGCCCCGTGTTGTTTGCACGGGCAGGTTACGCTCACTGAGGAACGCTATCAAAGATGTGGAACCCAGAACCCGGGAAGCAGCTGTACCTCCTGCACCCACGCCGCCTGGCCCGGACCACGAGGGAGCCACGGCTGCCCCATTGTGGCCTCCTGGACCCCACTTCTTCCCTGCGCCAGCCACGAAGGACCATGTGGTCCTTTTCGGGTGCTGTGGTTTCTCGTCCCACACCCTGACGCAGTGATGCCTGCTCACCTGCTGACCCCTCCGGCTTCTGTACCTGCTGTCCCCTCCGGCTTCCTGTCTGCTGTCCTCTCTGGCTTCTTGTCTGCTGTCCCCTCCAGCCTCCGTGCCTGCTGACCCCTCCGGCTTCCTGTCTGCTGTCCCCTCCGGCTTCCGTGCCTGCTGTCCCCTCCGGCTTCCGTGCCTGCTGTCCTCTCCGGCTTCCTGTCTGCTCTGTTCTCACAGGCACAAGGGTCCCCTACCTCCGTGTCTACTGCACCCAGCGGACAGGACCAGCGGCAGTGACCAGCTTGTGACTCCATCAGAACCTTGCATGTGATCGGTCACCTGGCTGGGTCCTCACGGTGCTGCCGCCCACTTTACAGATGAGCCACCTGAGCATTAGTAGAGTGAGCTCTGAGGCAGCAGCCCAGCAGGACTGACCTCGGTGGCCATCCCCATCGAGACCTAGGCCTGCTGTGCACTGAGGCGCCAGCCGTCAGGGATGGGCACATTGGGCATCCACCACCTCCTCGGCCCACTTCCCTCTCCAGCTGTACACCAAGCACGACTCTCTCCCAACCTGCAAGCAGCCGAGACTGCAGCTGCCCCCATGTCTGAGCAGCTCCTGCAACCCTCCTCCAGCCGTCGCAGTACCGCATCTCTTCATCCCCACGTGCTCTGGCCTTGCCATCCCTGCACCTGCCCTTCCCTGCTGGGGCCGACCCTCACCCCCCAACCTCACCATGCACCAACACTCCCGCAGGACCTGGCTGGCACGGCGCCTCTTCCTTTGCCAGGATTCTCTAAACCTCCCTGTTCCATGAGGCTGATTCCTTCCTTCTTCTCTCCCCTCCTTCGTTCATTCATTCAGTCATTCACTTGGGAAGCGCTCCTGAGCACGTTGTCCTTCCTTGAAGATGGGAAAAGAGGTGCCAACTCCTGTTCTGGAGGAAGGATTCTACCACATCTGAGTAGAAAATGTCAAAGCCACATGTGTCAATGAACACAGCCCCACTTCTCCTGCAGCACAGCAATGACTCCTGTCCAGTTCTGCACACAGTCCCACACACGGGGCCAGAATGAAAGTCGGCCCCAACAGAGTCACCAGGCACCCAACCAGACCAACGCCATGCTGTAAGAAGAAAAAGGGGCCTCTTTCCAATGGAAACAAATCTGAGCCAGCATCTTCAGCTCTGGGACTCCAAGGGAGAGGCAGGTATCACAGGCAAGTTGCAGGGTACAGCTGGGAGATGCACACACCACACAAGGACACACACAGACACGCATGTACAAACACGCCACACGCAGACACGTGTATGCAGGCACACAACACACAGGCGCACATGCATACACAGGCGCACATGCATGCATAGACACACAGGAAAACACACAGACACACATGTACACCCATGCCACAGGCAGACACGTGTACACAGGCACACAACACACAGGTGCACACACATACACACACAGGCACACATGCATGCACATATACATAGGCAAACAGCCAGACACTCATGTACACACACACCACACACAGACACGTGTACACAGGCACAAGACACACAGGCGCACACACATACACACACAGGCACACATGCATGCACATAGACACAGGTGAACACACAGACACACATGTACACAAGTGCCACACACAGACGTGTACACAGGCACATCATACACAGGCACACACATGTACACACACAGGCACACACAGGCAAACAGATATGCATGTACACGCACACCACACACAGACACATGTACACATACACACATACATGAACATGGACACATGGACACACACCACACATGCACAGACACAGACACCACACAGGCACATACGTATGTACACAGATACACATGCACACACATGTACACACACATCCCAGACATGCATGTACACACAGACCACATGCAAAACACACATACATACACCACACAGGCACATACACATGCACACACGTACACATACACATACACACACGCACACCACACAGGCACACACATGCATGCACACACATACACCACTCAGGCACATACACATGCACACACGTACACATACACATACACACACGCACACCACAAAGGCACACACATGCATGCACAGATACACACCACACACACCTGCACAGATGCACACAGACATGCATGCACACATACACCAGACACGTGTGCACAAAGGCATACACAGACACGTGCACACATAGGAACAGCGGCACACATACATGCATGCACATTGACAATATGCACACACAAGCTCACAGACCCACACCTACACACAGACATCTCTCCCGGACTACCAGAGCTGCAGGAACTGGCACCAGTGCCAGCACCGTGGACAGCGCCAGCGATTCCTGGCGTGTGAAGTTGGGGCAATCCACTCCCTGAGGTGCAGGAGAAACCAGAAGATGACAGGGAGATGGTGAACAGGAAGTGTGACTGCTCACAGCAAGGCACTGGCAGCTCCAACTTCATCTGAGGAGTCTCAGGAAGACAGAGGCCGCCTGCCTGCTGCAGACCCCTTGGCCCTGGAGGATGCACCTGCAAGGGCGAGTGAAGCTGTCCTGTGCGTGCAGCAGTCACAGCAAGAATGGATTCTTATTAAAAAGCATCCAAGCATCCTGCGCTCCAGCACATGTTCCCCAGGCTGACACCAGGCTGGGTGCCTACCAGGAGGAGGCCTCTGGGACAGGGCTCTGTGGCCTTCCCTACAGAAGGCCCAGCCGGGCCAGCAAGGCCGGGCCAGCAGCATGGTGCCCTTGGAGCTCTCTCCTTGACGCGAGCGGCTGGCACCACTGGACCACCTTGATGGGAAACTGCAGGACAAGGAGTCAAAGGACTGGCCTCAGGGTGCAGTGAGACGAATGCAGGGGGCACTGTGGGGCAGGGACTCTGCTTAAATCCAGGGGCGCATCCTCCCACCACACACACAGCAGCAGGCGGTGAGGACAGGCCTCATGCAGGGAGACAGGGAGCGGCCGGACAGCCTGGCACTCCTCTGACTGCTCAGGGCTGGGCCCTGGGACGGGGCTCCCGCCTCCATGAGGCTGTGGTCCTCACCCCAGCATCTGAGGATCGTCTCTGCCAAGCAAACCCCACACAAGCTTTGCCTCCTCCGGAAATGTCCCTGAAGCACACATGGAGTCAGGGAGAGGGCCAGAGCCAAATCCCTCACAATGACCAACCACCAGGGAGGAGGCTCCGCCAGCCCAACAGCAAGACTCCGCCCAGGCAGCAGGGACACAGTAAGCGTTTCAGGAAGGAAGCAAGGAGCAAGTCCTGTATGGCTCTGCTCACCAACACGAGATGTCCTGACAGGCACTGGGAACCGTCCAGGGAGGAGGAGGCAGCAAGGCTCAACCTGGTCAACGCCAGATGCAGTCACTCCTTCCAGGAGTCACCCGGGCAGCTCCTAAGGTCCTCACCCATCGCAGCAGGCCCCTTCCTCGAGGAGCACGCAGTCCCTGGGAGATCTGTGACACTGGGGGCCTCCCCAGTCCACTGCAACCCCACTCCAGGCTCCCCTGACCGCTGGCTACCCTATATGCCAGAAACAGCCCGACCTGAGCTAGCACTTAATTACATGCCAGATATTCACCCAATCTCCCTGGGTAGAATGGAGGCCATAGTGCCCTTCCCCTTCCTGGGACCCTCTTCAATTAGGAGAGCAGTTCATGGTCGGAGCTGCACAGCACCTCTCAGAGGCTTGCAAAGTAGGCCCAAGAAATATCCTCCGGTGCTATACTTACACTAGCATAACATAGAGCACATTTGAGGAATTTTTACTCAAGTGGTGCTGCTTCAAAGGCAATACATTCTTCTCATTAATCCTGCAGAGTTTTGCTACACATTGTTACAGGGAAACTGTCACATTAGCAGATTATATTGCCTAGCAGAAACAATCTACTTCCAGGAAAAAAAAAATGCTTAGAATCACTGTTTAGCCTGACTGCCAACCTTTCCACCTCATGTTTCTTGGTCTGTGCCAGGGCCAGGCAGGGGAGAGTATGGGCCCCTGGATGTGTCCTCTGTCAGCAAGCACTGCCCTAAACCCAAGCACAGCCTCAAAGCACAGCAGAGCTTCACTTAGCTCGGGGAGGGAGGGATACCGTGCCTGATTCGCTGCCGCAGCCAGGGCCTGAGGGGCTCTGCCACACTCAGCAGATGCTCCGCCAACATCCGGCGGTGAATAAACGACGCCAAGTCAGTTCTGTGTGGGGTCTGCTCCAGGAGAGGCACACCTGCGTCTTGTGGCACCTGCCTCCTCTCCCACCATCAACAACAGCGCCCAACCCCCACCTGCAACCACCCCATGACCCTGAGCTGGACCTTGGGAAAACAGACATCCCTGCAAGGGGACACGCCAAGCTCCATCCCCTCCTCCTGCGGCACCTTCCCCTAACTTCACTCGTTGCAAGCCACGCAGAAGGGAAATGCTCTGAAGAAGACACACACTCCAGTTTCCTGCTCCATCAGGTCACAAATGCTGGGAAGTTTTATTCCAGCTAAATCCTCCCTTCAGTGCCTCTCAGAGCCTAAGTGCCACTCAGCCGATGGGCTCTTCAGGTGATCTTGAGGAAGACACACAGAAAACTAATATTTTCTTTCCCACCTACATTTTATAAACTTTTGGGATTTATTAATCTATCCTTCCAACCACAATGTCCTTAAACAACGTAAATTTACTTGACCATTCTGTCACATATCCAATAGGAAAAAAAGGCTGTTTCGAGGGAAGGTGATTAGTGAATGACTAAAACAATTAACAGCTTTCATTCACTTTAATTTGGTGAATGGAGAAAGGTTTTTTTTTTAAGTTGATTAGGTACATTACAGATGCTATAATAATTTCTTGCATAGAGAAGAGCATTTATTCCAGGCTTAGAAGAGTGCAAACATTTGAAGGAATGTAAGAGAAGAGTGTGTTGTGGTTTAAAACAAGGAGAAAACCTGCAGTAGCAAGAAGCCCCCCACCAAGAAGGCAGGCACAGCTTTGCAGGCAGCTGACCGTCAGGTCTGCTCCTAAGAACCTCGACACTGAATTCACAGCCTGCCAGCCCTGCTTCCAGGAGAGGGTCATGAACAAGGTATTTCTGGTGCTCATTAACATACGTGAATGTCCATTTTAGAGCCTAGCATGTGACTGCTTAAAAACTCTTAGGTCATTTTTAACCTGTGAGCTGATCAGGTGACAATTCCCTGGTCCTGAAGGAGAGGGGGAAGCCCACGTGCAGTGTGTCCCTGAAAAGGAAGACTTGAGACCATATTTTTCTCCACATTCTGCCTCACTGAGAAATTTTTTCTTTTTAAGCAATTGTTTTATAACTATAGTTTGCCATTATCTTTTCATTTCAAAGGGAAAAACATGATTATCAGTTTTAAACATAGAGAAGGAAAAAAATTCATCAGCGCCTGAATTAATCCAAGTAACACGAGATTCATGTCAAAAACCGCCACTCTTTTCATTATGATGATGATTACACGGTGAGGGTAATGAGCTGGGGTTTGCAGGAAGCAGGAGCACGCTTTATTTTCTAACACTTCCGTTCTAAGGCACGGCCAGGTTAACCAATTCTATTTATTCTCCTCCTGTCTTTGGTACTAATGCTATCACAGAATTTAATAAGCACTAGGATGCGCCCCACACCTTAGGTCCACTGAAGGTAAACACCATGACCTCCGTCTCTCAGATGAGGACACAGTGGCTCTGGGAGGTTCTGCTGTACTTTTCGGTGAGGCTGCCGGAGCCGGCTGCAGCCCCACCCCGGAGCCCTGGGCTAGGACCCCTCTGAAGAGCTGAGCGGCTCCTACTCACTCACCAACAGGGGCTCTGCTAAGAACACGAATCCCTGGCTGGGCTCGCCTCCGCCCAGGACCCCAGACACCAGGTGGGGCCTGGCAGGGCCGGCCCGACCAGCAGCCATGCAAGCAACAACACGGGCGAGGGGTGGGCCGCGGTCCGGGGTAAGAGCGGGGGATGGGTAGGGACTGGGGTGGAGGTGGGGAGTCGGTCTGGGTTTGGGGTGGGGCCTGGAAAGGGGCCGGGGTCGGGGTCCCGAGTCAACACCGCGGTCTGAGCCGAGAGCCGGGTCTGGGGTCTGGGCAGGCCTCCGCACCGCACCCACCTACCGTGCTTCCTGTGCGCCGCCATGCGGGACCCTGCCGCGGACCTCAGACCACGGCGCGCGGTCCTGAGCTGAGCGCCGTGCCTTCCGGGTTCCGCCCTCCTGGGTCCGCCCACAACAGCAGGAATGCCCAATCCGAATACGGGACCCCGCCACGGGCGGTCAGTCAACTACATCACGGCCGTAGATTGGCTGATATCGAGTCTGTAGGCGTGTCGCGAGGCTCCAGACCCGCCTCTGGGAGCCCCGCTGTGGAGCATGCGCGGAGGGAGGGCTGCGGGGGCGGCGGTGCGGGCTCTTGGGGACCTGAGGACGCTGTGAGAGCGCTGGCGGCGACTGCTCTACGCGGTGGCGGAACTCTGGGGGCGAACGCTAGGGAGGGCGTTGTGGAGAAGAGGGGAACGGAGGGCCCCAGAGGAGAGGCGCCCACCCCCAACCCCACGGGTGCACCTGCGGATCCCCAGTCCCCGCTTCGCCCCCAGGCACCCGCCGGACACAGGGAATGGCCAGGGCAGTGCCCCCGGCCCCAAGGCACCTGCAGGATACAGGGAGTGGCTAGGGCGGTGTCCCCGGTCCCCGGGCACCTGCGAGACACGGATAGTGGCCCTGGCTGTGACCCCAGCCCCCAGGCACCTGGAGGATATAGGGAGTGGCCAGGGCGGTGACCCCTAGCCCCTAGGCACCTGCTGGATACAAGGAGTGGGCAGGGCGGTGTCCCCGGCCCCCAGGCACCTGCAGGATACAAGGAATGGCCAGGGCGGTGTCCCTGGCCCCCAGGCACCTACAGGATACAGGGAATGGCCAGCCGGTCCCCAGACACCTGCTGGACACATGAGTGGCCAGGGCGGTGACCCCAACCCCCAGGCACCTGCTGGACACAGGGCATGGCCAGGGCGGTGTCCCTGGCCCCCAGGCACCTGTGGGACACAGGGAGTGGTCAGGGCAGCGGCCCCCACGTCACCCCGGCTTGCCAGACCCCTTCTTGTCTCCCTGTCCAGCTCCAAGGGCCTCTGCCCTCCCGCTCCACCCCCTCAGGACCCTCCTCCTTGAATTCGTTTCTTCCAAAACATTTCCCAGGTGTGTGCCAGGCGCTGTTCCTCATGTGGGCTGTCTCAGGAGAGGAACCCACGGAGATGGGTGTTTTGGAGGAAAATGAAGCTGGTAGGGCCTAACTGTAGAGTGATGGGCGCGGGCTTGAGGTAGGTGAGGGAGCAAGACTGGGGGTGCCCAGGGAAAGAGAGCCCACAGGAGGGAAACGATGTCCCAGGAGAACGGCTGCCCTGTTTGAGTTTGGGGACCAGAAGCAAGGGCAGGATAAGGGGAGCTCAGATCAGGAGGAAAGGAGACCCAGACCCAGGCAGGGTCTGCAGGGAGCCTGATAACTTTGCATGTTCCAAGAAGCAGGGTGGAAAGTTGTTACACGATGTAGAGCAAAGGGGTGAAATGATCTGATGCATTTTCTTTCTTTTTGGGGTAGACAGGGTCTCACTCTGGCCCAGGCTGGAGTGCAGTGGTGCCATCACAGCTCACTACAGCCTCCAGCTCCTGGCCTCCAGCAATCCTCCCACCTCAGCCTCCCAATGTGTGGGATTACATGCATGAGCCACTGTGCATGGCCTGATGTACATTTTAAAGAAGTCATTTAGCGTTGTGATGACTAGAGTTGCATGGAAGGAAGTGTGGAGATTTCATCTGCTGCAATAAGAGATGCTGACAGCTCACATCCAAGTGGTGGCACTGGAGGTTCTGGGTGGGGGGGCTAGTTGGATTGTGGACATGTTTTAAGGTAAAGCCAAAGAGATTTTCCGATTGATCAAACTGGGCTGTGACAGAAAAGGAGAAATGTAGAATGGCTGTAAATTTTTCGTTTGGAAACTGGAAGGCTGGAGTTGCACTGAGGAGGTGGAGAGCCTTCTGGGGATCTTCGTTTGGTGGTAGTGTGCAGTTTTAGACAGGTCAAGTTTGAGGTGCTCATAAGATGAGTAAGCATATGAGGTCATGAAGGGAGCAGGCGTGAACTTTAGAAAGTGGTCCAAGGAATAAGCCCCGAGGGGCTCTGGCCTTTGAGAGGTGGGGAGATGAGGGGGCCCAAGCTGTGGTACATGAAGGGTGGCCAGGGAGAAAAGGAAGGTCCTGAAGCCAAGTCAAAGAACGAACCACTGGTCTCCAATGATGTGGATGAAGCAAGAGGAGGACCAGTGATGTACGGTTGCATTTGTAAAGGGCAGAGGCCATCAGGGATCTTGGTTACAGGAATTTTGTTGAAGTGGTAGAAGCAGAAACTTGATGGAAATTCATAGAATTTCGAGGAAAAGTTAGACATTGACTGTACACCATTCTCTGGCGGGACCATGCAAATGGGGCAATAACTGGAGGGTTTTTGAAGACAGAACACATACACACACACACACAGACAGAGAGAGAGAGAGAGAGAGAGAGAGAGAGAGAGAGAGAGAGAGAGATAATTTGACCTGATCAAATTACTGTTGAAAATGAGTGATGCAGGAGGGGAAATAATCCCTGTAATGAGGCTGCATCTTGAACTTGTTCTCCACTTCATCATTCTCACCAGCACTCAAGCCCACTGTGGACGCCCCCATAACAAAATCCTCCCAGGAAATAATGTATTTTTCTCCAGCCCTGTTTCTTCAATCTCTCCCACACTCAAACTGGCGGAAAGAGTTGATTACAAAGCCCGTCTCCACTTTGACGTCTTCCATGGACTCTGTGACCCCGTCCAGCTTTTCTCTCCACCCCTCCACTGCACCTGCTCCTGACAAAGTCCCCAAGGCATCCATGTCCCCAGCTCCAACACACAGTTCTCAGTAAGCATGTAACACACTAAGGCCTCCCAGAAGTGTCATCCAATTGCTGGGCCAAACTTGGGGGTCATTGGTGACTCTCCTCTTCCTCTCTTCCTGAATAACCCATCCAGAAAAATCACATCAAGCGCATTCTACTTGCAACGTGTCTTACTTCCACTGCTGAGTTTGTGTTTTCATCATTTGTCACTAGGATTTCTCCAGCCTTTTTTAAGTTGATCTCTGAAATCCCAGGATTTCTCCGAGCATTTTTAAAATGATCTCAATTCCACTCTTGTTCCTCACTCCCATCCTACCGACATTTCTTCTTATAGCAGCCAAAATGGTCATTTTAAAACCTCACTGCCATTCAAAAATCACTGAAGGTGGACCATCCAGCAACAGGATAGGGAAGAAAAACCACACAATCACATCATTAGATGCAGACAAAGCATTTGACAAAATCCAACACCCATTCATGATTTAAAACCGAAACACCCTCAGCCAACTATGATTAGAGGGTAACTTCTTCAGTTTGATAAGGGACACCTACAAAAACCCTAGAGCTAACAGCATACTAAATGGTGAGAAACTAGAAGCCTTTCCCACTAAGATCAGGAAGAAGGCAAGGCCCCCCCCTCTTGCCACTGCATCTCACTGTTACACTGCAATTCCTGGCCAATGCAATGAGACAAGAAAAGGAAATACAAGGTATACAGATTGGGAAGGGAGAAATAGAAGTTTTCTCTGCAAATGACAGGATTGTCTATGAAGAAAATCTCTGCCTTGCTCAAAATCCTACATCATAATTCATTGTATAGAGGATACAAATCAAAGCCCTTAAAATGTCCTGAAAGACCCCTGAGTTTTTCTCCCGTCACAATCATGTGGTCCTTTTCTCCCTCAGTTGCAGTTATTCTGACTGTTCAGTTAAACGAAAATGTGGCCAGGCATGGTGGCTCATGCCTGTCATCTTAGCACTTTGGGAGGCGGAGGCAGGAGGATCGCTTGAGCATGGGAGTTGGAGATTAGTCTGGGCAACATAACAAGCCCCTGTGTCTACTAAAAATACAAAAAGTTAGCCAGGCATGGTGGCACATACCTGTAGTCTCAGCTACTCAGAAAGCTGAGGTGGGAGAATCACCTGAGTCAGGGAAGTTGAGGCTGCAGTGAGCCGTGACAGCACCACTGTACTCAAGCCTGGACAACAGGAGTGAGACCCTGTCTTAGAAAAGAAAAAAGGCCAGGTACAGTGGCTCACGCCTGTACTCCCAGCACTTTGCGAGGCCGAGGCGGGTGGATCACGAGGTCAGGAGATCGAGACCATCCTGGCCAACATGGTGAAACCCCGCCTCTACTAAAAATACAAATACAAATAATAATAATAATAATGATAATAATAATAATAATAATAATAATAATAATAATAGCAGGGCATGGTGGTGTGCACCTGTAATCCAGCTACTCGGGAGGTTGAGGCAGGAGAATCGCTTGAACCAGGGAGTCAGAGGTTTCAGTGACCTGAGATAGTGCCACTGCACTCCAGCCTAGTGACAGAGTGAGACTCCGTCAAAAAAAAAAAAAAAAAGGCATCAAGTCCTTCTATCTCCCAAGGTCTTCAGGCCTGCTCTTATCTCCCTAAATCCTGTTCCCAGGGCCATGGCAGAGGCCACCTCTGATGCCACCCTCAATGTGCTCTCAGGTCCCCGTGCACTCCCCTGCTGGTTGGCCTCTGGACTTTCTTTGAAGCTTTGGGAGGTGCTCAACTTGGGGAGTGGGGTGTGTGGGTGAGGAGCAGCCCTCAGTCACTGGGACCTAGAAGCTGAAAAGCTGTCCAGCCTTCCTAAGCTGACGTGCACTCCAAGCTGCTCCTGTTAGAGCACCCCAGCAGGACGGGGCCCCGGTGGCCACAGGAGCAGCCCAGCGTCACCGCAGCCTCTGGGACGTCCTCTCCTGCCCTGCCTCTCTCTCCCTACTTCCTCTCTCTAGTTTCCTGGGATCGATCTCCCAAATGAACTACCTGCACCCAAATCCACACCTCAAAACCTGCTTGTGGGAGAACCCAGGGGGAGATTTAATAACGACGTCCTCAAAAAGTTCTTTTCTGATGTCACAAACTGTATTTGTTGCCCTTTTCACATTCACCAATAACACTCCATATGTTTCCTTCAGAGAATTATAACTTGTAATTGTCTGTTCCTTGGGTAACTTCTGGGCGGATCCCTCTCTAGACTGAAGGCTTCATGGGGCGGCAACCGTGGTTTTCTGTGCTGCTCACACGCTGAGAACACAGGAGAGGCCGTCAGTACATTTGTGTGATTTTCTTGTTGCGGTTGCATGAAATAATATATATATATATTTTTAAAAAACGTGAAGGGATGGGGACGAAATGCAGGGGAGGAAAGCAAAGGGAAAGTAAATTGTGAAATGAAAATAAATTGGCCTGGAATCTCTCCCTAGTTGAGGTTTGGGCGCTGAATGCACCTTTTTTTTTTTTTTTTTTGACAGTGGAGACCACTGATAGATTCGGGAAACATTTAGAAGAAATGGACAGCGGCCGGACTTCTTTCTCCCATTCACCTTTCTACCCCCTCGTCGTTTAGCACTCTGCCTTGAAAATAAACTGCAACTGATGAATATTTTGGTGATCAATTATACGGGGAATTCTTACAGAGCCTGTTTTTTGTTTAAAGATCTTGGAATTTCTGGAAAAGATTGGTTTGTCCATTCCAAATATTTTGGATGACCTGATTTCATTCTAACTCCCATCCGTCTTTCTATGCGGTTTGTTTTCGCATCTTTTACCTCATTTAAATGCCGTAGCCATGCAGGTGGAAAGCAGAAATCCATTTCTGCGTTTATGTTAAACTGGGGCTGAGAGACTTGCCCAGGGTCGGTGACCGCCCAGGGATCCCCATACCAGCGCGTCTAGCTCCCGCGTTCCGATCCCGGAAGGGAAAACCCATGATCCTGGCGAGGGTCCGTCCACACGTGGCCAGGGTGGCTGATCTTCCCGGCTGCTGTGGTTGTCAACACCACTTCTCCGGATCGATTTTCCCTTTTCCTCGGCTCTGTCGTCCATACGCCACTCACAGCAAACCCAGGCGGCGGGCCCCCTCCGAGGGCGCTCCTTGCGTCCGGACCCAGGTTCTCGGGGCGCCCCCCGGTGGGTCCCCGCGAAGCCGCCGCCGCACACCTTCCTCAGCGTAGCCCGCCAGTGGAAACCGGGGGAGGTTCTGCCTCCAGCACCCAAGCGGCGGCCGCACCTCGCAGTGAGACCCTCGCAAGCGCCCGCGCCTCCCTCGCCCCGCGTCCCCTCTGCCCCGCGAGCCCCCCTGGGCGCCGAGCCGACTCGAACCCGAGCGCGAGTCCCGCGCACAAACGCGCCGGCGCGTCTCTAACAGCGGTCCAGAAAGGCTGACCCTGCCCGGGGGCGACGGGTGTGACCGGGTCCCCCGCTAACTTTCGGGCGCGGTGAGCGTCGCCTGCGCGCGCCGCGGTGGAGGCCGCTGCTTTCCCGCCGGGAGCCCGGCACAGTCCCCGGGTGACCCGCGCGCCCCGCGCAACAGTTGGAGCCGGGCTGCCCGCGCGCTCCCCAAGCCGGGCCCTTCCCCAGATGCAGCCGCGCGCCGGCCGCCCCCCAGTGCGCCGGTGCCTCCCTGGGCGCCGAGTGCGCAGGCGCCGGCCGTGAAGACCGACCGTGCGCCGGGCTCGAGCGCGGTCTGAGCGCGCGGCGCCTGCGGCGGCGAACGGACGGACGGACCGCGGACGGACGTACTGACCCCAACCCGCGAGCCCCGGGAGCCGTCGGTCTGAGGAGGGGCCGCTTCGCCATGTCGCCCCGCACCTGCTGAGCCCGGAGCGTCCGAGGATGTCCGCGCTGAGGAAGGTGCGAGCCGCCGGGGGCTGCCGGGAGCCGGGCGCGGGGCTCCGAGAGCCGTCGAGGCGGGGAGGGCGCGGTGTGTCGGACCCGCGGGGACGCCCCGAGGGCGTCAGGGTTGGGGGCGGGGGCGAGCGGGGGTCGTGCCGCCCGCCGGGGCCGGAGCGCTGGGGACCCCAGGGACAGCCTGTGCTCGGGGGTCGCGCGTTGCGCTCCTCGCCGGGCTCCGCGCATCCCTGGCCGCGCTCGGGGGTGCCGGGACCCTGGGCTCCGGGGGTGCGGGAGCGCACGGGGCCGCGGAGGTGTGAAATTCTCCGCTCTGCCTGCCCGGGGTGGAGGGGGCAAAGCCTGGGGGGTGCCGGCGCGCCAGGGGCTACGCGCCTAGCTCCGGTGGGGCAGCTGCGAGCGAGTGGGGGCGGCGGGCAGCAGACTGCATCCCCCTCCCCCCAAGCCCGGGTGGAAACGCCGACGGGGACTGGGAATGAATGAAGGGTGCCGGGCTGGGCTGCGCGCACGGGGGCTCGCGGGGGCGGGGGCGACCAGGATGGGGCCCTTGTGCCGGGCAGCAGCGGCTGCCGAGACCAGGCGGAGTGGAGGGTGCGCGCAGCGAGGGGGTGGCCGCCGCCCGGCTCTCCAAGTGCGAGCGAGGAGCTCGGGGTCTTTTTTAGGGGTGGTTGCTAAGCGAGGCGCTACCCAGCGCAGGGTTTTGTAACTAAGCCTCCCCCGGCAGCGGCTGTTGCTGTCTCCGGCTCCTTCGCTAACGATTGCAGGAGAAATAATGAGGATGTAATTATTACAGCCCTGCGCGGAGGGCTGGGGGGCGGCGGACGCGGGCTCCTCTGCCTGCGCGCCCAGGTGGGGCTGGGCTGGGCTGGGCTGGGCTGGGCTGGACTGGACGCCTCTCCCCGCCCGGCCCTCCCTCAGCGCGCGGCGTGTGCGGTGCCCGAGGCTTCGGAGCAGGCTGGACCTGGGAACCCGGGGAGGGGCCTGGAGGAGAGATAGCTGGGCGAGGTGGGCGCCGGCGAGAAGGCGGAGCCCCCGGACAGCGTAGGTTCGCAGGTGGAGAGCGGACGCGGGGGCGAGGGTGCGCGGCGGGTCTGCGATGCGCGTCGGAAACTCGCGGCCCCCGGTCCCGGCCCTGCGCGCTTGGAGCCCGGGTCCTTCCAGCCCCTGCGCGACGCCGCCGCCGCCGCCGCCGGTGAATGGCGATCCCGGCCACGGCCTGGAATTGGAAATTCGTGACTTGTCGGCGGCCCCGGTCTTCTATCGATTAAAGATAAAGCGATCAGCAGTGAATTTATCCTTCGTGTGGATGAACTCGGCCAGCCCGGGCTGTGGGGGGTTTGGGAACTGTAAATATTCTCCAAAGCGCCGCCGCTTCTCCCGTCTTCCCGGACTCGAGGCTGGAGGCAGCTCCGGCGACGCGAAGGGGGGTACCCCCCGGAGAGGTCGGGCCTGGGGCGCGGCGGACAGAGACCCGGTCCCAGAGCCTGGCGGAGCCCGACAATCCGCCCTGTCAGGAGGAATCTCATCAACAGCCCGTGAATTAATTGTCCTTGCAGTTGGGAAATAACCCGGTACCTCGGCGTAGCCCGAGGGAGTCCAGGAGGCTCTCCAAGGAGCCTTCCCCCGGGTCGCGAAGCTGCGCTAAACCCCGGCCCCAGCGCACCTTGGAAGGCGCATTTTGGCCTGAGGTGAACGCACCTTACACCATTTTCATTTTACTTCCTTTTCTCTGAGAAAGGTAATAGATAACCAAGGCCAAAAATGGCGAAATGATGAAAAAATGGTAATTCTTGGCAGGTCAAGTTGTTACTCTGGGTTTAAAAAAATGTCATTAATCAGGATTTTCCAGTAGCCAAATTGTCTTGTGCCGGCAGCTGGGTGACTCACAGATTTGGCTCCAATAGTAATTGTAGAGTGTGCGTACCATTTCCTTCTGGATGGTGTGACTTTTTCATTGCTTGGAAGAGAACACATTAGAATATTTTATCCCCTACATCTGGCAGCATGTGGAGCAGGCTGTAGGCAATACTCTGTCCAAGCACATCTGGGCGGGGAGGCCGTGGAGGGACCGAGGTGACACAGAGCCGGCCCTGTCCTCGGTTCTGTCTCGGGTCACCTGAGGCATCTTCACCGCGGCAGCTCGGGCGCGTGGGATCTGCTCTCAGTGATGACCTGGGACGCATCCTGCCTCTGTGCGCCATTCCTGCCCCTTCACTGTCACTCCTTGGTGATCGCCCGTGTTCTTGGGTAAGCAGTGGAGAGGCACAGAATGGCTTCCTCTGTTGATCTACCGCGTCAAATCTGTATATTATAATTTCAGGTTAAAGGGTAAGAGTTGTAAGCAAAATGAGTACTACGTCAAATAATTCAAAGGAACGAAGTAATTAAAAGTAAAGCTTTCTCAGCACGAAGATGTTTTCTCAGATAAGCATTCTAAGTCAACTTTTCATAGTATTCAATGTCTATTTGTTATTCTTCGAAAGAACTTTGCACTTATGATTGTCCAAAGTGGTACAGCTTGAGACAGAAATAAACATGTATTTATTTACCAACTTTTTGTATGCCTTTTGTTACTTGTGATTTAAATGGGTTAATTCGATTTTTAGTTTTGTAGAATTCAGATCACATGACATTATTTCTCCCCAGTGACATACATGCCCTTCTGTGGCAATCTATTGCTTCTCTTATTTGTGTCTACTTATTTCAGTTTTGAAATTGGTAGAAATTCCAAATTAAATATTAAAAGCAAAAATAGGCTTCGTGGAATTTAAATTACATTGGATTCTGTGTACCCAGAACCCAACTAATTCTGAAACTAAAGTGCTCTAATATCTTTTTAAGGGTGAGAGGATTTTGTTTTGTTTTATTTTGAAGATATCATCTTCCATAATGTTGAAATTGAAGAAATGCTATAATTTTTTTATTATATAACTGTATTTGAGGAAAAGCTTCATGACTCCTCAGTTATCCAAGGAGTTGAATGATGTATACTTTGATTATAGATTTTAAAATGAAGTTGATTAAATATTCTATTTATTGACCCTCAGGATGGATGCTCCATGGTCATTCATTGGATACAATAAAAATAACTATGATTCATCATTTTGGCCAGATGGGAGTCATATTTAGAGCATTGCCATCATGTTGGTTATAAAAGAATTACAGGCTGCCATACAGGAAGTTAGTAGGCACACTTTCTATGCAGTTAAAAATTATTCTTAATCAACCGTAGTTTTACCAACTAGTTTTCATCATACGAGGCTTTCTAGTGCCACTAACTTCTTCAATATGTTTTGTTGTTTCCTGGGTACTTGTGCGTACAAAAACTGAGCATAGTGATTTCACGTGTGCTCATGACAAAAGACTTTAATTTCTAGGGAAGTTAAGCAGATGGGCTTTGGCATTGACCAGGCATGGGGTCGTAGGGTGTGCAAACTCTAGTTTAAATCTTGCATCTACTGGTAGCCACCTTTCCCTTCCAAGGCTTAACAGCAGTAACAAATTAATCTCCTCAGCAAAGGCAGTAGGAGCTCATTTGTAAAGCTCTGTTTTTCTTTTTTCATGTCATTCTTCTGTGCACTGACTTCATCTGCCTATGAAAATCTTCTCCCAGTCCTCAGGTCATGGGCCTTGACATGCAGTCCCTTAACTTTAGCTCCAGGAGAGGGGCCTGGGTGTTCTGACATCCCGGTGATGGGTGTCCGCTGCAGGTGCACCTCTCCTGACTTGATGGCAGTGTCTTCATGTGGGATGTCAGTTGCCTTAGTTCTGGAAGTGTCCTGTCTGTATTTATTGGCGGGCCTTCAGGAGTTGAGCTTTCTAGACCCGTTACTGCAGACTCCAGTGTATTTGCAGTTCAGTGTACGCTTCCCTTTCCAGGCAGCAGCCAGCTCCCCTTAGGGAACACCTGCCACCTCATGGGGTTGGCTTGGCGGACCCTACTTCCCGTCAGAGGTGGCTCCTGACTGGCCGGAGCCCTAACTCCCTCTCAAGAGCAATTGGATGAGTGAAGAGCGGGAACTTTCAAGGAGAGGAAAGCTTTAGGAAAAACAGCGGGAAAGGTGTAAGGCCTGCAGTTGTGGCATCAGTGCACAGCCTTGCAGGGATGGCCTGTCTGGAAATGACACCTTCCTCATCTGTCTGTGGAGGAGAAGGGCGGCTGTTATGCAGAGAGCTTGGTCCTGAGGATGCTGTTGGAAGCTCTGAACTAAGTTATGCCTGAACCATCATTACCCCGTGACTTTCAGTTACATAAACCAGGAGATTGTTTCTTTGAACTGAGTTTTCTGTCCCTGACAAGCAAATGGGATGTATGGGCTTTTAGTTTCTTCAGACATTTCCACATTAAACCTCTTGTTGCAGGGAAAGGCTTATTCATCTTCGGGTACTGTTTCTTATATGGTACATCGTGTGTATCGGCAGGAAAAAAAGAGAAAAATTTAAATCAACCATTTTAAACAATGAATAAACATTTGGAAATAGCCCATCTGTAAACTTGTGTTAAAAATTTTTAAAGTAACCTGTGAATCTGACTGATCGTTGTCTTTAAAATGTTTCATACTCTGTACAAAAGAAGAAAAATGGGAATGATCTCAAGGGTCCATAGAGTATGTATTTTAAGTTAGGCGGTATTGAAAAACATCCTTTTGTGTGTAACGAATGTTTGTCCTGTGACTTTTGCACAGCATTGCAAGTGGCTTTTTAGAGACAGGGTCTCCCTCTGTCACCCAGGCGGGAGTGCACTGGCATGATCATAGCTAACTGCAGTCTTGACCTCCTGGGCACGAGTGATCCTCCCACCTCAGCCTGTCTAGTAGTTGGTGTATGTCACCGCACCCAACTAATTTTTACTTTTTTTTTTTTTGGTAGAGACGGAGGTCTTGCAGTGTTGCCCAGGCTGGCCTTAGATTCCTGTCCTTAAGGAATCCTCCTGCCCTGGCCTCCTCAAGTGCTGGGATTACAGGAGTGAGTCACTTTTCCCAGCTGCATTTGGCTCTTTATTTGACCTCACCGTATTTCAGTTTTCTCATCACTAAGAGTGGGGCCAATGCAATATTAACTTGATAGGGTTAAGGAGGATTAAATGAATTCATGACTGTAAAGTGATAAGAATGGTGCACGTAGGAAATGCTGGATTAGTCTTGACTATTTTTATCATGAAAAAATACAATTGAGGCCTACTTTGAGTCAGTCCACAATGGAAGTTATCAAGCAACTCTTTGATTTCTCTCAAAACTGTTTTATTTATTATTTCTGGTCTTGTTTTACTTTTTTGTATATCTCTTGCCACTTTCCAAAAAGTTTTGGACCCAACTTAACCACAGAAGGACAAGGGAAAAAATGCTAATTAGAAAATAGAAATAGAAAATCGGAAGAAACACATGTGATAACCATGAGGATGGATGTAATTCTCTGGGCATCACGTTTGACACTGAGCTTCCAGGGAGTCAAGTCAACAAAACCCAAAACTACAAAGCCATGTTCAACCTGAGGATCATGCTTTCAGGGTAGACGTTGCATACTCATTTTTTGGTGAAGATAAATTTTCTCTGGCACTAACTTGTAAGAGATGTTCTGAGGGTAGATCTTATATTCAGGGGCTGGGGTTGTGTAATATATAACAGTTAAAAATACAGAAGTATTTTTTAATGATTTTGTCTTGATTTGGTTTCTTTGAAATAAACCAAAAGCAAAACTCACATGCACAGCCTACCCTCAGCACTGATGACCTCTTCTTGGTATTTATTTACTTACTTATTTAGAGACGGTCTCACTCCTGTGTTTCAGGTTGGAGTGAGTGGCATAATCTCAGCTCACTGCAGCCTTGACCTCCTGGGCTCAAGCGATCTTCCCACCTCAGCCTCCCGAGTAGCTGGGACTACAGGCGTGCACCACCACACCCAGCTAATTTTTTGTATTTTTAGTAGAGATGGGGTTTCACCATGTTGTCCAGACTAGACTCTGACTCCTGGGCTCTAGCCATCAGCCTACCCCAGCCTCCCAAAATGTTGCGATTGTGGGCATGGGCCACTGCGCGATGCCTTTTGCTGGTATTTGCATGTGATTTCCGTGGCCGGGTCTTCATGTCTGGATCACTCACTAAGCTACTGTGGTTTAGGGCTGAAGACGTGGATTCACGTCGTGTGTCCTGCAGACAACAGCAGTTTCTCAAGTTTCACGTGCCTTCACGTTTCCTCTGAGTCTTTGCATCTAAATGCCCAGACACCTGTTTTAGCTGAAGGAAGTGACTTGTTCTGGTGGCCGTGGCAGTCTATGGATGGAGCCATCATCGTGGTTCTCTCAGACCCAGCGCCGCTTCCCTCTTCTGTCTCTCATCTTGTGCGTTGGGAAGAAGTGCTCGTTCGCTCAGCAAGCTTAGAGGCAGCGTCTCCTCTCCACATATACCCCCGACCCACGAGATTGGGTTGGGAAGGTTTCTCTGTGCTCTGACTGTTAGGGTGACACCTCTCACCACCTTGTAATTCCCACTTTCCTTGTCTTTGATGTATTGGAATAGCCACTCTGTGAGGAAGGGTCTTGATCACCCTTGAACCCTGGCCCTGGGTCGCATCTAATGATCTGAATGGGTGAAGGTGCAGAAGAGGGGCTGACGCCTCCTCGAGGTACAGATTCCCCAGCCCAACCTGCGTCCCTCCCTCTTCTCCGGCCACGTCGCCCTCCCGGGGTGCTGGCCGTCTGCTCCCCACGGTCACTCCCTGCCTCTTCTCCGGCCACGTCGCCCTCCCGGGGTGCTGGCCGTCTGCTCCCCACGGTCACTCCCTGCCTCTTCTCCGGCCACGTCGCCCTCCCGGGGTGCTGGCTGTCTGCTCCCCACGGTCACTCCCTGCCTCTTCTCCGGCCACGTCGCCCTCCCGGGGTGCTGGCTGTCTGCTTCCCACGGTCACTCCCTGTTCCCTGCCTGGGCTGTGCCCCAGCAACACTCTGGCTTCACCCACACTGGACGGTGCTTTTCATTCCGTCCTTTCCTCATGTCTGTTCTCTCAAACCTAGTTGGAATGCTGCTTCCCCGGCCCCGATGCCTGAGTGAGGTCATGCTCCCAGCCTCCGAATTCCTCGCTTGGACTGGGTCCCGGCTTCCCCATCCCCCAGTCTGTCCGCATGCTGTCCTCAGTGCAGCAGAGATGGCGGGAAGGGGTAGCCCAGGCCATCCCCACACCTGCCGCAGGGTTTTAGGCCATGTCACTGGATAAACAGTTGCATGAACTCGTAAATACACACCGTGAATGCCTCGTTACGCCACCGTCCCTTCTCCCGCTGCTTCCGAGTTGTGGGTGCTGGAGACAAGCACAGCGGCAGGTTCTTTACCTTTTTTCTTGGTCTTTAATATGAAACCTTTAGCTCTTTAAAAATAATTTCCATTTTGTAACATTCTTTGTAATATTTTGACATTCTGAGCAAATTTCCGAACATCTGTTTTCTGGCTATACTATATATAATTTAGAAATTTGCATAAACAATTGAGAATTGTAGTTTCAACCTTTTGTTGTGGCCATTTCAGAATGAAGCACTACTGGGTCTGAAACAAAATGTTCTAGGTTGTCACTATAATTAGATTCAAAGTTTTATTTTTGTTGGTGAAACTTGAGTTCCGTAGTTCTTTAAAGCAACCAAACAGTATTTCTCAGTCTTCAATTTATCCAGCTACTTGCTTCTCTAATGATATTTTCTCAAGAGTCGCAGCACTCAATTTTAAAAAAACTCTTCTTTACATGTAACTATCCCAGCAATTTCACTTCTGGAAACTTTTCCTAAGGAAATAATCATGAATTTACAATAAGTTAGCTAAGTGGATGTTCCCTCCAGTTTTGTTTCATAGTATAATATTGGAAAACAGCAGTAACAGGATTGGGTAAATTCATGGTGGTACAGCAATGTTATAAAAAATACACATCCACAAAAACATGAAAGTTAAGTACCTAATTCTATAAGAAGGTGTTCATACCATATTAAGTAAAGAGAACGGACTATAAGACAGTATGAATACTTTCATCCCATTTCCCTAAAGCTACTGAGTTTGGAGCATAAAGACCAGACTGGAAGGATACCGACTCCAGAAAGAGGAACCCTAGAAGCCTGATCACATCTCCATCTCACTCAGCGCCAGGCCACCTGCCTATGGGGGTCCGCACCACCCCTCACGGCCTGCTCAGGCCAGCCAAGGTCATCCCCTCAACACTCTGCCCCCGTCACCCAGGCCTCCTTACTGGTGCCTGAACTTCAGTGATGGTCCTGGTCGGGGCCCGTGTGCCCTGCAGGAAGGCCGGGGGTGCGTCGCTGCTTTCCTCCAAGCCTTCCCACATGTGGAGCTTCTCAGAGAGACCAGGCCAAAGTGGGTGCCATCCCTCCAGTGCTCCCAGCTCCCTTGCCTTCTCACACCCCATGCGACTTATTTATTTTCGATGTTTTCTGATCATATCTGGCATCTGTTGAACGTTTCCTATGTGCTGGGCACTGCTGGGCGAGTTACTCATATTAACTCATAGAATTCTCATGCCAGCCCTGTGAGGTCAGTGCTGGCATTGTCTGCAGGCTGCGGATGAGGAAACTGGGGAAGAGGGGTCAGATGGCGCATTGGATCCCGTGTGGGGTCACACAGAGCCACAGGCCACGTCGGCAGGGGGGCTCCAGAGCTGGGGGCGCAGCCTCCACCATCCAGTGCCACGGGCTGGGAGAGAAGATCTGTGGGATAGAGGGCCGTCCACTGTGGTCATGGCAGTGTCCCTGCACCTGACACCTTGCTGGGCATGAGCCCCTCATCTGCTGAATGAATGTGGATCAGAATGCCAGCTGCACACTGGCAGGTGCTGAGGTGGACAGTGGTTTTGATTTTCTGTTTTTGTTTTTTTGCTGTATCAGCATACTTTTGGCTGCATATAATAGAAAGTCCCACACAAAACAGAAACTGAGGATTTGTGCGTTCTTACCACAAAGCACCACAGCCGGGCATCCTCAGCAACCAGGTTCCCTCTGTCTGCTCTGTGGCCTTCACCATCCCGGTGTAGCCCCTGCTGGCTGCGGACGCTGGTCCTGAAGGCATGATGCGAGGACGGTGCCCCTGTTAGGGTGATGTCGGCCCTGCAGGCGTGATGGGGACACCTTTGCAGTAAGGAAACCTTACTGTGAGTTCTCGGGAAGACCTCCCCTCACATCTCACCATGTCCGAGCCAGTGGCTAGGAAGGGAAATGGGCCCCTTGCCCTGGGCCTGGGGTGGTTTTACTCGCCCTCCTGGCCTGAGCTGTCCTGGTTCTCGGGGGGCTGGGGAGAGCGACACTGGAAAGCCGGCCTGTCCTAGAGACCAGGAGGCTCTAGAGTGTGAGGGGCTGCCGGGCACTGCCCCGCCTCTGACTGCTCTTCTGAGTTTGTGTACTACCCACAACGCGTCATACTTCTGAGTCTTACGGGACTTCTTTACGTTTTCATTCAGTAAAAAGACTGCAAGATATCATAAAGCAGACAGGGAAGGAGAAACCTCCTCTGAAAACCATCGAGCCGTAGTGACAAATGCACCATTTACCATGCTCCGCGCCAGTCACGCGATGGGCTTCTCCGCCGGGCCTCGCTTAGGCATCTTTGGTCCCAAGTTCCAGAAACAAGCTCTGGCTGATGAAAAGCAAGGCGGAGAGGCTGGGACAGGCCACGTTCCAGCCGAGGGGAACGCGGAGGACACAGGCGGCTGGAGGGTGACCTTTGAAGTAGGACGGGGCGCAGGGCGGGGGTGGGGGGCTCTGCAGCAGTATGAGGGGCTCCATGACGGGACGGGCAGGCTGTGTGGCAGGATTGGGTGCGGGGGCTCCAGGATGGGGCAGGGTGGGGGCCTTTGTGGTGGGATGAGTGTGCTCCATGGTGGGATGGGCGGGTCTGTGGTGGAATGAACGTGTCTGCGGTGGGATGGGGGGGCTCTGCGGTGGGATGGGGGTCTCTGCGGTGGGATGGGGGGCTCTGCGGTGGGATGGGGGGCTCTGTGGTGGGATGGGCGGGCCTGCGGTGGGATGGGGGGCTCTGTGGTGGGATGGGCGGGTCTGCGGTGGGATGGGCGGGTCTGCGGTGGGATGGGCGGGTCTGCGGTGGGATGGGGGGCTCTGCGGTGGGATGGGCGGGCCTGCGGTGGGATGGGGGGCTCTGTGGTGGGATGGGCGGGCCTGCGGTGGGATGGGGGGCTCTGCGGTGGGATGGGCGGGTCTGCGGTGGGATGGGCGGGTCTGCGGTGGGATGGGCGGGTCTGCGGTGGGATGGGGGGCTCTGCGGTGGGATGGGCGGGTCTGCGGTGGGATGGGGAGCTCTGCGGTGGGATGGGCGGGTCTGCGGTGGGATGGGCGGGTCTGCGGTGGGATGGGCGGGTCTGCGGTGGGATGGGGGGCTCTGCGGTGGGATGAGCGGGTCTGCGGTGGGATGGGCGGGTCTGCGGTGGGATGGGGCCGGCCTCTGTGGTGGGATGGGTGGACTCTGGTGGTGGCTCCGTGGGGGACTCCGTGGTGGGATGGGCAGGCTCTGGTGCTTTCTGTCTCTGTCTCGCTCCTCCAAGACTGAGGTCCACAGAGCCAGCTCAGCTCAGCCGCATGCTCCACGTAGCCACAGGGGTGCAGGGCCCCTGGGTGGGAACAGAGTGGGCCATGTGGGCGTTGGTGGGTCAGCATATCCCACACTGTGACCCGAGGAGGAAGCCCTTACCTGGCATTTGTTTTCTCCCAGAAAAGCAGCAGAGTCCAAAGCATAGAGGAGCCGAGAGATAGAATATCTCGTATCATTTACCACGCACTTTAGCTTTTTAAAAAGTGCTTACATATATTGGGTGACATCCAGCCCTGCGGTGCTGTGAATTTGCAAATGGCCTCACTGAGGAGCTCGTGGTGGCACACAGGTGTTCTGCACTGCCCATCAGCACCTGCCCGCTCCTTAGAGCCCTCCTCTGCAGTGGACTGGGATGCTCTCGGAAAGCAGCCAGTGGCTTCCCAGTGGACAAGGATGGGTGAAACCCCGGGGTTACTGCTTTGTTGTGCGGCGCGGAGACCTTTCGTTGGCTGCCAGATCTTTGCTTTCTGACAACTTTTATTATATTTGTTACATCTCTTGAGATTCTTCTCACCTACAATCTATTTTGCTCTCTCTGTATCTGGTGGTATAACGGGAGGTGAGCAGGCTACTTTTGTACATTTTCTTTTCTTTTTTCTGTATGTGAGAGGGGGCCTTGCTTGTTACCCAGGCTGGAATGCAGGGGCATCATCATAGCTCAGTGCAGCCTTGACTTTCTGGGCTCAGGTGATATTCCTGCCTCAGCCCTTGAGTAGCTGGGACTACAGGTGCACACCACCACACTTTTAATATTTTCAGTAAAGCTGGGGTTTGGCTATATTGCCCAGTCTGGTCTCAAACTCTTGGGTTCAAGCAGTCCCCCTGCCTCGGCCTCCCAAAGTGCTGTGATTACAGGCATCAGCCATTGCACCTGGCCTTCTTTTCTTTTATTTCTGGTCTTTTTATCTGCTAAGTATTTAGAAGCTAATTAATATATTACAAGTCAGCAATAATTCCGTGACCTAGAAATTATTATAGTTTATTGGTGTGTTTCTTTCCAGACTTCTCCTAATTATTTTAAAAATCAGAATTGGAAATTACCTTGTTTTTTTTTCACTTTATATTCTTTTCTAAGAATTTGCCTGTATATTCAAAACATCCTTTTATAAGTTAATTTTCATCGATGTGTAATGTTCCCGTATGGAGTGTGATTAAAACTTTCCCCTATTGTTTGACATTTCAGTTACTTACAAAAATGTTTGGCCATTGTTCTGGGGTTAATGTATTTTTTTGAATATTTTCTGAAAATGTAGATCTTTTTTTTCTCCAGTCAATTCCTAGGAACAGAATTATTGATTAATGGGTGTGTTTAGTTTCCTAGGGGCTGCTATAACAAGTTACCACAGATCGGGTGCCCGAAACGGCAGAGCGCGCTCTTGGTGCTGGAGGCTGGAAGCCTGGAGCCAAGGTATCCTGGGGCCTGCTCCCTCCAGAGGTGTGGGGAGGGTCCCCTCCTCTCCTGGCTTCTGATGGCTCCAGGCATCCTGGCTTGTGGCCTCATCACTCCAGCCTGCTTCTCTGTCTCCACGTGGCCTCCTCCTCTTCTCCTGGGGTCTCCCCTTCCATCCATCTCAGATCTCTCAAGCAGGACACATGTGAGTGCGGTCAGGGCCCACTCAGAAAGCCCCGGGTTATCCCCTCATCAAAGAGCCTTAGTTCATCACCTCTGCAAAGCCTGTCTTCCAAGCACGCTCACATTCCTGGGTGGAAGGGCTTTTCCTGGGTCTCCCTAGGGCCGGTTAGGCCGGCTGCATGGGCGAACGTTCCTGAGTCTGGAGGCCGTTGCCAGAGCTCTCTCTAGACACGCGCATCCACCCTGGCACCACCCGTGGGCACTGGCCGTGCCGCATCCTTGCCACACGAGGGGAGGTCAAGGCGATTGTGCAGAGTGGGCTCAGGGAGGACGTCACAGGAAAAGTAACAAAAGAAACCAAAATAAAAAGGAACAGAAATGGATCGATTGATCTAATGAAAACATTTCGAATCTTTTCTATGTCTACAGGAATAAAATCAAGTGTATTTAGAAACCGGTTAATACTCCAAATATAAGGGTTTTCCTGAGTGCATAAAAATTGACAAAGAATATAAACAGAAAATTAAAGAAGCCAATATTTCAGTTAATAAGCATTTGAAAATGGTCAAAATTGCCAATGAATGGTAACAGAAAACATGACTTTTAAAAACTACAAGTGAGCTATTATTTTACAGATAATTAACGGCCGTACATTTTGATGTCTGACTTCCACGGCACCTGGCCCACATCCCGGTCTGCCTCCGCCCTCCCCTGCACAGGTCCATCTACCATGCAGCCCCCACGGCTCGCCGTCTGCAGTGTTTCAGGCTGATGGGAGAACAGTGTTTCCTGTCTTTATAATGAGATGTAGATTCCCTATTTCAAAAGGCCTAATGGGATAGCATTTTTTAAAAAGAATTCAAATTGGCTAAATTTAGTTTCTGAAAAATGTCCAGTCCAAAAATAGACCTGTTCCGAAATATTTGTCACTGGGCCCCGGCTCGTTTTGTCTGAGAAGGTGAGTTGGCTGAGTTGTGGACGGTTGGAAGCTTCTTTTTCCATCAGCAAACAGGTGTCGGTAGGCACGCTGATCTCCGGCCACCCTCTCACGGAAAGGAGCATTTTCCTGGATCTCCGGCCACCCTCTCACGGGAAGGAGCATTTTCCTGGATCTCCGGCCACCCTCTCACGGGAAGGAGCATTTTCCTGGATCTCCGGCCACCCTCTCACGGGAAGGAGCATTTTCCTGGATCTCCGGCCACCCTCTCACGGGAAGGAGCATTTTCCTGGATCTCCGGCCACCCTCTCACGGGAAGGAGCATTTTCCTGGATCTCCGGCCACCCTCTCACGGGAAGGAGCATTTTCCTGGATCTCCGGCCACCCTCTCACGGAAAGGAGCATTTTCCTGGATCTCCGGCCATCCTCTCGTGGAAAGGAGCGTTTTCCTGGTGTTTGGCTGCTGCAAGTTTCTGACAGTCGCTCAGGAGGTGTCGCGCCATCTGTCCTCACTCGGCCGTCTCGTGACTCTGTGACCAGGCCTCATATTTTTTTCCCCGGGGACATTACGGAAGTTGGATCGTGAGGTTAGAAAAACTTGTCTCTGAGTTTCTTGTCTCTTTCTGGTCCTTATAGTAAGTTCATCTGACACTTTATAGTAAGTCCTTATAATAAGTTCATCTGACACTTTATAGTAAGTCCTTATAGGAAGTTCATCTGACACTTTATAGTAAGTCCTTATAGTAAGTTCATCTGACACTTCATAGTAAGTCCTTATAGTAAGTTCATCTGACACTTCATAGTAAGTCCTTATAGGAAGTTCATCTGACACTTTATAGTAAGTCCTTATAGTAAGTTCATCTGACATTTTATAGTAAGTCCTTATAGGAAGTTCATCTGACACTTCATAGTAAGTCCTTATAGGAAGTTCATCTGACACTTCATAGTAAGTCCTTATAGGAAGTTCATCTGACACTTCATAGTAAGTCCTTATAGGAAGTTCATCTGACACTTTATAGTAAGTCCTTATAGGAAGTTCATCTGACACTTTTTTCAGGCCCATTTTTTTTCTCCTTAAAGAAGTGGTCATTTGCTTCTGGCTTAGAAGAGGGTCTCCCTCCAGGGCTCTGGTGTGGCCCAGGTTCTTCCCTGGTGTTCACTCACCCAGTTTTCATCTCACTTGCCGCTTCGAGGTGAGGGTGCTGGGTTGCCTGCACCCCCTTCTCCCTTCCCTGTGCTGAAATCATTGGTCTCCCACTTTTTCCTCACTGTGAGGTCAGTGTGGGCTGAATCATTCTGTCCAGTTGTCCTGCCATGAAGCAGAGAGGGAGAGGAGAGACTCAGATAATCCCCAGGCTGCCGGCTACCACCAGTGGGCGCAGAAGGCAAGGTGCACGTTGCTCAATGCTCATGCCTCGCCTTCCTCCAGCCTAGTGTGCCCGGGCCGGTCTCACACCCATGGATTAAAGGGCAGATGAGGCCTGGTCTTGCCCGCCGGAGAGCCACAGTCAGGCAAGAAGCACAGATGTGCCAATCTCGGTCGTGCCGCCAGGCAGAGGCCTGATGGCAGGGCCCGGTCAGCACCAGCCGCCTGGGCTCGGTGTGGGGTCAGCACCAGCCGCCTATGCTTGGTGTGGAGTCAGAAGGAGGGGATGGGGCAGGAGGTTCTCCAGACAGCTCTGTCCTTGCTGAGCACAGTGGGGGCTGCCCAGAAGATGAAGGCTTAAATTCCCTCCTGAAATTTATAAACGGGGAGATGCCATGGCGGCCAGGAGGCACTGGAGAGAGGCAGCCTGGAGGTGCAGGCTGTGCCCTTGAGGGATGCTTGTGACGGGATGCTGTGCCTTCAAGGTGGGTAGGGGAGACCTTCATGATACTGTCGGCTGGGCCCAGGGCACTGCACGTCGGGCTCAGAGCCTCCCACTCCTGCCCCTCCAAGAAGGCGACCTCTGGGGTCCTCAGAGCAGCCTTCTGTAGGCGACTCTCAGCTGTTTAAGTGGATCACCCTCACTCGGTTCCCAATTATTATCATGTGAAAAACGGCAGAAACTGCAGTCATTGTGTGGTTACCACTTTCCTACACCTCTTCCTTAAGGGAACAGATTACAGCTCTGTCTTTTAACTTGGTGTATTTGGGGCAAGTGTTACCATGTGTCTTGCAAACCTGCAACCAGAGGTGTTGAGAAGCCAGGAGGGTTCTGAGAAGCCAGGAGGGTTTACTGGTGGGACGCAGACCTGACCGCTTAGGGCCGGATGGGTGTTGCTGCGGACCCCGTCACTTACGCAGAGGAGGGGCCCGGTATTTATGAGGAATTGCTGCTCTGTATCACGGAACACAAACTTTACAAACGCGTCTTTGGAGGCTCACCAGTGCCGGGAGGTCAGGCCGTCCCCTGCTCTTTCTTGGGTTTCCAGCTCACAGGGCCCTGGTGGGTTTGTTTTGAAGCCCCCTCTAGGGAAATGGGACATTCAGTCACTAGGAAGAATAAGGGCCTTGAAATCATAACTACGCCAGCGAACATTTACTTCCAGGAAAGAAGAATTGCAGGGATGCCTGTGAGATGGGAGGTGCCGCTGAAGGTCTTTTGAGATTGTGGACAGACCTGCAGGAATGAGAAGTTCTCCGCGAGGCGCTGAGAGGGAGGCACAGATGCCTGGGGGAATGAAAAGGAGCCACAGACGGTGGATGGAGAGGGAGGAAGTAGTTGGTGGAGCAGCCAGCAGCCCTAGGAGCTTCGAGTTCTTTATTCATCATTCGAATGCTGTGGGTATAAAAACGTGCCGGCTCACCAGATGGAGCCTTATCCACTCCACAGACACACTTGCGTGTCCTCTAAGATGATCCAAGATAATGAAATAGATAAATACTTGTTATTTTCCTTGAGGTCTTAAAAAATCCTGCACAGAGAAAGCTGGGTATGTTGAGTGGGCCGCCGTGGGGTCGGCCGTTTCCTGTCCGGGCGGCGCGGTGCGGCGTGTGATTGCCGCAGGAAGGGCCTTCGCGGCCCCACCACGGGCCGACCCTGGGCGCGGTGTCAGGTGCACTTTAATTCCCCATTCAACAGCCCTGCCTTCTTGTCTACCTTGCCTGGAGCCCTCTTTCTGAGGGTGGGAAGCTTCGGTTGCCTGGCAGATCTGAGTGAGGATGGAACCGCACCGCTCCACGTGGGGAGTGAGTGGTACAGCGTGGGAGGCCTCAGATCAGGTGCCTTTCCGAGTCCTCACGGCAGCCTCTGCAGCAGGCGTCCCAGCCACACCTGACAACCTTTCCTGGGGCTCACTTTGCGAGACCCTGACGGATTTCGTCCACTGTCACTGCCGTATCCCGTCGCCAACTCTGCCGAGTACTTCCCGATCTCACTGACACACGGTTCTGTTCCACACTGACATGGACAGATTTCACTGAACCTTAAACAATGGGACAACTCTCTTCCTAAAAAATCCAGGACTGACAGAAGCCAAGACACTTTCGGCCTGGGTTTTGCATGTTTTACCTGCCTTCCTCTGTGCCCATGCCTTTCCTGAAAGGTTCAGTGAGCTTTGCTTAGAAACAATGGTTGCAGTGTCATTATCTTACGTTCCTGAAGCTAGGAATAATATTACTTAGACGTCCAAGGCCACAGAATAGGGATTGAAAAGCAGTGTGCCTGCCCAGGTGCGGGGCTTACACCTGCAATCCCAGTGCTCTGCGAGGCCAAGGAGGGAAGATTGAGGTCAGGAGTTTGAGACCAGCCTGGGCAACATAGTGAGACCCCACCTCTAAAAAATAATTAGCCAGGCATGGTGGTGTGCACCAGTAATCCGGTCACTCAGGAGGCTGAGGTGGGAGGATCGCTTGAGTCCAGGAGTCTGAGGCTGCCATGAGCCACACACGCCACTGCACTCCAGCTTGGTGACAGAGTGAGACCCTGTCTCTAAAAAAGAAAGAAAAAAAGCAAGTAAGGAAGCAAGCAGTGTGCTGTTGTAACCAAGATACATATTTTTAGTCCATCTGGTAAATCATCCTAGCAATTTGTGATAATCTGGATGACTTTGGCTGAGTTTCTGGAAGCTTGCTCACAATATGGTCTTCTAGAAGAGGCTTTTGGCATGTCTGGTGGATACAAAAGAGGACACGAGGGTTTATTACTGATGAGTCATTCATTCATTTGATGTATTTACCAATAACCCCCAGTGTGTCCCTCACTGGGTTTGGCCTTGAGTGTGCTTTTGTAAATACAGAGGACAGTGTTTTCTGGATTTAGAGTCTGTGGAGGGAGATAAATATTAAGTATCCTGTAATCCTAGCACTTTGGGAGGCCAAGGTGGGTGAATTGCTTGAGCTCAGGAGTTTGAGACAAGCTTGGGCAACGTGGCAAAACCTTGTATCTACAAAAAATACTCAAATTATTAATACCTAGGCGTGGGGGCTCTTGCCTGAGGTCTCAGCTACTCGGGAGATGGGAGGAACACTTGAACACAGGAGGCAGAGGTTGCAGTGAGCTGTGATTGCCACTGCACTCCAGCCTGGGCGACAGAGCAAGACCCTGTCTCAAAAAGAAAAAAAATTAATTGCCAAGCAAGTGAATTGCTAAACATGTTTTTAATAATCTTAATTATAACTGAGCTCTGACTGTGGGAGCAGCTGGAAGCCCAGCGGAGAAGCGGCATTTGAGGTGTGAGGTCTGGTGCGTGAGTAGGAACGAGGGGCAGGTGGGGGTGAATGTATTCCAGGCCCAGGGAGAGAGGGAGGGGTGGAGCTCTTTGTGAATCTGAGGACTGTGGGTTGACTAGCGGCTGGCATGGCTAGGGGGCCTGGAGAGGGGCCCCATGTGTGTCAGATCCCCAGCTGGGGTGCCGTCCTCTGGGTGATGCCCCCAGGTGTGCTTTTGAAAGAGCAAAGTGCTGGGTGTTGGCTGGGAAGCCAGGATTCTGAATTTGTCAATTGACTGTCAGGGCTGTGCCACCCACACACCAGAAACCATGGCAGGGAAGGAGGCGGGTGGAGAGTGTGGGATAATGCTGGGGTGTGCCCACAGGTGGTCGGGGGATCCAGGGTCATCCTAGTGCTTACCTGAGGCTTGGTGCCCTGAGCCGCTAGGGTCCTGTTTTAGGTTATAACCGGTATTTGGCTGACAAGGCAGTTAGGGGCCAGGCTGTGAGGGCCTTTTAGGTCATGTTAGCGGCTTTTTTTGTGCTAATAGTCATAAGAACACGCTGAGTTTGTGGCTGGAATACCTTGCTGGGGGCTGTGTGAGGATGAGCGGGTTGGGGCCACGAGTGTCTGGGAGGAGCTGGCGTCTGGGGGGGATACTGCTGGTGGCATAGGAGACGGGAGAAGGTGATGGGCTCATGCTGTTTAGCAAGTGGGCCAGGCATGGTCATGGCCGGATAGGGAGCAGGTGTGGGCAGGTTGGGGCTGACGGCAAAGACGATGTCGTTGTGGGACCGCCTTTGAGGGCCAGGTTGGGTTAGAAACCATGGAGCTGACATTGAGAATGTTCTCTGATCTGTTTTTAATTAGCACAGATGCAATCTTATATATTAGAGAAGATTTTAAGACACAATAAAAAATGCATGAACTTTGGTTTTCCATCCAGGCCTTGTTCTTTAGGTGTGAAAGTTGGGATTTACTTTTTTTTCATCTCCCTGATTTCATATTCATATGCAGCCTACCCTGAGATCATACTGGGATCTCAGGACAGAACTCTGTTGAGTCAAGACCTATGCAAGCTGAAAGATCGTCTGGTCAGGCCTCAGCTTTCATAGATGCGGAAACTGAGGCTGAACCTGGAATCCCCCTTCCCCTGAGCGCTGTCTCCCCACGCAGGCTCTGCCCAGCCACACCCTCCTCACCCTGAGCTTGAGTCAGGAGAACGTTCTTTTAGCAGATCTCCCGCCTCCGGTCTCTCTCGGCTTGAAACCATCCTACACACAGCTGCCGGGATAATCTTTCTGGAGCCATTTTTATCATGTCACTTCTCTGCATGCGGTGTTTTCTGTTGCGTTTTGGCAGACCCAGATTTCCCCTTTCTGGCTCTCGAGTTTTCTGCAAAATGTCCTCTTTCCTGGGGTGCCCGCAATGGGTCTTCCGGAATGTTTGCCTCAAGAAGCTGTTTCCGTGCAGTTCCCTGTTCGTGGCTCCCTGTTTCCCGCCATGGGGCCTTTGCACATGCTGCACCCCCACCTGGAATACTCGTCATCAACCCCCACCTCGTGCTGTTTTTCCTCATTGCTCTCTGTCCCCTTCCCTTTGCCATCTAACTCCCTTTCTGCTTTAAACTTGCTCCAAAAAATTCTTCCCTCCCCTGAACTCGGACCATTTCCTCACTTTTGGGTCCCTTTTAGCAGTGAGTTATCCACTTTACATTTATAGAATATGTAAAATACCGCAATCCAGCCAACCTGCCCTCATCCAGTGATGAAGCCCATCTGTGAAAAATGCTAAGAAGGCCCCCATGAGATTTATTGAAAACATGGTTTCCTTCATGTGTCGGCCATGGTGCAGTTGCATGAGACTCGATTCATTTAGCACCGTGTTTTGAGGACTGTTGCTCTGAAAGTTGAATGACACCCGTAGGCACTGGGCTGATGGGATGTTCTGGTGGGTTCCTAAGCATGAGCCTTTGCTTCATTTGGGTTTTCCATTTGGACCCGGCCATACCCTCCCCTGTGTCACGTGCTGCTCACAGCAGTTGACGGATGGTGCTGGGTCACAGGCTGTGTGGTCCACAGGCGGGCTGAGGGTTGGGATCGTACGGGACCATATCTGAGATCAGATGTCTTTGAATTAAAGATTGTGTGTCTTTGATTTTCCTATTTTAGGTTCATGTTTTTAGCAGAATCTAGAGGGTGTTGAAGTTGTTCTGAAGCTGTATCCAATTCCCTGGTGCTCTGCATGAAAGTCACTGTGTAATCAAAGACTGAGTCTCCTCTCGTGTATTTTAAACAGGAATCGGGGCACGTGTAGCAGGCATTCCCAAATGCGTCTTGTCTCCTCGTTTCCCACCTCTGCGCTCATTAGTGACTGCTGGGCGGCGTGGGGCAAGTGTGTGGGGTTGAGTCCTGGTGCTGCTTGCTGCCTTTGAGCAGTGAGGACATGGCTGTGCCCTTTACTGTCCCTGCCCTGTTATTTTATCTGTGAAATGGAGATGATGGTAATTTCACCACTTACCATATGTGGCTGTTGGAAAGATCAGAATGAAAATGAGCTCACTGAAGCCTAAAAAGCAGGAGTGGCCATCCCGAGGTTCCCTCATGGCCAGGTGGACAGTGAAGCCAGGACTGATGGAGGGGCCCCTGTATTGTGAGCAATATTTCTTATTTTTGTTTCCAAAAATATTTTTTCTTCTGGCAAAAACTCGGTAGTGCCACATCTGTACTTTCTGAATAAACCTTGAAACAATCATGAAGGCCTTTCTGTAGGTAGAGGGTTACCTCGTTTCCCTGTTATTGCTTATCAGGTTGTATTTAAAAACTTAAAAATGATTTAATATTTATATATTTATAGATATTTTAAATAAAAGTAACATTTGCGTATAGTTTACAAATCAAATAGTTCAGTAGGAGCTACAATTGAAAAGCAAGAGCGTCTTGCTCCACCTCTGCCCATCCCAAGGTGCCCGGGAGAATCACCGTTAGTCACTGTTAAAGACTTCCTTTTCTGAAATTTTATTTGAGACAGGGTCTTATTCTGTTGCCCAGGCTGGAGTGCAGTGGTGCAGTCATGACTCACTGCAGCTTCAACCACCTGGGCTCAGGTGATTCTCCCACCTCAGACTCCTGAGTAGCTGGTACTACAGGTGTGCACCACCACACCTGGCTAATTTTTGTATTTTTTGTAGAAATGTGGTCTTGCCATTTTGTCCAGGCTGGTCCTGAACTCCTGGGCTCAAGTGATCTACCCGCCTCAGCTCCCGAAGTGCTGAGATTACAGATGTGAGTCACCATGCCCGGCCAAGACTATTTTTCAAAGAGTTTTAGATACACAGCAAAATTGAGCAGAAGGCACAGAGAGTTCCTATCTAACCACTACCCTCCCCAACAGCCTTCCCATTATCAATAACCCCCACAACCTTCCCATTATCAATACCCCCAACAGCCTTCCCATTATCAATACCCCTGACAGCCTTCCCATTATCAATACCCCCCACAACCTTCCCATTATCAATACCCCCCACAGCCTTCCTGTTATCAATACCCCCGACAGCCTTCCCATTATCAATACCCCTGACAGCTTTCCCATTATCAATACCCCCCACAGCCTTCCCGTTATCAATACCCCCGACAGCCTTCCCATTATCAATACCCCCCACAGCCTTCCTGTTATCAATACCCGCAACAGCCTCCCTGTTGTCAATACCCCCCACAGCCTCCCCATTATCAATACCCCCCACAGCCTCCCCATTATCAATACTGCCTGAGTGGTGTGTCTGCCACAGTGGATGGACCCACACTGATGCGTCATTGCCGTGTGGAGTCCATGGTTGACGTGGCTCCCCCTGGGCTGCACGTTTCCAGGGTTGGGACACGTTCCCGGGGTTGGGACGGGTATGCACAGGTGTGTGACCAGCACTCCGGAGTCCACGGTTGACGTGGGGCTCCCTCCTGGGCTGCACATTCCTGGGGTTGGGACGGGTGTGCACAGGTGTGTGTCCAGCACTCCAGAGTCCACGGTTGATGTGGGGCTCCCCCCTGGGCTGCACGTTCCCGGGACTGGGACGGGTGTGCATAGGTCTGAGTCCAGCACTCCGGTGTCCCCCAGGGCGGTTTCCCCATGTGACTCCCTGCGACTGGTTCCTGTGTGTAGCTCTGTGGGGATGACTTACACGCCCCTGATGTATCTACTCTAGACATTAAGTATTTACTACCTCTTCCCCTCTCTCGATAGAATTGAAACGTTGCTTTTAGTTCTTCCTTTGCTAACTCATTAACTTTAAACGATAAATTGCACCTTAATTTCTTGCTCTGTCAACTCTAGGCAGTGTCAGTTGACAGCCCAGCTTGCCGTGGAGAGATGCCAGCAGCTCCACGCTTACTTCTCATTTCGCTTCCACCACCCAGCAATTGTCAGGGTTGAGACCATTGAGAGTCTGTTTAGTAATCAGAGTTAATTTTGGTGCTTTTTTGTATAAGCCGAACATTGCAAATACATCTCTGTGTCCACCTTATGCTGACATTTTCCCTGCAGAGCTGACTGCTGCACACTGACGGTTTTCTTTCTTGTCCTTCCTGGAATTTCTGTGGCTTCTTCTTCTCTTGCATTTCCATCTTTATTCCTCTGAAAGGCATTCCAGAGGCCCAAGGGATGACACAGGCTTTTCAGTGTGACGCCTCCTGTCTCCTCCCTTGCTGCCTGATCTGCGGGGGTTTCTTTCCTGAAGTCTTCACTGTGACCTTCAGAATCAACTTCTCTTTAGGCCTGAATGCAGCCCTGTCCTTTCTAACCCTTTCATCTCTCTCCTGGTTAGACCGATTGTTTCTGAAATTTCTCATGTTTTTCTGTCCTTATTTCCACCTTCATTTTGTTGATGTCCGTCTTCAAATAATTTCCTAAAGTTTCTCATCTTGCCTGTCCAAAACTCTACCCTCATATATTTGAAAGTTTGGTTGGGTATAGAATTCTGACAGCAAAATAATTTTGCCTAAGAATTTTGAGGGCATTTTCCTTTCCTGAGTTTGTCGGCTTTAACTCAGTGTTGTTGCTGGGAAGCCTGATTTTTGTCCCTTTGCTGAAACTGACTCCTGCTCTCATGGCATAGTTTCTTCTCTTTATCCTTGTGTTCTAGAAACTCACAAAGGTGTGCATGGGTGTCAGGCATGTCCCTCAGTGCAGGGCTTCGCGAGCGCCTCCGATTGGGAGTTGCACGCATGCACCTGCTGCTTCCACAGGTGCTCGGCAGCGTCCCCCCACCCCTCCCACTTGCTCTCCTGTTGCTGGGGTTTGCTCTTCTCCTCAGGGTGCCTGCACCGAGAGCCACCATGCTGCGGGAGACCCTAATTCCCAGATCTTAGGTCTCAAATCAATTTTTGAGAGGAAGAATATTCCAATTTTGCGAGTGGGTGGTAGTTTCCAGGCTCATGGGCATTTTGATCGGGGGACATATGAGGACTGGCAGCTGACATGGTCGGTCCTGGCTAGCATCGAGTGTTTGCCTGTGCCGGGCGCCGTTCTGAACCATTCGCTCTCTGCACGTCGCTTGTGTCCCTTTCGTCTCTGCCCGGAGTGACCAGGCCTGGGTGTCTCAATCCTGGCTTGGGGGGCCAGGCCCCTTCTCTGCTCCCCCCCACTTTACTTTCTCCTCTGCTCCCTTCCTCTCCAGTTCCCAGTGAATTGGTAGAACCTGCTGGTCTTCCACCCACGCCTTCCATCTCTGTGGATTTCTTTCTTTCTGAACTCCTTTACTGTCACTCACTGGGGGTTTGAAGGAAGAGGAGGCACATCCATACAGTTCCTCAACCACCTCGAATCGGGAGCAGACTGCAGTTCTATTGCATCACGGATTTTGGCTTGAAATGTAGTATAACTCTCTAACGTTATTCACGTAATAATGGCCGGGCCTTCTGTAAGATTGTAGTTTTTTATATCTACATGGCGTTGCTTTTAAACAAAAATCTGTGGATTTTACAATTTCACAAGTGGACGTGTGGCTGAAAGGCCAGTGTGGGGGATCCTGGCCGGGATGGGCACTGGGTCCCCTCCATGCACCCTTAGGGAACATCTTCTTTCATGTTTGAAAGCAGAGACATCAGCAACCATGGAGTGAGAATCATTCCCGTGTGTCAGGCACTCCTGGAACCCTTCCTAGAAGACGGCCCGAAACGCGGAGCCAGCTCCCTCTATCCCTGAAATGAGTGCCTGAGGAAGAGCCTGAGGTCGCGCTGTCCTCACCCCTCTGTCCCGGGCTAGCTTCTTGCACCAGCTGTCCAGCCTGGCGTGCGACACCCTGCGGAGGAGGCCCTGGAGAGGGGATGGGGAAACGTTGGCCTCAAGACTGAGAAAGTGAACGCCCCTGAAGGCTGGATGAGGATGCTTCTGAAGCAGGAGATTTTCGCTTGTTTTTAAGAAAACCCGAGGAGGAACTGATGAACCCGCCTCGGGTGCAGCATCCAGAATATTTACGATGATAGGTCGCTGTGGGTTTTGGCGTATATCTTCCAGGCAGTCAAAGGCTGTGCTATGTAACTGTCACAGAACTCCTGTGTGTCTCTTTGTGAGCAAAGTTTCTCATGCTCACGTCTAGAAAAACAAAACATAATCCTAGAAGTAATGCTTGGCCCAATTAGTCCAACAGAAACTAATATTCATCCGTGGGAGAAAAAGCCCACTCTTACCATGAAGTGGTAGCAGTTTACTTTTTATGTGCAACTTATTACCAACGATATGGAATATCTTTGTCAAACTCTTGGGACCTCATGGTCACAGGGTGTTTTAAAATGTAAATTGTATTTGCATATACGTCTTTGTTGCAGAGAAGTATAACATGATGGATGAGAACTTTCAAGCATGTAATAGGTTATTTTGGGATGAAATCTTTGGCTCAAATGGAGTGGAATTAAGAGGTGAAACAGAGTAAAAGTAACAGTGTCAAATTTGTTCACGTATTTAAGAGAAACCATTCCGAGTCGCCACTTTGCTGACTCCCAGGGGTCACCCCCTGCTTTGCAGAGCTCTTCTGCTTGCCACCTGGGCAGCCCTACCACGGCAGCCACCCAGTGAGTATGACTCTTGAGGTCCACTGAATACATTTAAAGGAAGAAGGTGACAGTTTGGTTGATTGATTGAAGGAGACAGGGTCTCACTCTAGCCCAGGCTGGAGTGCGGTGGCACAGTCACCACAATCACAGCTCACTGCAGCCTCACCCTCCTGGGCTGCAGTGATCCTCCCCGTCAGCCTCCGGAGTAACTGGGATCACAGGTACACACCACTACACCAGGCTAGCTTTTGAATTTTTTGTAGATACAGAGTTTCACCATATTGCTCAGGCTGGTCTCCTACTCCTGGGCTCAAGCAGTCACTCACCTCGGCCTCCCAAAGTGCTGGGATTACAGGCGTGAGCCACTGCGCCCAGCTGACGGTTTTATTTAAATGTCCAGTAATGACAGTGGAGTAGGAATTAAGTCACTTGCAATACTTCACGAGTTATTCAAAGAGGGATTGGAGAAAAAAAAAAAGGGAAGACGACTAGTTTAGGGAATCTGGAATCCAGAAATCTGGTGGGTTTAGGAGTGCAGGGACGAAGCTGAGCCCAGGCTGACCGTGCCCTGGAAGGAGCACGGCGTTGTGGAGACATGGACTATCAGCAGCGCAGCCGGGATGAGGACTGGGGTTAACCCGCACTTCCCTTCGCGTGCTACTGCTGTATTTATTGAGAAGGTTGCTTGTTAAGGACGCACATCGTATTGAAGTGAAGATCACTGTTACTGTTGTCACTCATCTTCTTGCATATCAAGATAAAGAGCCCTCCATGGTTATCAGAAAAACTGCTTGAATCTGAAGGGGGAGCTTCACTGTTGCTGCCGTGCTCTTCTGCTGTTAGAAGTTGTTAAAGGAGGAGAACTTATCAATGGCATCTTGAATGGGATTTTGTTCCATAATTCGCACTTCTAAGACCATTCCTCATAGAATTTGCTCGAAAGGGTCTGTTGAGAATAAGAGAGTTGGAGTGACAATTTATGATGGAAACACATGATGAGTGGCAGACGTTAGGCAGGTGAGCAGATGGTGGTGGTCGGTGGCGACCCAGAGAGGCAGTGCTGGCTGAGGAGAGGGCAGCACACCTCACCGGGGACTCGGTGTGTCCTTCGTCTCAAAGACAATACGTGTGTCCTGAGTGCAAGGCACTGAACACACATGAGGTGTGGAAAACCCGATACTTGGTGGTAGAATTTAAAAAAAATGAAAAGAATGAGGCAAACGATGAAATAGAAAATCCTTCTAACTGCAGTCTTGACTCATAGCTGATGATTTCCTTATTTAAAACAGTATTTAGAATTAAACAGAAAGTGACGGCCTCATAAAGTGAAACCAATTGGTGTTTGGAGGGCCAGGGCCTTTACTGTGTTTGGCTGAGCTTCCGGCTTTTAATTGGAAATTTTCATTTTTAAGAGTCTAGTTTGTTCCAATAGGGTGTGTATGTCTTAAGACTTCCTAACCTGTAACCACATTTAGTTTTTGTGGTTTAAATAGACTGGCGAGGTACTGAGTCATGCCTCTCCCTCCTGAAGGCATGACATGCTGTCTGAATTGGGCCAGGGCTCAGCACCGTGCCGCAGCTGCCACTCATCCTGCCTCATTTTGGCAATGAAGAGTCACAGGCGTGGATTTAGACTGGAAGGCTTCTCACTACCCAGAGGTGAGGAAGTGTGGGGTACAACATTTTTATTCAAGTTTCCATCTAGAGAAATTGCTTCTATCACAAATCTTTTTAAACCTTTACTCGGTAATTTTCTCACTTCCTATGAACTACTCCATCCATCCGAGAGAAGAAATGAGATCAAAACTTACATAAACGCCTATTATATACTTTGTCACTTCGCTGTTTAAAAAAGAACTATCATTTTCTTTTAAAACCCATCAATGTGTCTTCTGACAGGATAACAAGTAGGAAATACCTGTGGTGGAGCCCACAGACTCTGTGGCTGATTTTGTGGTCTAGCCTTGTCACCCGAGTCCAAGCTCTTCTCAGTTTTATTGTTAGGTAATAAAAAATCACCCTCATGTTATTGATCAGTTATTTTTCTAATTAGATACATCAGTAACCTCTACCGTAAGTACCATAAAACTGGCCCCATCACACACCTTGTGGTTGTAGTAGAGGAATGACTTGTGCCGTCTTCTAAGCTGTTGTGTAAGGGGCTCATAACTTGCAGGTTCTCTCATAGGTATAACTGTGACCTAAGCAAAAAAGCAGTCTATTCTAAATACTAGCCACAGAACTTTAAAAAAATTTGTACCAAAATTTACCTATAAATCCAGATGTTTCATATCTAACCTACTCAAAGCAAAATGAAGATTCAAGGAGAAAAATGAATGATTCCTCAGCAACCAGAATAGATTCAATAAAGCTTGTGGCTGTTACTGATATAAATTGACAGTGACTAGTGGTAGTGAGCAAATTTTATTGAAAAGTTTGAATTGGCATTTAGAACGTATTTAGTAAAATTGGAGTATTGCAGAAAGGGACTTGAGGAAATGGGGCAGCTACAGTGGGTGGGGTGCCCGTCTCCACGCCCAGGTTTCAGGATGAGTTTCTCTGCTGTTATCTGTTTTTATATTGGAGTTTTTCCATATGAGTTTATTTAAAAGATAACTTTATTACAAAAAAACCCTAATATGAGCTATAAGATTTTCAAGGGCTGTTCTAGGGGTAAAATGATCTGATAATGTATCAATGTTAAATACTGTATTTGGTAAAATATTTTTTTTCTTTAGTGTGCAGGTAGTTTTTTAATAATATCCTTAAACCTGTTATGCGGTGGATAGAAAACAACAAATTCTTTGTCAGGAGTCTAACAGTGTTAGTGCCATATGTTGGTGGAGATCATTTTTGTTGACTTGTGCTGGAACCAAAATAATTATTAATTGCCAGATACGTGGCATTTGACCTGACTCAAATGACATTGGAATACAGCAGCCCTTGGGGCAGGCAAATGTCAGTCCAGTTTATATTGAAAACAGCACCCCAAAATGGTCCTGAAACAACAGTGACCCTAGGGAAAAAATTAATTTTTGTATAATATAAACAAGGGTCACGTTTGGGACCTCTAAGACTCTATGGAGTTTCCTCTATGGTCAGCAACATGGTGCCTTCACCTCGTTGCTCTGCCGTCCTTGATGTCTGTCTTTCCCACTGTGGCACATGTGTGTACACACATGCATGTACACAGACACACACACACGCGATGATGCACACACAAATGCACAAACACACCCCCACACACATGCAACCACACACAGGTGCACACAAACATACCCACATATGGCCGGGTGCGGTGGCTCACGCCTGTAATCCCAGTACTTTGGGAGGCTGATGCAGACACATCACAAGGTCGGGAATTCGAGACCAGTCTGACCAAAATGGTGAAACCCAGTCTCTACTAAAAATACAAAAATCAGCTGGGCGTGGTGGCATGTACCTGTAATCTCAGCTACTTGGGAGGCTGAGGCAGGAGAATTGCTTGAACCCGGGAAGCGGAGGTTGTAGTGAGTCGAGATTGTGCCATTACACTCCAGCCTGAGTGACAGAGCGAGACTCTGTCTCAAAAAAACAAAAAACAAGAAACAAAACCAATCCACACAACTCACATACATGCAATCACACACAGCTGCACATACGTGCACATATGCACACACACCCTAGGTGTGGGGTACATAACATCTGCCCCAAACCCTTTCCCAGTCAGCTCGTCACCCTGCGGTGTGGCTGCACACCCCTTGTTGGTCAACCCTCGTGTGTGTTCAAGTCACACCTATGCTGGAGGCCATCCTTCCTCTATGTGAGCTGCAGCGTTCTTTGAAATTCGTCACATAAATCTTTCTAATGTCCTCCGGAATTGAACTCTGGGGTGACCCAAATTAGTGCAGCAAATATATTGTGATATAGATGAATTACAGCTGGTGCCTCTGCCTTTATCAATGTGTCCGGCGTTATTGGCTGTCGGAGTGAGAGCCAGATCTCATTCCACCAGCATTTCTCTCTGGGCAAGCACGCACATGCATGATACTTGGAGTGATCATGTCCGTTGACCAGTGGGCACCGTGCAGTCTCACAGAGGATGGTTTTCATTCTTTGAAAAGCAGCTTTTGTTTTACCAGAGTCAATCACCAAAGAACTAAGCTGTCCTGTCAACACTGCCAGCGTCAGACAGTTTAGCAGATGCAGTCCAGATGGACACTGTGTCCATCCTGAGGCTCGGCCAAAAGTGGTCTAAGAGCTGCTTATTCTTGGGCTGTGTTTTCTAGTTCCTTGGGTGGATGGGCGGCCTAGACTTGTAACATGTGAAGACCCGGGTGGGCAACAGTGAGGGGACATCCAAGGCCATGACTCAGCAGGAGCACAGCTTCCTCCTCCTGCGGTGCACTGGCGTCAGGCGCCCATGAGATGGGAAAGCCAGGCTCTGAGATTCTGGATGACGAAGATCCTCAAGCACTGTAACTTCTAGGAAAGGAAGTTAGATCCAGGGTGCCATCCCCGGGGTGCATCTCCTCTTTTGAGGTTGGTGTCCTGGTTATGAGCCGTGTGTTTCTGCTGGGGCCACATCCACGGCTCCGCTTCTTCCTGGATCCTTGTGGTCCTGCATGATGGACCTTCCACTCTTGCTAGCAAGGAAATAAAAACACAGGAACACCAGCCTGGTGAGCCACAGTTGTGGGAGGAAGTCAAGCAGTTCAAGGATGCCCAAAGGCACAGGTACAGGTGTTGCTGGCTACTGGCTGTTGACTGTTTTTTTTTTTTTTTTTTTTGAGACAGAGTTTCGGTCTGTCGCCCATTCTGGAGTGCAATGGTGCCATCTTGACTCGGTCTTGGCTCACTGCAAGCTCTGCCTCCCAGGTTCAAGCGATTCTCGTGCCTCAGTGGGTAGCTGGGATTAGAGGCACCTGGCACCCTGCCCGGCTAATTTTTGTATTTTTAGTAGAGACGGGGTTTCACCATGTTGGCCAGGCTGGTCTCGAACTCCTGACCTCGTGATCCACGTGCCTTGGCCTCCCAAAGTGCTGGGATTACAGGTACGAGCCACCACGCCAGGACGGCTGTTTAATTGTTTAAGGTACAAGGAGTTTGTGCATCAATCTTTAGGGTTGAGACATTATATTTCTACGGAGGTAGTGAGAATATTTGAGACACAGGCTGCTATCTGCAGCTGCAGCAGAGCTTTGGGGTGAGCACTCTTGGTAAGTGGTTTAGAATTAGCAACTGATAGCAAGGTTTTTATCAAATTCAGTAAACTTGACCCTCAGGGAGAAGTTTCTTGCAGTAGAGGGCTTCATTTGTGCCAGTGATGACACAATAATCTCTTGAGATGGACATTTAAGCTGTTTTTTACAATGTAAGAAGTAACCAAAGACATTAACTCAGAAAAGCAACACTTCTCTGATGTATAATTTAGAGGGACATGGTGGAGTGAAGGAAGATGTGCATTCTCTTTCAGCTCTCTAGTGTTTTCCCCACTTCCCGTGGGCTTTGGGAGTGTAATCAGAGGACAGGGAGATACAGGTCCCCTCACTCATTGTCCAGTTGGGTTTGAAATAAAAAGCAAGCTGGAGCCCGTTCACTGCAGCGTCTGAGGGAGGCCGGGGAGGCACTGCCACATGCTGGTCAGACAGGCATGTGGTAGCTGAGCCCTGCCTTTTGTTAGCATCTCCTCCTTATTCCTGAACCACTTCTAAGAGTAGTGTTGTGGTTATTTACTATACAGTCACTCAGACAAATTACTCAAATAACTGTTATTTCAGTTAAGCTTTTCGCTGTGGGCTTGTATGGACTTCAGCATGAACCAGGAGGGAAGGCGTTGATTTTTTTTTTTTTTTTTTTTTTTCTGACATGAATCTTGCTCTGTCTCCCAGGCTGGAGTGCAGTGGTGTGATCTTGGCTCACTGCAACCTCCACCTCCTGGGTTCAAGTGATTCTCCTGCCTCAGCCTCCCGAGTACCTGGGACTACAGGCGCTTGCCACCATGCCCGGCTAATTTTTTGTATTTTTAGTAGAGATGGGGTTTCACCATGTTAGCCAGGATGGTCTTGACCTCCTGACCTCATGATCTGCCCGCCTCGGCCTCCCAAAGTGCTGGGATTACAGATGGCGCTGATAATCTTGGTCTTGACTCTGATTGAGCCCACACCTCCTGGTGCACTCCAGCATCAAAAAACACTTAAAAATGGTGCGCTTCCATCGGAAAACCTAACATTTAAAATTGGCATGCTTTAAAAATATGAAATTCATTGGCTACTTACATCATTTCATGTGTCTGGGGTCAGGAGAACGCAGTCTGTGTGGGGCTGAGGACGCTGGCCTCACAGGAGGCTGGCTCTGGTCTGAACCTTGGGCGTCCGCAGCCTGTGTGAGGGGGCATATCCTTATCCCTCATGGCTGCAGCTTCCCAGAGGTGGGTGACACCAAGGGATTGTTTCGAGTATTAGGTGAGACAGTGCGTGCATGGTCAGGTGTGGTCCCGCACAAGCAGGTGGTCTGTCAGACTAGCAATAGTGAGTGTGAGCAGCTCGGATCTCTAGAGAAAGAAAATCAGCTCAGAAACCTTTTGAGGTTAATAAATAATGATAAACAGAAGCATTTCATCCCGAGGGGCAATCTGAAAGTTAAGAGACTAAGACATGAAGGCACATGGAGTGCTTGCAGTCTTGGGTCTCAGCAGGGAAGAAGTATTGTTCTCTTGAGTTTCCACTTGGATATCCAGCAGAAAAACGCTAACAAGAACTTGTTTAAAGGTGATTGTCAGTGTGGTCAGTTGTGAAGTGGGATGCCCCATAACAAGCAAAACGGCGGCAGACAGGAAGCATAGCCATTAACCCCGAATACAGGAAAAAGGGACAAACTATTTAGAAAAATGAAACAATAGAGAATCCCCATGTAATTTTCCCTTTTAGTGTTGCTCCTTTTTAAAAAATCATGAGAAATCTTTCAGAAAGTTTGGGAAGGAACAGAGAAGTAAACTGGGCTAATTTATTGATTCAAAATTTTGATGAGTTACAGACATCTGTGGTGACGTGTTGGGATTTGAGTGGCTCAGGTGATGCTTATGTGTTTGCACATCCTAGACGGTAGCTTGGGTTAGGGGCAACAGAGACACTCATTTCTACTCCCCTTCCTCCTAGGGACACGAGCCTCTTGCGTTCCCTGGGATTCTTCCCATTAAAAATGACAACTCAATGGGAACAGAAGCCACATTGTATGCATCCACAGGCCCCTAGAGCAGCCTCCACGGACATGTTACGGAAAACATGAAAGATGGAGTCAGAAGCCATGAAAATGGACCACGGCTGAGCTGACTGGCTTCAGCAGCTGCGGGGGTCATGCCGACCCCAGAGTCACTTGTGCAGCTCTACACAGGAGGGTTTTCTTCCTGTTCACAATTATGAAACATTGAGGGAGAGATAGCTTTAAGTACGAATAATAGTAAGAACTTACATGCATGCATCGTTTTCCTACCATACCTTCAAGACATTTTCTAGATGATCTTATCACAGGTTTTGTACGTTTTTATAAAGAAGAAACATACATTATCCCTATTTATTCAGATTCATTTGCACAGCACAGTGTTGCTACAATTTGCCTGGAGTTGTGGAGTTAGTGAGGGGCTGCGGAATGCTCATCTCGTCAGGGGTGAGGGAGAGTGCGTGCGTGGCGTGCGTGGCTCAGAGGGAGGATGGAGGTGTGAGGGAGGCCTTGCTCCTCCTCCGTGTCCTCCGCCTCCCACCCTGGGGAGCACAGTGCCCTTCTGGGTTATTTAATCACAGGTCCATGCTATGCCAGTTTGTCTGTGACTTAAGACTTTCTGACTGATGACCAAAGACTTTTTTTCTTATAGAAATTGAATTTTGAGACTGAAGATACATGTTGTTCACTGCAGGAAGCCATATGTTCCTCAGCTTTACAGGGCTGCCAATCCCCCGCCTCCTCTCAGCTGATTTCTGTAATTCACTTGGTGTCTCCTTGGCAGTTTCTGTGGGCTCCGAACAATTTCTAAGCATGCACCTCTGTCCTGTTTGGCCGAGGAAGATTCGGTGGCGTCTCTCCTTCGTGCTGACCTCCTGCTTCTGGCTGTGGGATGTGATTGCTGGGCCGGCTGTGGAACAGGTTCAGGGGGTTATGCTTGCATTGTGAGCCCCTGAGCTGTAAAATCCTGGGGCAGGCATCACACAGTTATATACTGACCTGTATTTCTGTTGTCCTTGATAAGACATGAATGACATTTAACTCATAAACCTAATTTTGGTTTAGAAATTATGCCTCTTTTTTTTTTTTAAAGTAGAAGGACTCTTAGGGATGGAAAAAATTTTTCACTTTTCTGTAGGGCAGGTTGATGTGGTCTTCTTAGTGTAAACAGGGGTCTTTAAAATATTACTGCTAGATGTTTTTATGATGATTTTGGAAGTGTGAGTGTCCTATTCTCCAGACAGGTGCCTTCCAGCTCCATTTCTCCATTTCGTGAAGTTGTGACAGGTCCCTTGGTCCTCCTGTGCTGGGGTCAGAATCAAGTAGTGATTGTAAAATTACCTAATTTATGTCAGTGATTGCTAACATTTCCATAAACTCTAAACACTTAATCATGCATATTGCTACTTTCTGTCCACATCTACTTGCAAATGTCCTTAAGAATTTTGTGCAAATGCTCAAAACTAAGAGATATGAGTTTTAATGCAAACGTGCTGTGCAGAGGCATTTTGTAAAAGGATCGAGGGACCTCTGTGAATGCTTAGATTTAAATACGTTTCATAGAGTTATTAGGTAGATCTCCCTTATTAAGTAGAGAAAAACACTTTCAGAAACACATTTTGATTTTCCTAAAAGGGTTTTATCCTCTTTATCCAAAATCCTGGGCCTGCACTAGCCGGGTCTAAGGCAGGCCGGCTAGCTCTGTCACTAAGTACTTGCTACTTAATTGTTTCACACCCAAAATTTGTGGATTGCCAGGGCAACTTTCAGTTCCAAATTAAAAGGCTGTCTGTACTAGTCCAACCCAGGTGGTTTAGTTAAGAGTAATGGTCACGAGAGTGGCAACCCCTACCTTGCTACCCAGAGACGCATTGAACACGACGTGGCCTCTGGGGCTCTGCCCCACTGTTAGGTGAAAATATTTATCCTCAGAAGCTCCTTTATTTTAAAATGACTTTGTTTAAAAAGTTATGGAAGTAATTTACACTAACCATAAAAATTGAAGTGGCACATATAGAATAAACAATGGAAAGGGCAGTGTGGAGCGTGTCCTTCTAAACTGATTGTGTCTGGTGGGGACAGAATTCTAGGCTCATCTGCAATTTTATTTCATTTTATTTTTTTAGAGACAGGTTCTCTCTCTGTCTCCAGGCTGGAGTGCAGTGGCACCATCATAGCTCACTATAGCCTCCAACTCCTGGACTCAAGCGATCCTCTTGCCTCAGCCTCTCGAGTAGCTGGGACTAAGGCATGCACCACTATGCCTGGCTAATTTTCTATTTTTTGTAGAGACAAGGTCTTGCTCTGTTGCCCAGGCTGCTCTTGACCTCCTGGGCTGAAGCGATTCTCCTGCCTCAGCCTCCCAAAGTGCAGGGATTACAGGCATCAGCCACTGTGCCCAGCCTCATCTGTAATTTTAAATTTTCTAGTAGCCATATTGAAAAAGTAAAAACAGGCAAAATCATGTTTAATAATATATTATTTAAACCATCGTGTTTAAAATGTCATCTCATAATCATTATATTAATATTAATAATTTTTTTTGAGACAGAGTCTTGCTCTGTTGCCGAGGCTGGAGTGCAGTGGCATGATCTCTGCTCACTGCAAGCTCCGCCTCCCAGGTTCAAGTGATGCCCCAGCTGCAACCTCCTGAGTAGCTGGGACTACAGGCACACACCACCGTGTCTGGCTAATTTTTGTATTTTTAGTAGAGACGGGGTTTCACCATGTTGGCCAGGCTTGTCTCAAACTCCTCGCCTCAGGTGGTCTGCCTGCCTCGGCCTCCCAAAGTGCTGGGACTACAGGCATGAGCCACTGCACACTGCCTTAATAGAGTATTTTACTGTCTTTTCTTTGGTACTAAGTCTTCAAACTCTGAAAAGTATTTGAGACACTTGCAGCCCATCTCGACTGGACAGGCAACGTTACAGGTGTTTGAGAGGGATGTGGGGTCATGGCGCCCTGGCTCCAGCACAGTGCCACACATGGCTTCTTGTGGCATGCATGGAATTAAGTGCTCTGCAAATCACTTCTTCCGCTGAACGGTGTACATCAGAGGGTTTTGTGTGTATGTGTAGGCAGAGCTTCCTAATTCCTCTGGGTGGTGGTGTTAGAGCTAGAGTACATGGAATGCACCCCAGATGCATTGAGCCATCAGCACACACACTCCATGCAGGACCTTCCAGATTGTTCTCTGTAACAGTAGGATGGCATGGACACACTTGTTTATGCTGGGTGGAGGAGTGCCCAGGCCATTGCTGACAGATCTGTTGAGCTGCTTGGCTGCTGTAACCAAGCCCTGGAGCCTGGGAGGCCTGAACAGCAGAAACTCATCTTCTCACAGCTCTGGAGGCTGTGAATCCCCAGTCAATGCGTCAGCAGGGCTGGTTTCTGCAAAGGCCTCTTTCTTTGGTGGGCAGACAGCTGATTTCTCACAGTGTTTTCACATGGTCTCTGGTGTCTTTACAAGGGCACTAATCCTATTGGATCAGGGCCCCATCCTCATAATCTCATTTTACCTTAATCACTTCTTTTTTTTTTTTTAAGTTTATTTTCCTTTTATTATTATACTTTAAGTTTTAGGGTACATGTGCACATTGTGCAGGTTAGTTACATATGTATACATGTGCCATGCTGGTGCGCTGCACTCACTAACTCGTCATCTAGCATTAGGTATATCGCCCAGTGCTATCCCTCCCCCCTCCCCCCACTCCACAACAGTCCCCAGAGTGTGATATTCCCCTTCCTGTGTCCATGTGATCTCATTGTTCAATTCCCACCTATGAGTGAGAATATGCGGTGTTTGGTTTTTTGTTCTTGCGATAGTTTACTGAGAATGATGATTTCCAATTTCATCCATGTCCCTACAAAGGACATGAACTCATCATTTTTTATGGCTGCATAGTATTCCATGGTGTATATATGCCACATTTTCTTAATCCAGTCTATCATTGTTGGACATTTGGGTTGGTTCCAAGGCTTTGCTATTGTGAATAATACCACAATAAACATACATGTGCATGTGTCTTTATAGCAGCATGATTTATAGTCCTTTGGGTATATACCCAGTAATGGGATGGCTGGGTCAAATGGTATTTCTAGTTCTAGATCCCAGAGGAATCGCCACACTGACTTCCACAATGGTTGAACTAGTTTACAGTCCCACTAACAGTGTAAAAGTGTTCCTATTTCTCCACATCCTCTCCAGCACCTGTTGTTTCCTCACTTTTTAATGATTGCCATTCTAACTGGTGTGAGATGGTGTCTCATTGTGGTTTTGATTTGCATTTCTCTGATGGCCAGTGACGATGAGCATTTTTTCATGTGTTTTTTGGCTGCATAAATGTCTTCTTTTGAGAAGTGTCTGTTCATGTCCTTCACCTACTTTTTGATGAGGTTGTTTGTTTTTTTCTTGTAAATTTGTTTGAGTTCATTGTAGATTCTGGATATTAGCCCTTTGTCAGACGAGTAGGTTGCGAAAATTTTCTCCCATTTTGTGAGTTGCCTGTTCACTCTGATGGTAGTTTCTTTTGCTGTGCAGAAGCTCTTTAGTTTAATTAGATCCCATTTGTCAATTTTGGCTTTTGTTGCCATTGCTTTTGGCGTTTTAGACATGAAGTCCTTGCCTATGCCTATGTCCTGAATGGCAATGCCTAGGTTTTCTTCTAGGGTTTTTATGGTTTTAGGTCTAACGTTTAAGTCTTTAATCCATCTTGAATTGATTTTTGTATAAGGTGTAAGGAAGGGATCCAGTTTCAGCTTTCTACATATGGCTAGCCAGTTTTCCCAGCACCATTTATTAAATAGGGAATCCTTTCCCCATTGCTTGTTTTTCTCAGGTTTGTCAAAGATCAGATAGTTGTAGATGTGCGGCATTATTTCTGAGGGCTCTGTTCTGTTCCATTGATCTATATCTCTGTTTTGGTAGCAGTACCATGCTGTTTTGGTTACTGTAGCCTTGTAGTATAGTTTGAAGTCAGGTAGTGTGATGCCTCCAGCTTTGTTCTTTTGGCTTAGGATTGACTTGGCGATGCGGGCTCTTTTTTGGTTCCATATGAACTTTAAAGTAGTTTTTTCCAATTCTGTGAAGAAAGGCATTGGTAGCTTGATGGGGATGGCATTGAATCTGTAAATTACCTTGGGCAGTATGGCCATTTTCACGATATTGATTCTTCCTACCCATGAGCATGGAATGTTCTTCCATTTGTTTGTATCCTCTTTTATTTCTTTGAGCAGTGGTTTGTAGTTCTCCTCGAAGAGGTCCTTCTCGTCCCTTGTAAGTTGGATTCCTAGGTATTTTATTCTCTTTGAAGCAATTGTGAATGGGAGTTCACTCATGATTTGGCTCTGTGTTTGTCTGTTATTGGTGTATAAGAATGCTTGTGATTTTTGTACATTGATTTTGTATCCTGAGACTTTGCTGAAGTTGCTTATCAGCTTAAGGAGATTTTGGGCTGAGACAATGGGGTTTTCTAGATATACAATGATGTCGTCTGCAAAGAGGGACAATTTGACTTCCTCTTTTCCTAATTGAATACCCTTTATTTCCTTCTCCTGCCTAATTGCCCTGGCCAGAACTTCCAACACTGTGTTGAATAGGAGTGGTGAGAGAGGGCATCCCTGTCTTGTGCCAGTTTTCAAAGGGAATGCTTCCAGTTTTTGCCCATTCAGTATGATATTGGCTGTGGGTTTGTCATAGATAGCTCTTATTATTTTGAGATACGTCCCATCAATACCTAATTTATTGAGAGTTTTTAGCATGAAGCGTTGTTGAATTTTGTCAAAGGCCTTTTCTGCATCTATTAAGATAATCATGTGGTTTTTGTCTTTGGTTCTGTTTATATGCTGGATTACATTTATTGATTTGCGTATATTGAACCAGCCTTGCATCCCAGGGATGAAGCCCACTTGATCATGGTGGATAAGCTTTTTGATGTGCTGCTGGATTCGTTTTGCCAGTATTTTATTGAGGATTTTTGCATCAATGTTCATCAAGGATATTGGTCTAAAATTCTCTTTTTTGGTTGTGTCTCTGCCAGGCTTTGGTATCAGAATGATGCTGGCCTCATAAAATGAGTTAGGGAGGATTCCCTCTTTTTCTATTGATTGGAATAGTTTCAGAAGGAATGGTACCAGTTCCTCCTTGTACCTCTGGTAGAATTCGGCTGTGAATCCGTCTGGTCCTGGACTCTTTTTGGTTGGTAAGCTATTGATTATTGCCACAATTTCAGATCCTGTTATTGGTCTATTCAGAGATTCAGCTTCTTCCTGGTTTAGTCTTGGGAGAGTGTATGTGTTGAGGAATTTATCCATTTCTTCTAGATTTTCTAGTTTATTTGCATAGAGGTGTTTGTAGTATTCTCTGATGGTAGTTTGTATTTCTGTGGGATTGGTGGTGATATCCCCTTTATCATTTTTTATTGCGTCTATTTGATTCTTCTCTCTTTTTTTCTTTATTAGTCTTGCTAGCGGTCTATCAATTTTGTTGATCCTTTCAAGAAACCAGCTCCTGGATTCATTAATTTTTTGAAGGGTTTTTTGTGTCTCTATTTCCTTCAGTTCTGCTCTGATTTTAGTTATTTCTTGCCTTCTGCTAGCTTTTGAATGTGTTTGCTCTTGCTTTTCTAGTTCTTTGAATTGTGATGTTAGGGTGTCAATTTTGGATCTTTCCTGCTTTCTCTTGTGGGCATTTAGTGCTATAAATTTACCTCTACACACTGCTTTGAATGCGTCCCAGAGATTCTGGTATGTTTTGTCTTTGTTCTCTTGGTTTCAAAGAACATCTTTATTTCTGCCTTCATTTCGTTATGTACCCAGTAGTCCTTCAGGAGCAGGTTGTTCAGTTTCCATGTAGCTGAGCGGTTTTGAGTGAGATTCTTAATCCTGACTTCTAGTTTGATTGCACTGTGGTCTGAGAGATAGTTTCTTATAATTTCTGTTCTTTTACATGTGCTGAGGAGAGCTTTACTTCCAAGTATGTGGTCAGTTTTGGAATAGGTGTGGTGTGGTGCTGAAAAAAATGTATATTCTGTTGATTTGGGGTGGAGAGTTCTGTAGATGTCTATTAGGTCCACTTGTTGCAGAGCTGAGTTCAATTCCTGGGTATCCTTGTTGACTTTCTGTCTCGTTGATCTGTCTAATGTTGACAGTGGGGTGTTAAAATCTCCCATTATTAATATGTGGGAGTCTAAGTCTCTTTGTAGGTCACTCAGGACTTGCTTTATGAATCTTGGTGCTCCTGTATTGGGTGCATATATATTTAGGATAGTTAGCTCTTCTTGTTGAATTGATCCCTTTACCATTATGTAATGGCCTTCTTTGTCTCTTTTGATCTTTGTTTGTTTCAAGTCTGCTTTATCAGAGACTAGGATTGCAACCCCTGCCTTTTTTTGTTTTCCATTTGCTTGGTAGATCTTCCTCCATCCTTTTATTTTGAGCCTATGTGTGTCTCTGCACGTGAGATGGGTTTCCTGAATACAGCACACTGATGGGTCTTGACTCTTTATCCAATTTGCCAGTCTGTGTCTTTTAATTGGAGCATTTAGTCCATTTACATTTAAAGTTAATATTGTTATGTGTGAATTTGATCCTGTCATCATGATGTTAGCTGTTTATTTTGCTCGTTAGTTGATGCAGTTTCTTCCTAGTCTCGATGGTCTTTACATTTTGGCATGATTTTGCAGTGGCTGGTACCAGTTGTTCCTTTCCATGTTTAGCGCTTCCTTCAGGAGCTCTTTTAGGGCAGGCCTGGTGGTGACAAAATCTCTCAGCATTTGCTTGTCTGTAAAGTATTTTATTTCTCCTTCACTTAGGAAGCTTAGTTTGGCTGGATATGAAATTCTGGGTTGAAAATTCTTTTCTTTGAGAATGTTGAATATTGGCCCCCACTCTCTTCTGGCTTGTAGGGTTTCTGCCGAGAGATCCGCTGTTAGTCTGATGGGCTTCCCTTTGAGGGTAACCCGACCTTTCTCTCTGGCTGCCCTTAACATTTTTTCCTTCGTTTTGACTTTGGTGAATCTGACAGTTATGTGTCTTGGAGTTGCTCTTCTCGAGGAGTATCTTTGTGGCGTCTCTGTGTTTCCTGAATCTGAACGTCGGCCTGCCTTGCTAGATTGGGGAAGTTCTCCTGAGTAATATCCTGCAGAGTGTTTTCCAACTTGGTTCCATTCTCCCCATCACTTTCAGGTACACCAATCAGACGTAGATTTGGTCTTTTCACGTAGTCCCATATTTCTTGGAGGCTTTGCTCATTTCTTTTTATTCTTCTCTGAACTTCCCTTCTCGTTTCATTTCTTTCATTTCATCTTCCACCGCTGATACCCTTTCTTCCAGTTGATCGCATCGGCTCCTGAGGCTTCTGCATTCTTCACGTAGTTCTTGAGCCTTGGTTTTCAGCTCCATCAGCTCCTTTAAGCACTTCTCTGTATTGGTTATTCTAGTTATACATTCTTCTAAATTTTTTTCAAAGTTTTCAACTTCTTTACCTTTGGTTTGCGTGTCCTCTCGTAGCTCAGAGTAATTTGATCGTCTGAAGCCTTCTTCTCTCAGCTCGTCAAAGTCATTCTCCGTCCAGCTTTGTTCCGTTGCTGGTGAGGAACTGCGTTCCGTTGGAGGAGGAGAGGCGCTCTGCTTTTTAGAGTTTCCAGTTTTTCTCTTCTGTTTTTTCCCCATCTTTGTGGTTTTATCTACTTTTGGTCTTTGATGATGGTGATATACAGATGGGTTTTCAGTGTGGATGTCCTTTCTGTTTGTTAGTTTTCCTCCTAACGGACAGGACCCTCAGCTGCAGGTCTTTTGGAGTACCCTGCCCTGTGTCAGTGTACCCCTGTTGGGGGGTGCCTCCCAGTTAGGCTGCTCAGGGGTCAGGGGTCAGGCACCCACTTGAGGAGGCAGTCTGCCCCTTCTCAGATCTCCAGCTGCGTACTGGGAGAACCACTGCTCTCTTCAAAGCTGTCAGACAGGGACATTTAAGTCTGCAGAGGTTACTGCTGTCTTTTTGTTTGTTTGTGCCCTGCCCCCAGAAGTGGAGCCTACAGAGGCAGGCAGGCCTCCTTGAGCTGTGGTGGGCTCCACCCAGTTCGAGCTTCCCGGCTGCTTTGTTTACCTAAGCAAGCCTGGGCAATGGTGGGCGCCCCTCCCCCAGCCTCGCTGCCACCTTGCAGTTTGATCTCAGACTGCTGTGCTAGCAATCAGCGAGACTCCGTGGGGTAGGACCCTCTGAGCCAGGTGCAGGATATAATCTTGTGGTGTGCCTTTTTTCAAGCCCGTCAGAAAAGCGCAGTATGCGGGTGGGAGTGACCCGATTTTCCAGGTGCCGTCCGTCACCCCTTTCTTTGACTAGGAAAGGGAACTCCCTGACGCCTTGCGCTTCCCGAGTGAGGCAATGCCTCGCCCTGCTTCGGCTCGCGCATGGTGCGCGCACCCACTGACCTGTGCCCACTCTCTGGCCCTCCCTAGTGAGATGAACCTGGTACCTCAGATGGAAATGCAGAAATCACCCGTCTTCTGCCTTGCTCATGCTGGGAGCTGTAGACTGGAGCTGTTCCTATTCGGCCATCTTGGCTCCTCCCCTGTGAATCACTTCTTTATTCCAAATGCACCTACACTGGGGGCTCAACACAGTTCAGTCCAGAGCATGCTTTTCTCTTCTTTTCTTTTCCCTTCTTTCTTTCTTTTTTTTTTTTTTCAGACAGGGTCTTGCTCTGTCGCCCAGGCTGGAGTGCAGTGGTGCCATCATAGTTCACTGCAGCGTCTGCCTCCTGGGCTCAAGTGATCTTCCCACCTCAGTCTCCCAAAGTGTGGGGATTACAGGCATAAGCCACCATGCCTAGCCTAATAGCATTATTTTCTGAGAAGGTGGTAGTGACTTAATGTTTTCTGGTTTCTAGAACTTTCTTCTACCACTGTTAGCCATCCAAATCTTTGCCTTCTCTCAAGCAGACACTAACAGGGAATATCTGTAGCAGGGCCACATTTCTCTGTGTCATTTGCAGAGTTCATTGCATAGTCTTCCAGTCTTGCCTGCATTCCTTTTTTATATTTTATTTTTAAAATTTAATTATAAATTTATATTTTATTTTAAATTGACAAATAATCACTGTATACTTATGGAGTACAGTGTGATGTTTTGATCTATGTATACACTGGGGAAAGAGTCAAGCTAGCTAACTGACATACCTGTCACCTCACCAACTTACCATTTTTTCTTTTTAGTGAAAACATTAAAATTCTATTCTAGAGATTTTGAAATGTTTGAATTATTATTAGCTGTGTTTGCCATGCAATGCAGTGATCACTAAGCCTTAGTCTAAACTTTGTACCCTTTGACCTACATCTGCCCTTTCCTCATCCCCGCCAACCCCACCTACCAGCCTGGCCCTCACTGTTCTACTCTGTTTCCATGGGGTTCACTTTTTCAGATTCCACATATCCGTGAGATCATGAGGCATCTGTCTTTATGTGCCTGGCTTTTTTCACTCAGCATAATGTCTTCCAGGCTCATTCACATTGTCATTAATAACAGGATTTCTTTTTCTTTTAAAGCCAACTGGCATTCCACTGTGCACACACCACGTTTTCCTTATTCATCCATTGACAGACACGTAGGTTGATTCCATATCTTGTCCATTGTGAGTAGTGACTGTGCAGTGACCATAGTGGTACAGACATCTCAACGTAGTGATCTCACACCCAGAAGTGGGATTGCTGGGTCTTGTGCTAGCTCTACTTTGGTTTTTCAGGGAGGCTCTGCACAGTTTTCCACAGCATTTCACTAATTTACCTTCCCGTCAGTGGTGAACGTGAGTCCCCTTCACCCATATCCTCAGCCACATTTACCGTTGCTCCTTTTGAAAATATCCGCTCTAGTCACATGCTGGTTAGCTCAGTCTGCAGGGCAGGAGGCTCTTGTGGCAATTTGGAAACTCACAGCACATTGTCATTAACCAGAGTCGCCGTGTCTGGCAGATGTCCAAACCTGTTCCTGCCGCCTCACCAAAGGCTGGTGCCCTGTGGCCAGGTTTGGTCCTTCCGCCTTCCCCACACCCCCTTTTTATTCCTTTTCCAAGGATCCAAAGGAATCCCCCTGTACCAGAGTAGCAATTATTGAGGACATCAAAAAAGTATACCAAGATATATTTGCTTGTGCTAGGGTTTTGTGCAAGGGAACTAGCATCTGGCAATGAATTACATTTCTCTCCATGAGGTTGTATAGTACCTTATGATTTTCAATGCATTTTGTAGCTTTGTTTCAGCCCAGGCATGAAAATATGTATAGATAACCCCTTTTTTTGGTTTTTATTATTGACTGATCTTTATTCCCTTAAGAGTAAGTCGTGCATCTGTTAAGAATTTGTAGTCTTTTTTTGTATTAAAACTTCATACTTATTGTTAGTAAGGACTATATTGCTCGGGATGGTATACCTGATAGTGCCAAATTTATAAGCATCATCAGATGTTAAAACTTTGTGTTGAAAATTTTTGCTTATGTTTTCTCTATTATTTAAATGACGTTAAGTTTTTTCTTACTATTTCTTGAACTTCTTAATAATGAGGTTTGATTCCTAAAGCTATTCATGGAAGGGTTAGGAACATCACAGAAAATAATCGATAAGACCTCAGGGATTTTTTTTTTGTTGCTATTTTAATTGCTTAAAATGCAAACCTGAATGCAAATATGAAAGCATTTTGAGACTTGCTACAACTGTGATTAACTGCTGTAATTAACTTTTAGTGTGACAGCCCTCTCAAAAGTGGGGTGTTGCCCAAGTACCGCATTAAACCTATGAATGACTGCAGATTACAGGGGTGGTGGGGAGCGCTGAGCCCATTAACACAAGAGGACAAAGAAGTTCGTTGTGACACGGTGATTTGGCTGAACATTTAAATGACTTGTTAAAGAACGAACTTACTTCTTAGAGTCACACAAAGCACATGAAAAATTTGTCTAAGGGCCCATGTCATTGTTGCTATGGGAACTACAACTTCATTTCCTGACATAGGTTTGTTAGAGTTTTTTTGCAACAACAATTATATAACCTAATGTTTGTGCTATAATTTTTTGTTTCTTTTGTGAAAAAGGAGAAGTTGAGTGCATTTAGGAGATAGGATAATACCACTGCTATTCAAAACTGGGAGCTGGGGGGATGGAGAGAGGCTGATTAATGGGTAGAAATGTACAGTTAAAAGGAAAGAGAAAACCTGGTGTTCAATCAACCAGCAGGATGACTACCATTAACATTAATTGATTGTACATTTCAAAATACCTGGAAGAGAAAAATTTGAATGTTTCTAGCATAAAGAAAAGATGAATGAGGTGAAAGATATCCCAGTTATCCTGATTTTATTATATGAATGTAACAAATTATTGTGTGCACCTCCCAGATATGCACATTTATTATGTTTCAATAAAAAGGTATAAAAGTTAGAGCTTTAAAAAAAATTAAAAAAAAAACAGAAGAGAGGGGATTGTCCTACTCATTAGAATTCCATAGATAACCTCTAATAACTGGTAGTATCTTGATAGAATTTTAGCTTGATTTTTTTAAAAAAATCATGTAAAACTTAAGACTGTCTCTGGAATTGATGACATATTATATTAATACATACTCTCTCACTAGGCCATCAATTATGAATACCTAAATATTATAATGTTAGATATTCCATGCCATTTCATGTGGATCAGTATTTTAAGTTTAGCCATCCTCAATTATTTGCCAATCTCTACATGTCAATATTTGATGAAATATGTTAATTATTGACAAAATAGTAAGAATTGAAAAGCAAATGGGGGTTAAATTATTGCTATGGCAGATTCAAATCAATGTGAAGAGACCTGAAGGCAGAGTTTATGTGTCAAGGCAGTTGAGGGCCCCCACCCCTGAACACTGATTTTATCACCTGTTTTTCTCTACTCATCCCTTTTGCACTCTTTCTTTACAACTAGTTAATTCATGAGGGTTTGTTGTCTGCCAATCCCATTCCTACCTCAGAATGCCTTGAAAAGCAGAAATACCACTCACTGAGACCTCGTCTCCCTGTTGGCCCTCTTCCGCGTCTGCTGTGTCCTCAGTTGTCAGGTGACAGAAGAAGAACCAACCCCCAAATCACAATACTCTGTTAGGGCTCAGAAACAGTGCGTGGCTGTGCTGACTGACCCGGGAAAGCTGGATTAGGATGGACGGCTGTGTCTGCAGCACTTCGTGAGATTAACCAGTGACCGCATGACCGCATGATAACATAAAGCTGATGCAATTGACTAAAGTTACAACAAAGATTCTGCCTTTTCTAGGACATCATCTCACAATGACAGATAATGTGACCAACACAAGGTCTGTAACCTTTCCTACTGTAAAACTTTCTTACCTCAAGAAGTATCCCAGATATTAATACATGTGTCTTTTTTGCGCTGCTTAGGAGGAATGTAAGAATCAAACACTCTTCATTGCTCAGAAATACTACAGAGAATGGTTTGCCTGCACTCTGTTCCCTTGGAAACTTGTTTAAGGGAGAGAAGGAGGTTAAGGAAATTAAAATGCATGGTAACATTTCTTTCTTCTGTCTTGGTTCTGGTCTTTTGTTTTTACAGGTTTAAAGGAATCTCATGATATTACATACACGGGAAAGTATCACTTGTGACTGTTTGCACTAGGTGCAAAAGACAGATAGTTTTCTGGGCATTTGGATGTGAAAAGGATGTTGTTTTGTGACCTCACCTTAGCACAGCAGACTTCACAATATGGTGCTCACCGTTCAGTGGCACATCAGGTTTCTTATAGGGGCTGTGATATGAGATGGTTTTAAGGAAGTTGATTTCTTATCTTAGGGTTTACGGGTGCCTTTCCCTACAGTCTGCTAATCTGAGAAAGTGTCTGAGTGATGCTTCTGCGTCTTTGCCTACTGTGTTCTCAAACTCACCCTTCCCCCTCTTATGAAAGAGGGAAAAGGTGTACCCTCCCACCACATCCGGAATCTTGCAGGGAGTGTTGCCCTTGGGTGTCAGAACAATGGAGAGTTTGGGGTATCTGTCTCACTGCTGGTGAAGTTAGTGACTCTAATCAATGGGCGAAACTTATTTTTAGTTTCCCATTTCTTGCTTTCAACATAATTAAAAGAGGATATCATAGCGTTATCGGCTAATTCTTAGGAGTAATTGTTAATGGTAAGTGCTCAGTGATTTCTGAAGGAGTTCCAAGGCTTGAGGGCCATCGCCAGAATAACACACTTATGTTCCATCCAGGTATTAATGCAATCTAAGTTTTGCATCTTACAGCTATTAAAAAAGTCATTGACACTGAACCCAGCTTTCTTTCACTAAAAAGTAATATTTATCCATGAATATATTAGTGAATTGGGAAAAATCTCATTAAGAGATGTATTTCCAATTCAGTTTTAATGGTAATATTTAGTGTTCATCAAAATTTATAATTATATTTTAGGGTCACCTATAAAACTAACAATAGTTTAGTCAAGAAGACAGTTTTATCATCTAGAATCTTTCTCACAGAAAATTTAAAAATGTATTTTGGCTTTTATATGCATACACATGAAATGTGTGTTCATGTGGGTATAGACAGAAAAAGAGAGGAAAACGTCTTTTAAGCTTAAATATATGTTACAGTAGGATATGGTTCTGTAGGAGGAGATGGAATGGAAATAAGAATTTAAGGACAAAAATGAATACTGTAATATTTTAGGCCATTTAATACTAACGTGTTCATATGTGCTTTGAATGGATAATGGCTGGTATCAAGTTGATATGGTGGATTGTGGTATTTAGTTAGATTACAGTTGATATGTTTAAAAGGGTGATATAACAGTTTTATCTCAGAATGTCAAATGTACCCTATCAAGATCTTTTCCATGGGGAGGAATTTAAGATGTGGACCTGAACGTGTGACTGTGGACCCCATACAGTGTTCCTAAATCCGGGAAAGACCACACGGGCCCATGCCTGTGAAGACCAGTGCCATCTGTACACCTTTTGAAAAAGACCCAGTGTCATAATTAACATGGGAAAGGTACAATAAGCCGCATCTTTATAGTGTTCTTTTTCTAGTTTGTAAACTTGACCTCAGGAGGTGTGAGAAGAAAGTTTCTTATTTTACAGCCACTAAAAAAAGGGCACGTCCTGGCTGGGCACGGTGGCTCACGCCTGTAATCCCAGCACTTTGGGAGGCCGAGGCAGGCGGATCACAAGGTCAGGAGATCGAGACCATCCTGGCTAACATGGTGAAACCCCCTCTCTACTAAAAATACAAAACAATACAAAACATTAGCCGGGTGTGGTGGCAGGCGCCTGTAGTCCCAGCTACTAGGGAGGCTGAGGCAGGAGAATGGGGTGAACCTGGGAGGCGGAGTTTGCAGTGAGCAGAGATCGTGCCACTGCATTTTGGCCTGGCCTGGGCGACAGAGCGAGACTCCGCCTCAAAAAAAAAAAAAAAAAAAAAAAAAAAAAAAGGCACGTCCTGACACTTCAGATGCGCCGGATCCTGCCATGCTTGAGCCAAAGCTCTGGGCGATTCCCATGTGGCTCAGGCTGAAAGCGGAGCTCTCATGAGGCAGGCCGGGCCCCTGCACCTCATGCCCCTCTGAGACCGGCTTCTCTCCTCCCCTCAGGTCTCTCTGAGACCGGCTTCTCTCCTCCCCTCAGGTCTCTCTGAGACCGGCCTCCCTCCTCCCCTCAGCCCCTGTGAGACCAGCTTCCCTCCTCCCCTCAGGCCTTTCTGAGACCGGCTTCCCTCCTCCCCTCAGGTCTCTCTGAGACCGGCCTCCCTCCCCTCAGGCCCCTCTGAGACCGGCCTCCCTCCTCCCCTCAGACCCCTCTGAGACCGGCCTCCCTCCTCCCCTCAGGCCCCTCTGAGACCGGCCTCCCTCCTCCCCTCAGGCCCCTCTGAGACCGGCTTCCCTCCTCCCCTCAGGCCCCTCTGAGACCGGCCTCCCTCCTCCCCTCAGGCCCCTCTGAGACCGGCCTCCCTCCTCCCCTCAGGCCCCTCTGAGACCGGCCTCCCTCCTCCCCTCAGGCTCCTCTGAGACCGGCCTCCCTCCTCCCCTCAGGCCCCTCTGAGACCGGCCTCCCTCCTCCCTCACCCGCTGTACAGGCTCCTGCCGGGCCCCTCCCGGGTGCTGCAGAGACCGAATGAATGAATGAGGGAACGGGAGCACCAGGCGATATCACGTACCCCGTGGAGGTGTGATGTGTCACCGTCACCGAGGGCTGTGAGCCTTTTCTGCAGAGAGCTTCGTCAGGAATGCCCAGACCAGAGCTCGCTGCCCGCCGCCTCCGTAACCGGGACCAAAGCCCCTTTGCGAAACACCCATGCCTGAGCTTAGCTCAGCTGGGCCGGCGCAGGGGCAGGAAAAGCCCGTCCTGGCAGGCGTCCTTGCCCCTCTTCAGTCTCGGCCTCTGGCTCATCAGTTTCCTCAGTAGCTCATGGGGCCCAGTGGTGTGTGGGGCGCCTCCGAAAGCCTGCAGAGAGGGTGCAGTTGGTCCATGGAGCTGGGTCCCGGAGGTCACCAGGAGCCATGGTCCGGGCTCCCACTTCTCGCGGCCGAGACACTGGCGTGGTGCTTCTCATGCCTGCATCTTCCGGGGACAGCCACCATTTTCGTCGATTCTCAAAAGAATGACCGAGAGGGAAGGGCCAGCAGAGAACTTAGAAACGGCAGCAAGTTTTGAAAGCGTTTTCTTCCCACCCCCACATAAGTGTAAAAAGCTTGAAGCAGCCTTGCTGTACACAAAGGCACTGCGCGGCCACAGAGAGGTGAGTGGCCCTGAGCGCACTACGCACAGTTCCCTCAGAGACCCAGGAACCAGCGGCTCTTCGGGAGAGACGGGCGCTGCCTCGGTGGTGCCTGCAGAGACCTCCGGGGAGGGGCCTCGCTGCTGGCTGGGAGGGGTGGGGTGGCTGAGAAGGGAGAGTTTCCCTGTTAGCAACTGCCTCCGAGTGATGCCTGCACCATTTAAACTTTTACAAATGGTATGAGTTGGAAGCATCATGAACCTTGTCTTCCGTTTTTTTTTTTTAACAGCGTCTCAGTGAGACCTGTGAACGTGGCTTCTTGGAGGGGTTACCTGGTGATTTGAAAGAGCCTTCAGCTCACCTAGAACCTCTAAGATGAGATGCCTCAAAACACTTCTGTCCTTTGAGCTCTTTCAGGTGAAGGCAGAAGGCAGGTTTGGTCCTGTCAGATTCTAACCAGGAACAAGACCTTTCTCTTTCTTTTTCTTTTGGCTTTCCTTTCTTCATTTAGTTTTGTTATTAAAGAAGCCACAGAACTTGGAATATTATTCTAGGTAAACTGACGATGCTTTATTCAATTTTCCTTCACTTAGCAAACCTCCCTACCCCTCATTCATTTATCCAACTTGATGAATCTTCACCCAGCCTCAGCTGGTCCTTCCTTTGAAGACTGCTGTATGTCTTTCCTGTCTCAATCGCTCGTGTTCGAACGTTAGTAACTATGGCAGAGCCTGACGCGTCTGTTCTCTCACATTTGCCTGTCGATGGTGATACTGACGTTCTGTGATGCTGAGGACCCTCCTTCCCATGTTGTAGCAATCATATACCCCTGGTTAGCCATGCTCGTTGCAAGCCGAGGAAGGGTGGCCTCTAAAAAATATCTTCTAACTTCTCTCCGCTTCTCCAAAGAGAGCGCCCTTCTCCACGCCTGTGCCTGTTTTGAAGGAAGGATGGTCCTGTGATGGGGTCATTCCATGGACCACTCAGGATGTGCAGGGGGCACTGGCCCATGCTGCTCTGTCTCCCCTGCAGCCTTACTTGGTGAGGTCAGCAGTGTTGGGTGGAAGCTGGCAGCGCCCGGAGTCAGGTTCCACCAGCCGGTGGCCTCTTCCCCCCTTGGCCTTGTCTTGCTCCGGGCCCCCTTGCCAAATGGCTTTCTCAGCATCCCAGATCACCCTGGGGGCTGTCTCAGCCTACATCGGAATGGTCACACCCAAAAGTTCATCTTCCTGGAGTGTATTTGCACAGTGCCTCTACACTGGTGGTGCTGTTGGGGCTTGAGGCCTGGGTTTGGGCTCGCTCAGCACTTGGGGCTGCTGTGAGGTGAGGGATGAGGGGTGACGAGAGGCTGTTCCTCTAATTTTCACCAAATTGATTAAAACCACCTTGCTCACGTATGGTGGCATTCCAGGTCTGGCGTCCCTGTCCACCTCCAAGCCAGGATGCTCTGTGGCTCAGGATTCTAGGCAGTAGGACAGCAGCATGGTGGCCACAGGGGTCTGCCCTTGCAAAGGCACAGCGATGGCACTGGATCCCTCCCATGGCAGCTATGTTGGGTCTCCCCCCACCAGGAGATCCTGTGTCATGACAAGCATGCTGTTTGGTGATGAAGTGTGGTAGAAGATGGGTGAAGGATGAAGCTGGTACGTCGCTCCCAAATCATGAATCTGATCCTGTATTTTCTCACACAGCGTCCTGTTGTTATTCTGTAGCCAAATGGCTGTTTCTGGGGCATCGATATCCATACCCATGTGGTCTGGTCGAGATAGCAGCATTCAGTCGAGGCCTTGGCATCTGTGTTCACATGGTCTGGTCGAGGCCTCGGCATCTGTGTCCACATGCTCTGGTTGTGGCCTTGGCATCCGTGTCCACGTGGTCTAGTTGAGGCCTTGGCGTCTGTGTCCACGTGGTCTGGTCAGCAGAAGCCTCAGCCTTTGGGGCTTCCCTGCAAGTTTGGCACCATCCCAGGTAGTGTCCAGGGAGCTTGTGATTATATTTTACCCTTAGATAAGATAGTAGCCATTTACAAATAACCTACACCTTTGATAACATAAATATTTTTTCTTAAGGTGAAGTATCTCAGCTTGGAAAAAAGTGAAGTTTGGTTTTGCGAGAAGAAGCCCAGAGCGGGCAGAAGTCAGTGCTGTTCTGTCCTCCTTCCTGGGGGCAGTGTTTTAATCAGATTTCTTTTAAGAAGTGGGGTGATACTGATAGCAAAGAAATACAGCAGAAGTCACTTATTTTCACTGGGTCGTGGTGGGTTCTGTTCTACTTTATCGAAAGGTTAATGCATCTTTGTGACTTTTTCCCATGGGCTTTTGTTATGCTTCCACTGCTGGTGATGCAGCGTTTTCCTGGTGAGACACCTTTAGCCTCAAGTGGGAAGCACAGATGGTTCCTGTGCCCTCAACCGTCAACACCAGAGCCAGCAGGAACCCTATTTGCCACCCGTCTCTCTTCTGTGGGGAAGTGACTGTTCAAGGTTTTGCCGGTTTTTAAAAACATGCTTTTCTTCCTGTTGAGTTTCGAGAGTTCTTTATGTACTTTGGACACAAAACACAGTCAGAGGTGTGATTTGCAAATATTTTCTCCCTGTCTAGAGCTTGTCCTTCTGTTCCCGTTACCATGTTGTATTAGTTCTTTCTCACTCTGCTATAAAGAAATAGGTGAAACTGGGCAATTTATGAAGAAAGGAGGTTTAATTGGCTCACGGTTCCTCAGGATTTGCGGGAAGCATGGCTGGGAGGCCTCAGGAAACTTACAACCATGGCGGAAGGCGAAGGGGAAGTAGGCATATCCCGCATGGCCGGAGCAGGAGGAAGAGAGTGAAGGGGGAGGTGCTACACACTTTTAAACTACCAGCTCTTCTGAGAACTCACTCACTATCACAAGAACAGCAAGGGGAAATCCACCCCTGTGATCCAGTTACCCCCCACCAGGCCCCTCTTCCGACACTGGGGATCACAATTTGACGTGAGATTTGGGTGGAGACACAGAGCCAAACCATATGAATTGTCTTTTGCAGAAAACTGACTCTGGATGATGGCTACTTAAATTTTCAGTTAGGTAATTCTTATTCTTTTTGGGTAACATACTAGTATATATTCTAGATAGCCCCCAAAGTGGAAGCTATCACACTGTCAGCAGACACTTACTGTAACTCCAATGCATTCCAGTCCTTTGGACGGCGTCTGCTGTACCCAAAGTTAAATCAAACACAGGCCCTGCTTGGCAAAGCCGGCAATGCAGTTTAGAGACCTGGCCTGTGAAAGAGGATTGTTTCTCTCTCTCAGGTTAGTGTGGACCTGGACAAGTGGTATTGCCCTGTGTAATGATCAAAGCAGCTGGAGACATGAAGCCAGGAAGTCAGAATCTTAGCTGCACCCCTGACCCACTGTGCTTAAGGTTTCTGATCTCTGTTTTGTCCTGTGGAAAGTGGGGAGATGATGCCGCCTCCCAGGATGGCAGTGGTAATTCAGTCATGGGACGGACGACGTCAGTGCAGTGCGTGTGAAATACATCTTGGCTCCTGTTCTACACTCCCCAGAGCCAGAGCCAGTGGAGAAAGTAAGAATTTGAGGAGAAAAGGTCACCTTGGAAGCTCACAGGGGAGGAGTTTGGATCTCATCAGGGATTTGGAGAATGAGGAGGATTTTGACAGGAACAGAAAAGGGGTAAAGGAGGCTTGAGGCAGGGGATGTTGTAGAGGCTGGACAAGCACCATGCATTTCAAGGGAAATAATAGAAGGGTTTGCCTGGGCTGTGCAGGGTGCAGAGACAGGTGAAGCTGTAAGAGATGCTTGGAGATGACGTAACCAAAATGAAAAGATATTTGTTGGGTCTATGTATCTCAAGTTTGTTTCCCATTTTCTGGCCGCAAGTGTGAGAAAATGTATTTCTCATACTTTGCTGTGGTTTTCATCTATAGGAGTTACCTTATAAATGCTTAGCATAGAGATCAGAATGTAGCAAGACCAGCATGGGGAGAGAAACCTGGAGAAAGGTGTGAGTAGTTGGCTTAGCTGGTAGATGTTTCCTGGTCCCAGTGTAAAATCTGAATGGACTTTGTATTTCAGTAAAATAATATTTAATAATATTTGGTCTATGCTGACAAGAACTCCGTATTTCATTTCCTGGTTTCTCTCTTTCATTTTAGGGGAGATAAATCCATCGGCTATTTCTCATTTTCACCTTCATGTGAAAAGATTTTTTTTGTGTGTGTGTTTTTGAAACAGGGTTTCTTTCTGTTGCCCAGGCTGGAGTACAGTGGTGTGATCATAACTCACTGCAACCTCGAACTCCTGGGCTCAAGTGATCCTCCTGCCTCAGCCTCCTGAGTAGCTGGGACTACAGGTGCACGCCACCATGCCTGACTAATTTTGTGCTTTGTAGAGATGAGGTTTCACCATGTTGCCCAAGGTGGTCTAGAACCCCTGACTTCAAATGATGCACCCGCCTCAGCCTCCCAAAGTGCAGGGATCACAGGCATGAGCCACCACGCCCGGACCAACATGCATTTTTGAGTCATTCTTTGTCATTGTGAAAATTGGATTTGTAATTGTTTTTCTTATTTGCTTAATTTTTCCCCGAATTTTAAAAATAATGCAAGCACATTGCAGAAAATTTGGAAAGCTTTAGAAAGTAAAAGGAATAAATTAATAATCAGCCCTAATCCTGCCACAGATATTTGATTACCAGTGGGGTTCCACCATGTTTTCTGAGTGAATGAACCTCACTTCCCATTTCTGGGAATTGTGTCACTGCCAGTGGCTCCCTCCACAGAGAAGCCCAGGCTGTTCCGGGTTCTCATCTTCCCTCCTCCATGCCCCAGTGTTATCAGGAGAAAACAATTTAAACAGGGATATGTTTTTAAATGTTCTAAAAAATATTGTAGATATTCAGAGTTGAATACTGAATTTCTTTTCACCCTTCAAATTCCTATCCTCCCCACTTGTAACTGGATCTAATAAGTCTCTGGTGTCTCAATAGGTGTATATGAAACAAAGCATACTGTATAATATGACTATACATTTAAATGCCCACATTTCGATTCTAACATAAATAATTATGATGTGCACCGTGTGCTGTGAATTTTTTTGATGTAATATGCCAAATCTTTGTTTTGATATATGCACATAAAGTTGATTAATTTTAAAATTCCTTTAAAAAACTTTTTTATTTGGGAGTAATTTCACACTTCAGGAAGACTTCAAGAAAAGCACAGCAGAGAGAACCCGTTATGCCTCCCCCTTATTCACTTTTGCTGGTGTTTTCTTGTTGCTTGAGCTCACGCACGCTCGCTCTCCTGTTCCCTCTCCACACACATGCACTGTTTTCTGAGCCATAAGACAGTAAGTTGCACACCCCATTGGAGTTAACCCCTAACGACGTCGCATGTGTTTCCTAAGAATGGGGATGTCTGTTACATAATCACGGTGCAGCTGTCACTGCGTTAAGCAAGTAGTTGGATTTGCTGAGTTGCTGGATGTACCTGTACGATGTTGATAGACACTGCATTTACCAATGTGAATTTTATCAGCCTTTCATGTTTTCTACTTTGATGAAGAATGATTATAATATGGTTTTAATTAAATTCCAAGAGTTCTAGAGAGGCTGAACAAGCTGACATAATTTTATTAGATATTAATATTTATGTAATCACCACTTATTATTTCATAAATCACCTTTCCATATTCTTTGCCCATTTTAAAATCGTGGCATTGTATTATTTTTCTTACTGAAGGATTTCTAATTGGTTGTCAAATGACAACCCAGGATTTTCTAAGTGGATAAATTATGAGTAAGTGCTAATTTTATTTTTCCCTTCCTAATATTTATACTCCTAGTTTTTGTCTTATTTCACATTTTAGGACTTATAGCACAGTGCTGAATACTAAAATTGATCCTGGATGTCCTTTCATGTTTCACCATAATAAAAACGGTTCTAATGTTTCATCATTGCATGAATGTTTGTCAGAGTTAAGGTAAATTACCTTTTATCAAATTAAAGAAGTTTCCCCTTAATCGTATTTTACAGGAACGTGAAGTAGAAGGTTCATTCGCTCAGAAAATGCAACACAATACCAACATTGTTTGTATCTCTGTGTCAGAATAAAAATGGATTGATCTTAGTTAGAAAGTTATTTATAAAAATAGGAATGGTGTTAGGTTTTATCAAATGCTTATTTGGTATCTGTCTGATAGGAGTTCCCCCATTTTGTAAGTTTTGAATGAAATAATAACCGTTTTAATACTGAACCATCTTTTCATTGTGTAGTTATGTATTATTTTAATACAGTGTTGGATTCTACTTGCTTCTATTTATTGAAAGTTTTCTCATTTTTGTTTATGGGGCTGAGTGTGTTTTCACTTCCCACGCATTTCTATTGTGCTTTTCTATCAGCACCTTTTACCTTAACAACAAGGAGTTGTCTTCCCCACCCTTCCCCATGCTGAGATGATGTGAGCTTTAGTTTCAGAAGATTATTAGTTGACTTTGTTACGCATCAGCAGTCATTTCCCTTAGCTGTATTTTACTATCAGCCCTCCTTTCTTCTTGCCGCTGGCTCTTCTCCCATGCCTTCCTTGTTAATTTTTATTCGCTTTTCATTTGGCTGATGTCTATCTTCTAGAGAGTCTCTTTGTTCACATCTGTGGGTGGGAAAGCTCTTAGAATCCTTGAATGTCTAAAAATATGTTTATTCCCACATAAAATCTAATTTTACGGAGCATTGGAATCTCAATTCAAAATGATTTTCCTTTAAAACCGCTGCCTTCTACCAGTCAGTATGGTTAGTGAAAAGTCTAATTCTAATCCTGTTGTCTTTCTTTGTCAATAAATCTCTTTCCTCCTCCCCTCGCCCTGATGATTTTACCCATTTTGCTGTGGAATTTCACAGAGCTGTGCTCTCCTTGGGCTGCCATAGTCTGGGCTGGTTTGCTTGGCTTCCCCGCACCACGCTGCTGGGTCTTTATGGCTCTTTCAAGATCTGGTGGCTTCTCTTCCTTCAGTTTTGGAAATTTTTCTTCTATTATTTCTTTCTTTTACTCCTTCTCCTCTGAAACTCCTCTTCTGAGACTTCCTGGACTTGTTCTTCACATCTCTGGACATGTGAATTTGTCTAATCTTTGCATTTTGTGCAATTTCCTTATAGATTTCCCTGACGGAGTCCACAGCTCACAGACTTTCTCTTCTGTGTTCTCCTGTGTGCCCAGGCTGTTTTCTGCTTCATCATGTTGGATGTATTTTTGATTTCCAACACCTCTATTATTTTGTTTTACAGAACCAAGGACAACATCTTCCTTGCACTTCCTGTGGCCATGCTGGTTTAACCTGTTACGGCTTCTCAGCTTTGTTTCCTGCTGGCTGAGCTGGGGGCTCTCCCTCTATTGTGGGTTTTCTTCGCCTGCCATACGACTCCAGGCATCTGCTTGTCTTTGTCTCTGAAATCCTTTTGGCCTGTGGGTGGGGGGTGTTTCTAGCTGCAGGATGGGGTCCCTGGTGGCGTGAGTGAGGTTGGGATGAGCTGTTTGCCGGCCTGTGCGTAGGGAGTGTTTCTAGCTGCAGGACAGGGTCCCTTGTGGTGTTGTAGATTAGATAAACTACATCTATTACAACCATATGAGTGAGGTTGGGATGAGCTGTTTGCTGGCCTGTGGGTGGGGCGTGTTTCTAGCTGCAGAATGGGGTCCCTGGTGGTGTGAGTGAGGTCGGGATGAGCTGTTTGCTGGCTGTTGAGACCAGCTCGGTCGGGGAGACCCTAACCCAGTGGTGCTAGAGGAATTAAAGACACACACACAGAAATATAGAGGTGTGAGGTGGGAAATCAGGGTTCTCACAGCCTTCAGAGCTGAGAGCCCCAAACAGAGATTTACCTGCATATTTATTAACAGCAAACCAGTCATTAGCATTGTTTCTATAGATATTAACTAAAAGTCTCCCTTATGAGAAATGAAGGGGTGGGCTGAATTAAAGGAATAGGTTGGGCTAGTTAACTGCAGCAGGAGCATGTCTTTAAAGCACAGATCACTCATGTTATTGTTTGTGGCTTAGGAATGCCTTTAAGTGGTTTTCTACCCTGGGCAGGCCAGGTGTTCCTTGCCCGCATTCCTGTAAACCCACAACCTTCCAGCTTGGGCATTAGGGCCATTATGAATATGTTACAGTGCTGTAGAGATTTTGTTTATGGCCAGTTTTGGGGCCAGTTTATGGCCAGATTTTTGGGGGCCTGCTCCCAACAGCTGGCCTGTGGGTGAACGGTGTTTCTAGCTGCAGGATGGGGTCCCTGGTGACCTGAGTGAGGTTGGGATGAACTGTTTGCTGGCCTGTGGGTGGCGGGTATTTCTAGCTGCAGGACGGGGTCCCTGGTGGCGTGAGTGAGGTTGGGATGAGCTGCCATTTGTGTTATGCGTGTGGCTTGTCCATCCCTCCAGGTGACCTTACCTGATAGGGACTTCCCTGTTTTGAGGTCCTCCATTTAGTTTGGGAGAGAAAAGTTAATATTGCCAGTGACTTGGCATACGGACCACAGAACACTGTTTAGATACCTGACTGCATTTTCTCAAGTAACCATCTGGCTCCAGTGGGTTTTCGTTATTAACAGCAGTTACGTTCTGTGAAGTCACCGTGAACACTGAACCCTTGCTCCTGAAGAAACACAGGTTCCTGCAAGCCTCTAGCCAGGGCAATTTTGTCAATCAATCAGTGCATAACCTTGTTTTATTTGTGTTTCTGCTTAGACACCTGATTTAATATCTACTGCTGACTCATCAGTGCTGAACTCAGAGCTGACAGCCCATGGCTCGAGCTTGGGCGAAGCTTCTCTAACACGTGTTTTCTCTGTAGGGCATGTCACAGCCTTGCACTTAGACTGTCTAGACAGCACCTCAGCACCAAGCTTGGGGCCATTTTAAACAGTGAAATCACCCACAAAAAGCATGAAAATGCACCAAATCTGGACCAAATAAAGCATGCAAAGGACAGATGTGTGCAGTGTGCACTGACATAAGGCCGCATGTTGCCCTTTCAACTGCAGTGGAAAATTGTGCATCGGAGACTCACAGGTCCGTCATGGAGCAGGTGTCCAGTGAGAGCAGGCGTCCAGTGAGAGCAGGCGTCCAGTGAGAGCAGGTGTCCAGTGAGAACAGGCGTCCAGTGAGAGCAGGCGTCCAGTGAGAGCAGGCGTCCAGTGAGAGCAGGCGTCCAGTGAGAACAGGCGTCCAGTGAGAGCAGGCGTCCAGTGAGAGCAGGCGTCCGGTGAGAACAGGCGTCCGGTGAGAGCAGGCGTCCGGTGAGAGCAGCTGTCCGGTGAGAGCAGGCGTCCAGTGAGAGCAGGCGTCCAGTGAGAGCAGGCGTCCAGTGAGAGCAGCTGTCCAGTGAGAACAGGCGTCCAGTGAGAGCAGGCGTCCAGTGAGAGCAGGCGTCCAGTGAGAGCAGGCGTCCAGTGAGAGCAGCTGTCCAGTGAGAGCAGGCGTCCAGTGAGAGCAGGCATCCAGTGAGAGCAGGCGTCCAGTGAGAGCAGCTGTCCAGTGAGAGCAGGCGTCCAGTGAGAGCAGGCGTCCAGTGAGAGCAGCTGTCCAGTGAGAGCAGCTGTCCAGTGAGAGCAGGCGTCCAGTGAGAGCAGGTGTCCAGTGAGAACAGGTGTCCAGTGTGAGCACAGCTTTGGGGGTTCCAGGTAGAGTTTAGCAAGCAGGTGAATTCACGACCGGGCTCCCCGGTGATGAGCTGACTCTGGTCCCGGGATCCCGCTTGGACTTTGTGTCCCTGCTCTGAGCTTGTCATCTGGCCACTCGCTCCTGGGAGAATTCTTCTGTCACGGCCCCTCCGAGACTCCGAACTGACTTCTGCCTTTCACGGTACCCTCAGGATTTCCCTGCGACTGCCTGGATGCTTTCCTGATGTTTGATGCTGTTCTGTAAAATCTTGGTAACATCTGGAGGTTTGGGTGGGGAGGGGCAGAGGGTGTGGCCTGCTCTGTTCTCTCCCTGCCTCTCCTCCCCATGCCACTCCCTTTGCTCAGGTGCTTACTGGCCTTCCTTGGTCTGAGTGGATTCCTCCTCTGCAGCCTCAGAGCCTAGCAGTGCGTCCCTCCTGTCCCTGCTGGAATGCTTTTTCAGACACACAAGCCTGCTGTGCTGCTTCCCTATTTAAACTCCCCTGCTGGCTGGACCTCTAGTGTGTAGTTGTGACTTTGTGGTGTATGACGCCTTCATGGCCCCATGCCCGCACTATAACATGCCAGCTGTTTCTGCAGCTACATCTCCACTGGCACCATGACAGCCAGGTGGCTTCTGTGTTCCAGCCTCCTGGGGCCACCTTCCTTTCCCTTAGTGCAGCCCCCTTCACCCCACCCTTTTTGCTCAGCAAACACCTACTTATCTTTCAAAACACAAGTCAAGGATCACTTTTGCATAGGATCAAACGACAAGCCTTCCCCAACTTGCAAACTTTTAACCCTGTTTGCAGATAGTATCTTGTACTTAAAATGTATTTCCATTGGCAGAGTCAATATTACTTTCTTGTTTTTTAAACTTTTATTAAGGAGTAACTTTTATGCAATAAAATGAACAGGTATTAAGTGAGTTCCATGAGTTTTGACAATTGAACACGACCCTGTAGTCACCACCCAAGAAGAAGACGTCCCGTCATCTCCGAAAGTCCTGTGTGCCCGTTCCTGGAAGATCGCCCACCCACCGTCCCCAGGGGCTCTCACTTGCTGCTTCTATCACTGTAGAATATTTTTCCTACTCTTAAAAAAATGGATTCATAGAGTATGTATTTTTTTGACTTTGCTTATTTCACTCAATGTAGCGTTTTTGAGATTTATTCATGTTGGTGCATGTATCAATAGTTTCTTTCCTATTGTTGATGATCAATCTTCTGCTGAAGAATGTGCCACATTTCGCCTTTCCATTCTCTGGATGGACTCCTGGCTGTTGGGAATTTGAGGCTGTTGTGAATGAGGCTGCTATGACTATTTCTGTTGAAGTCTTTCCATAGACATTTGTTTTCATTTCTCTTGGGTAAATGCTAGGAGAGGAACTGCTGGCCATAGATGTCAATGTGAGATGTTGTAACTTTTGGAGAACTTGGCACACAGCCCTCATTGATGGCTGCACTGCCTCATACTCCCACCAGGCAGGGCTGGGAGCTCCTGGCTCTCCGGGTCCTCATCAGCACTTGCTGGTGTCAGTCTTTTGTGTTTTGTTTTATTTTATTTTATTTATTTTTTTGAGATGGAGTTTCACTCTTATTGCCCAGGCTGGAGTGCAGGGGTGTGATCTCTGCTCACTGCAACCTCCGCCTCCCAGGTTCAAGCAATTCTCCTGCTTCAGCCTCCTGAGTAGCTGGGATTACAGGCGCCTGCCACCACACCTGGCTAATTTTTTATATTTTTAGTAGAGATGGGGTTTCATCATGTTGGCCAGGCTGGTCTCGAACTCCTGATGTCGTGATACGCCCACCTCGGCCTCCCAAAGTGCTGGGATTACAGGCGTGAGCCACCACGCCTGGCCAGTCTTTTGTACTTTAACTGCTCCCGAGGCCCCTGTTGCATCTTCACCAGGCTGTTTGCATCAGTTTCTTGTCTGTCAGCTGAAAGATCTGCAAAGGGGCTGGTTCTCTGTCCTGGCACTCCCCGTGGTGCTCAGGACCTGCAGCCCTGTGCCCTGGCACTGGCCAGGTGATGGGTGCCTGCTTCCATTGGCACTGAAAGCAAACTCTTGTTGATTCAGGACCTGCAGCCCCGTGCCCCGGCGCTGGCCAGGTGAGGGGTGCCTGCTTCCGTTGGCACTGAAAGCAAACGCTTGTTGAGTCAGGACCTGCAGCCCCGTGCCCCGGTGCTGGCCAGGTGACGGGTGCCTGCTTCCGTTGGCACTGAAAGCAAACGCTTGTTGATTCAGAACCTGCAGCCCCGTGCCCCGGCGCTGACCAGGTGATGGGTGCCTGCTTCCGTTGGCACTGAAAGCAAACGCTTGTTGCGTCAGGACCTGCAGCCCCGTGCCCCGGCGCTGGCCAGGTGATGGGTGCCTGCTTCTGTTGGCACTGAAAGCAAACGCTTGTTGAGTCAGGACCTGCAGCCCCGTGCCCCGGTGCTGGCCAGGTGATGGGTGCCTGCTTCCGTTGGCACTGAAAGCAAATGCTTGTTGCGTCAGGACCTGCAGCCCCGTGCCCCGGCGCTGGCCAGGTGATGGGTGCCTGCTTCTGTTGGCACTGAAAGCAAACGCTTGTTGAGTCAGGACCTGCAGCCCCGTGCCCTGGTGCTGGCCAGGTGATGGGTGCCTGCTTCCGTTGGCGCTGAAAGCAAACGCTTGTTGAGTCAGGACCTGCAGCCCCGTGTCCCGGCGCCAGCCAGGTGACGGGTGCCTGCTTCCGTTGGCACTGAAAGTAAACGCTTGTTGAGAGCCTTCCCACTTGATATTTTCCTTAGAATCTTGGAGTGTTTTTGTGTGTGTGCATGTCCTGACCTAGGATTTCAGGTCGCTGGGGACAGTATGACACATGTTGGGATTAAGAGACTCTGTCGGTCCTGTGCCCTCCCTCACTGCCTCTCACCCCACATGCTCACACCAGCTGTGACTTCTTTTGGATGAAGCCAGTTTTCTCCCTAAGAATCCGAGTGTCTTTGGGAGGCCGACACCCCAGGCCTTCTCTCTGGGTTTCAGCTCAGCCTGGGCTCCTTTCTCGGGCTCCTTCCCTCGTCAGCACCGTCACAGCTCTGTTTTCTGAGTGGTCATGCCCAGGCACTTACAGTTTCACTGGCAGAGGCTTTGTTTACAGTTGCGCTTGTCTCGTGGGCAGAGGAGGGAGTGTGGCGGGAGGGGGTTGAATAATTAGGAGCAGCAGGATCCTGGGTGCCTGGGTGGGAGGTGGCCGTACCAGAGAATTAGAGGCGTTTGATGTGCGCTCTGCTGGGAGTTGGAAAAAAGGTTGGAAGTTGGCAAATTCAGCTTACTTCATGTTTTGTTTTTGGCTGGCTCTGTGTACCTAACAGCGTCCACATTATGACAATGCATATTCTGCAAAAATGCATTTTGCAAATGATGCCTATCAAACAGCTGATATGAACTGTGAACTCACTTTTAAAGACAGGGTCTCTGTCACCCAGGCTGGAGTGCAGTGGTGCAAACACAGCTCACTGCAGCCTCAAACTCCTAGGCTCAAGTCATCTTCCCACATCCGTCTCTTGAGTAGCTGGGACCATGGGTGCACGCCCCCACATCCAGCTAATTTTTAATTTCTTTGTTGAGTTGGGGTTTTGCTATGTTGCCCAGGCTGATTGCGAGCTCCTGGGCTCAGGTGGTCCTCCTACCTTGGCCTCTCAGAGTGCTGGGATGATAGGTGAGAGCCACAGCTCCCGGCCCCTCACTTTGAATTATTAAAAGGGCTTAAGTCTCATGAATTAATGCTGTAATTGCAGTGATTGGATTCGCATTTCTAGTGCTTTAATGAAAGCCGCAGTGATGGCCAGACAGAAGCAGCGTACCGAGAAAACCATGTTTCTGGATGTCCTTTTAAAACTTTCAGCACAGGCCCACATTCTGAAGAAAGCCATGCCTACCTCTCTTGGTGTCTGCTGTCTCTAATCTGGTCTATGCCACATGCCAAGTGGAGCTCCTGAGGATATGGTCATGCTGTGCCCGAGGTGTGGGTCCTGCCAGGCTCCAGGCCTGCGTGAGGACTTTGTGCGGCAGAATCATCAGTGTTCCCTGGTGGTTTGAGAGGGTTTTAAAGATGTACAGACATTGTGTTTTCTTTAAAGATTAGAGGGCAAATGCTGGAGAGGCCTAGTGAGGCAGTTCTGTGATGTTTGTTTGGTGTTGCCTGCAAAGGAGAATCAGCTAGATGTGGGCTGTTTGCACAATGAGTTTAGACGGTTGTACACAACCATGTAACCAACACCAGGGGCCCAGCCCTGGCTCTCATGGCGGAGCAGCCTCCATCTGCCAGGCATGGAGACTCTAACCCACAGCTGGGCCGGGGCCTGTGTCCTGCTGCCTTGGGAGTTGAGATTGACATGATGAGATGCCTGCATTGACATCTACAGTGGAGAACCTTGTGCACCTGCATGTGTGTGTGTACATGTATGTTTATATGTGTGTGCATGTCTATGTGTGCACATGCGTGTGCATGTGTGTACATGTATGTGTATGTGCATGTGTGCATGTGTGTGTCTGTGTGTCCATGGGTGTTTGTGTGTATGTGTATGTGCATGTGTGCATGTGTGTGTCTGTGTGCACATATGTTTTCTGAGAGTGGGGTTGTGCAGGCAGGGCTGTGACATTTGCTGAGAAGAGGTTGCTGTTGGCAGCCCTGCGTCTCCAAGGCCGGGTCTGTACTTCCCCCAGCAATCCCCGGCCGTGCTGTGTCCTCGCCCCCTCAAATGCTGCTCCTCTCCTTGGCTTGCTTGTTGTGCCCCCCCACCCTTCCTGGGTCCCCATCCACCTGCCACCGTCCACAGCCTGATACACCTTCAATGGCTGGTTTGGGGTTTCTGGCTCATGAATCCTGTTGATATTAACCTCTCACCAGATCCGTGGTCTTCTCACCACGCTGCGTGTTCACAGATCCCACTGCATGATCGGTTGATTAGACCGAAGGCGTTGTGCCTGCGTGTTTCTCTCTCACTTCACAGAGTACTGGGTGCACCTTCCGTGGTTGACACGCAGAGTGGCAAGCAGCCGCAAAGCAATAATTATGATCAATACAACTTTGTTGGATTAATGAAGCAGTTTAAGGAAATAAGAAAAGCATCTCCGTGAGGAGATCATCTGAGGAGTGCAGCAGTGGACCTTAGGGCCTTGGATTCAGGTGTAGGGAATCTCCTTTGTAAAGAGAAACTGAGGAAGATTGGGTTTGCATAAGGCCCCGTGGGCCCCACTCTTATGCTAAAGTCTTCAGGCTTGGAAGTGCTGCCCTCATTAGGATGGAGCATACGTACTTTCAGAGCATGTGCGTTAATGAAGTTAAGGAAAGAGCGGTGAGATCACGGAATGCTGAAAGGCTGTGCTGCCTGGTTCGGCCTTAGCCCTGGGTCTTTCCTGAGTAGCTGTGTGGCCAGTGGGCTTGTGGGGCTCGCTGGACGGTGGGGCTGCTGGGATGGGCTTTGAAACACCTGCTTCTCCTGTGCAGCGGGCTTCCTGTGATGAGTGGCTGTCCTTAGCCCACTGTGCCTTCCCACTCTCCAGCAATGTGACTTTCAGCTCATTTTGATGAGAAATAACGTTCACAATAGGCTGTTTCTCTCCTGGGGGTTCACACAGATGGTCCCTGCTCGGGGATGGCTCACTGCCCTTGCTCGCCACCCAGGTGGCTGTGCCCTTTCGTACCTGAGCCGCCTGACCCTGTTGTCTTCACTCAAGCTCACTGTCATAGTGTAATAAGTGGCCATTCAGTGAACACTGGGCCCTCCGTCCTCACGGCCTGGGGAACGGTCTGCACCCCTCCTGGGTCCTCTGTCCTCACAGCCTGAGGAACAGTCCGCACCCCTCCTGGGCCCTCCATCCTCACGGCCTGGGGAACAGTCTGCACCCCTCCTGGGCCCTCCGTCCTCACGGCCTGGGGAATGGTCCACACACCTCCTGGGCCCTCCGTCCTCACGGCCTGGGGAATGGTCCGCACTCCTCCTGGGTCCTCTGTCCTCATGGCCTGGGGAATGGTCTGCACTCCTCCTGGGCCCTCCATCCTCATGGCCTGGGGAATGGTCTGCACTCCTCCTGGGCCCTCCGTCCTCACGGCCTGGGGAACGATCTGCACCCCTCCTGGGTCCTCTGTCATCACGGCCTGGGGAATAGTCCGCGCTCCTCCTGGGTCCCCCCACCTCAGGCCACAGCTTCCCTCATCCAGCCCAGTCTTCCTGGTTGAAGTCAGTGCTCTGGGCCCCTGGGCAGCATCTCCACCCTGGGGTGGCCTCAGCGGGTCCCGCATTGGGGTCGTGTTGTCCTTGCTGCTGCTTCTCAACTTGCTGGGTGGTGGTAGCTGAGGTCCCAGATTGGCTCATCCAGTCCGGACGGCACATCCAGCTCTGTGCCAGGCGCTCAGGGGCTGCATGGCGGGGTGGGACCCAGCCACCCTCAGAACCCACAGCCCCCGAGAGGCTGCATCTCACCGTCTCAGGGGTCTTTTAGACAGGTTTTCCCTTGATCGCCGCCCTGCATGGAATTTTACTAGCAGAGACAGGTTGCATCTTTCTGTAGGCCGTGGTCTCTCAGACGGTCACACACCACCATAACATCTAAGATCTCTTCAGGTCCCAAGTACCCGTTTTCACCCCTGGGGCTGATGTGGCCCCTCTGAGAAAGTGAATGGGAGCGAACTCGTTTGCAGCAGTGAGCAGACTCCGAGCAGAGTGGACAGTGCTGTGTCCAGGAGGGGGTGTGATTTTACACATAGTCTAAATAAAGGAAAGGTGGGTGGGGTCAAAAGAGGTAGAGAATGATTCCCGAAAAGGTAGGCATTTCTTGGGACCTTAAATCCTCTCTAGGGTTTGAGTAAGGTGAGAAGAGGCCACAAGGAGACCCAGGTAACAGCTGCCATGACGGGCTTGGACGCTGGTGGCGGCTTCTGGGCTCCGTGGCTCCCACGGCTCCTGGCTTTATGGCTGGGGTGCATTTGTGTGTCTAGACTTTGGGCCTGGGTTCATCCCCAGGCCCCGTCAGGGTCAGCTTGAGTGCCGCTTCCTCCCCACAAACCTCTCCATGTTTCTCCAGTGTGGAATTGCTTCCCCCAGCCTGGAGCTCACGCCCCATTTTATCTCTGCCTCTCTTCCTAGAATTATAGTATATTCCTTATATTATACTTACTTTTGCTTGTGGTTTATTCCTTGCTATATAGGCTGTAAACCCTCTACAAATAACATCTACCTCTGCATGTATTGTCTTTTTTCCACTGTTTATTGATTGAAAGGGAAAGGGATCCTTGAGGCCACCTCTACTCTAGCTGCTCCTGTCCATGGGGAAATGGGAGCCCAGGAAAGCTTGGAGATGGCTCCCAGTAGGAGCTGCCTCTGACGTTACCAGTGAGATGCCCACCGAGAAGCATCACACATCTACACGCCCGGCATTCTGCTTTTAAGTTAGTTGTGGGTTCATTCTTTTATAAAACTCGAATCACAAGATACAGTTAGAAGCAGGGCTGCCTCAATCCACTGGCCTTCCATGGTTAGTAGGAGTGGTTGGGTCAAAGGGATGTTTTACTATTTTAGCCAGAGAAACGTGCTGTACTTTGAATTTTATATTCCCATTTTGTGATACTTATGCTAAAATCATGAGCATAATGAATGAGCACATTATGTTTGCACTGCACTATTGATTAGACATTAACATTTTGCTAGCACCAGGAAGGAACTATAATTCATGCACTTAGGGCTTTCAAAAGAAATTTGGAGTCAGATTATGGATAGAAAGATGTATCCGTGAAATACATTTAACTGTAGCTCCAATGTGAATTTTAAGCTGCTGCCTTCTTGCTGGGTTGGCGGGGGGTGTGGATTTTAGATTTATATGGTGGCGAGAGTGGTGTTGGTTCAGAATAGGAAAAGGCCTCTCTGTTGTAGGTGATTAAGCACTAGGATATCCCATGCATGGCCCTGTAGGATTCTCATTGTGGAGATCTTTAAAAACCAGAGGGAGAATCATATATTTGTTTAATAATAGATTATTATGCTCCCTGGAGTCAGAGCTATTCTAGATTTTTCCTTGAAGTCTATTTTAGTCCAATGATTCTGGGGTTTTTAAGGAGACTGTTTTCGTCTGTGTCTTCTTAGATGTTATGGATCCAGTGCTGAGACTCTTATGTAAGTTCAAAGAGAGGCAGGCAGCGATGGTCTCTGTGTTTGGGGTCCACACATATCCCGGCCCTCCTGCCTGTGTGGCGGTGGTGGAAACCGCTACTGCACCAGATACGTACTTCTGTTTCGAGGAGATCTTGGGTGACCGATTCTCCGGCCTTGTTGCTGTTTCCGTGTGTTATCAGGTGACGAGATGCAGGGCTGACATGCTATGGTTTGCTCTGTGTTCTCTAATTCACAATTTGTGCTTATTCGAAGAAATGAACACTGGCTAAGCTGCCTGTACTTTACCAGAAAAGTTCTAGCATAAGAAAAAAGTTCATTATGTTCTCTCTTTTCCCCCAAGATATTTGAAACTTTTAAATAATCTTTTCATTTTGATCCAGCTTAAGTCTTCCAGCAAGGGCACTGGTTGTCCTATACAAGTTAATATCACTTCTTTTTCATTTTATTTCTTTTTTTTGGACAGAGTCTCACTTTGTCACCCAGGCTCGAGTGCAGTGGTGCAATCATGGCTCACTGCAGCCTCGGCCTCCTGGGCTTAAGTGATCCTCCCACCTCAACCACTGAGTAGCTGGGACTGCAGGTGTGCACCACCACACCTGGCTAATTTTTTTTGTTTGTTTTTTTGTAGAGACGAGGTCTCCCTATGTTGTCCAGGCTGGTCTTGGATTCCCAGGCTCAAGTGATTGGCCTGCCTTGCCCTCCCAAATTGTTGGGATTATAGGCGTGAGCTACTGCTCCTGGCCTCTGCCTTTTTCTAAAAGCTCTAGACACTTACCTGACTGATTCGTAATGGGAATGATTTGCCCCCTAGGCAAACTATTATTGTTTGGGTAGAGTTTTTCTTTTCTCATTTATAATGCCCAGAATAATGAAGGGTTTTCATGAAGCTCTGTCAGTGGTGATTAGGATAAGGACTACTTCTTCCTGTTCCCAACTCCATGACCATATATCCTTCCTAAATTATTTCATTTCTTCTGGATGGTTTCTTAGTCTAGGGAAGCCCTTCTGATCGCCAGCACAGTTGCTCAGTGTGCTCAGGGAGTTTCTTTGGGGCTGGGGCTTTCTTCCTATGGTGCTTCCTCATCTTTGGGGCCACTACGTTTTTATGTCCCGCTAGACTCTTCACTTATCTAAAGATCTTCCCTGAAAATAAAGCCCACACCCAAACTCAGATGGCTCCCAGCTCGCAATCGGGTTGCATTTCACAATGCCCTTGTGTCAGTTGTTTTGAACTCCCAGACCACCTGTAGTTTCTAATGTTATAAAAGTATCCGTCCTATAATTTTTTTTTCTTTTTTGGGACACGGTCTCTTTCTGTCACCCAGGCTGGAGGGCAGTGGCACGATCTGGGCTCACTCCGCCTCCCAGGCTGAAGCAATCATCCCTTCTCAGCCTCCTGAGTAGCTGGGACTACTCCTGAGCCCAAGCAGTCCGCCGGCCTTGGCCTCGGCCTCCCAAAGCGCAGGGATTACATGCGTGAGCCACCGCACGCAGCCTGCGCTGTGATTTTTAAACGGTAGTTTCTAATGTCCCGTACACGTCTTGTTTGGATGTGGTCCAGGCTGGGAACATAGCCAGCACCTACAAGCATATTTCTAGGGGAAACCACATTCTGAATTTCAACTTGGTCTGTGAGTTCCTGCTGGGTTTCCCATCTAGCCCTTCCGTTTTGAGGAAGAAAAAGATAGAATGATGCATTTTGCCAATTCCTTTTACAGAGAGTTTTTGCCAAGATTGTTTGGAAACCACATGGAAAATTGGGTGTCAGTTATCAGCTTAAGACTCAAAGAAGATGCCAGGCAGCAATTTACCTGTGTAGAATTGCAGCTGACTTGACTAATCGGATTGACTTGGTTGCAAGTGACAGATACTCAGCTCATTCTGGTTGACAAAAGTAGAGACTTTACAGGATCATGTAATTGGAAGCAGGATCTGAGGCCTCACAGTTGTCATGGCGCTGGGTCTCAAGGTGTTACAGCTCTTCTCTCTGGAGGGCGGCCCAGGCAGCCAGGATTCACTGCCCGTCACTCTGCAGCAGCCGTGCCGCCAGTCGTTTCTGGATCTGTGAGTGGCGTGCGCGTCTCTGGACTGGTCACCGCGGCCAGGGGATCCAATGCGCACCTGGAGAATTGGCAAATCCTGGGAAGTATGGAGAGGTAGGGCTCCCCAAAGGGAGACTGAGGCAAGGTAGCACAAGAGGGACAGGTGCTCTGCAGAGAGAGTCGATAGGTGCCCTGGAAGCAGGTGCCCCCCGAACAGGTGTACCCGGAACAGGCTTCCTTGCTCGGCTGCTCCTGGGGTCCCTGCTGACCCCTTCGGGGCCAGCGCTCCATTTCCTTTCTCGTGGGAACTTTTCAGTGCATTTCAGAGAAGTCGTGATGGATTAAACACCATTTGCTTCGCGTAACCATTGTTGAGTGACACAGCAGACTCTCCTACTCAATTACAATTTGAAATATGATGTCGCTCTTCTTATTAAAGAGGTTATATAAGTTAGAGAACAGTATATAAAAGAAGAAGCATTAAATTATCACCGATACAAATGACTGGGACCCCTAAGAGCAAGGCTGGAAGGAAAGATGAGATCCTTGATAACCGCACTGTGTGGCTGGGGTCGTGGACAGTGTGGTTTTCCCCTGGAACTGGGCATCTAATAACACAAGCACGTGCTTTCACCCTGAATCTCCTACCTGGGACAGAAAACCTCAAATAATTCTTGACTGAAAGACTTTCAGCCACTGCTGCAGAGGTCAGATTCTGCCACGCACTTCTGTATTTAGGGTTTTAACTTGCTCTGTGTGGATTTTTCCCAGTGGGCTGGTGGCACGACATTTCATCTTCTCATCCTAAACTCCGAGTTCTTCTCTGGTGTGATGCAAAGGTACTCGTTCTCATTCATAAGTTCTCTCTCCTCTTTTTCTTCTCATTCATACGTTCTCTCTCCTCTTTTTCTTCTCATTCATACGTTCTCTCTCCTCTTTTTCTTCTCATTCATACGTTCTCTCTCCTCTTTTTCTTCTCATTCATACGTTCTCTCTCCTCTTTTTCTTCTCATTCATACGTTCTCTCTCCTCTTTTTCTTCTCATTCATACGTTCTCTCTCCTCTTTTTCTTCTCATTCATACGTTCTCTCTCCTCTTTTTCTTCTCATTCATACGTTCTCTCTCCTCTTTTTCTTCTCATTCATACGTTCTCTCTCCTCTTTTTCTTCTCATTCATACGTTCTCTCTCCTCTTTTTCTTCTCATTCATATGTTCTCTCTCCTCTTTTTCTTCTCATTCATATGTTCTCTCTCCTCTTTTTCTTCTCATTCATATGTTCTCTCTCCTCTTTTTCTTCATTTTATTCTTGATAGAAACCCAAGGAATGAGGTTGTAGATGCAACACTTATGTGTCCCTGTGTGTTTTTCCATAACTAAAAGGCAATTTCTTAGCTACTTAGCTGTCTCTTTTTACTGCTACCCATTTTCCCTTTGAACTTAAAGCTACTTTCAAAATGACGGGGGTGCTGGTGCACAGGAATAAGGAAGGGAGGATGGGGAGGAGTAAATCACAGCAGCCGGAGGAACATAAAGGGGAGAAGGTTGGCGGGGAGCTAAGAACCGGGTCTTGTGATAAGATGTGGTAGCAGTGAGGCCACTTTCTAAGCAAGTCATGCTACTAAGCAATTGCTACGTGCAGGTCCAAGGCAGAAGATCTATGGTGAAGTCCCGGCTTTGCTTCTGGTTGATTTGGATAATTTTACGCTCATCTGTGTCAGCCTTACCTGTCATATGGCGGATGTGACACCTGCCTCACAGGGTCGTCGGCACGTGGGTCTTCGGCTTTCTGTGTCATGGTGTGACACGAGGCCTCTGATTTCAGCATCACACAGGTTTGGCACATTTGACCTCTGCCTCAGTGATACGTGTTGACGATGACTTACATGTGCATGTAGCGGTGTTTGGTGCAGCTCCATCTCCAGGGGGCCTGTGCACCACGCCAGGAGAGTGATGGTGCATTTCACTTAGAAAGATGCCTGAAGTTCGTGGTGTGGGGCCCTTATTTCCTTTGATGATCAGAGTCTGTTCCTGGGTCTGCTGAGATCCAGGAAGGTCACATTCAGTCCTAGGAGAGGGAGTAGCCCCTGGAAGGACATTCCACCCCAAAAGGGCGTTCTGGGAACAGGGAGGACCAGCAGTGGGATTCCTTCCTCATCTGAATGGAACCACAGAAACTGAAGGGTGGGGTTGGTGCCTCTAGTGAGGCTGGAATGTGGGGATGTGTTTGGGCACCCAGGGCGGAGCCTGTGTGAGGAGGGCGGCCGCTGTCCGAGCTCCTGCCCACCCAGGGTGGACGGTAGTGCTGAGGGGCAGTGCTGCTTTGTGGCACAGGAGTGTGGGCCATCTCAGGGCAGCCTGCCAGCCAACCCACCTCACGCTTGTGGGAGGCACCCACCCTAGGTTTTTAAGCAGTGTGCTAACACTTTCTCTTTGAGAGAAATACTTGTGAAATACTTGTTTAGCCAGTAATAACCCTTATATGTGACCCTTAGGTACTTAGTACCTTTCACATTGGATGATAATTGCTGTTGCTGCCTTTTTTTTTTTTTTTTTCTGAGATGGAGTTTCGCTCTGTCCCCCAGGCTGAAGTGCAGTAGTATGATCTTGGCTCACTGCAGCCTCCACCTCCTGAGTTCAAGAGATTCTGTTGCCTCAGCCTCCCAAGTAGCTGAGATTACAGGTGTGCACCACCACGCCTGGCTAATTTTTTTATTTTTAGTAGACAGGATTTCACCATGTTGGCCAGGCTGGTTTCGAATTCCTGGCCTCAAGTGATCTGCCTGCCTTGGCCTCCCAAAGTGCTGGAATTATAGATGTGAGCCACTGCGCCCGGCCAATGATTACTTCTTCATATTTTATTTATACTCTCTGTATTAGCACGTGGGCACACTTCGATGATTTACTGTTGTTTAATGTCCAAATTAGTTCATAAACAATTATTTTCATTTAGGGTTCTTTCTCACTATTTGAAACTTTGCCCAGTAATCTTTTGACTTTTACCTACACCATTTATTTTGGTCTGAGTTTTGACTGCTAAGAAAATACGTCATCAGTAACGTGCTTAGGGTAAGTACTCTGTCTCTGGCAGGTTTTTTTTTTTTTGTGGCTAATTTCATGCAGCCTGATATCTTAGGCACTTTCAGCTTCCCATTTACACAGCATGAGTCTGTCTAGTTTGAAGTGGTTACTTGATGGTGTGGCATTGGGAAAAGCCATAAAATTACAGATGAAATGGCTTCTTTTTGCACAATTAGAATCTGTCTACCAATACGAGTCAACCTGACTGAAATTGGTGAAGAACGGATGTGTTGTTTTCATGTGAGCTCACCTCCTTTGAGATGAGTGTTTGGCTGAAGATTCCCCCTCCCCTGGCCTTGGAGAGAGAGCGTGACCAGAGGAAAGGGAAGTGCTGCCATTCTCCCGGTGTCCTAAGGTGATGAGTTTTCTCTGTTTCTTTGTCCCTCACTGTTCATTCTCTAGGATTTGTCATGGGAAGTACCAGTCTGTCGTCCGTCTGGCTCTGACTCGCCCAGAAGCATGGTGTGCTCTGGTGCTAATTTCTCTTTGGTTGGCGATGTCTTGGAGAAAGCCTGGACTGCGGTCAAGGCCCTCAGCTCTGGGACTAACTCTGCACCTGACAATCTGCTCTAACTCCTCCTCTCAGCAGGGCTCAGCCCATCAGCACGACTGGGGGTGTGAGCTTGCTCTGTGTCCATCCCTTTCTAACTACTGTTCATGACTTGTAGGTCTTCAAGTGCCATCTCCTCCTCACCCTCCTCTCTCTGGAACATGTGGACTTTCCACAGTGAATCTCATGCTGTTTACTCTCCCCACTTCTAATCTTTGCAGCTTTCCTCCGTCTTTTAATTCCTCCAATTTTACTGATTCTTGCAATACTTGACAATTTAATATTGCTCAAAATACATTTTGTACTGAAATGCTGCTTCATATTGTTTTAGTCATTAATTAAAATATTAAGGAAAATATAGGGTAGTTTATCTGGTACACACCATTACACATTTTATGCTTGTGGCAATACAGTGATTTTAAAACAATAGCAGATATGAAGTTGTAAGTGCCTAATATGCTGATAATTGGATTTCACACAAAGCTGTTTGCCACCTATTGTTTTCGAAGTACATTCTATAAATGAAACTTCATTACACAGTAAATTATTTTTCTGTAATCCTTATTTATGAGACATGCTGTGCTGCAATTTTTTTAACCATTGTTTACTAAATTCTGTTGCCATTTTTAACATAATAATCAACTATAAAAAGGTGTAATTGAGTTTTCTTGTCCAATTTGTTTATCAGTGGGTTTTTAAACTGAGAACAGAGGAGGAAGAAAAATAGCTGGCGGTGATTTATGAATCAGTTCCTTCATCTTATCCTGTGGCTGTTTTCCCACTATGCCAACACATGCCAGAGCTCAATTTCTGTCTGACACACTTCTAGTTCAGTAATGCAGTTATGTTCCTTAGGGACATGTGTTTACACGGAATTGCAAACTTGATTAGGAGATCCTTTGTCAATGTTGACATCTAGAGGTGGCTGTGGTTGGATGTTCGGGTATAATGCCTGTTGGAAAAGGAAGAGCGTACGGCGGGGTGAACTTGAGGCTGTGAGCTTGGATGGCCACCGTGTAGAAGGCATCGCTGTCATCTCCCGGACTTTCCTCTTCACTTTCTTGGTCGTGACCCTGATTTCTGTTTGTTTGTGCACGGTGCCTCCCCGACCTGCCTGGTGCAGCCTGGGTGTGCTGGTGAAGCTCACTCCATTATCCCGCCTGTGGGCGCGAGCAAGTAACCTGATTCAAGTCTGTGAAACCGGAGAAGGGGCTTCTGGGAAAGAGGTTTCCTCCCTTCTTGGAGACAGCTTCTAGGAGTGTGGATTGCTCCCCTTCCTGGGAATGAGCAGGAACTATCTGGGGGCCCTGCCAGGGCTCCTGCCGTGGTGAGAGGCCACCAGCTTTCGGATGAAGCTCCCATCAACCTTGGAATGAGCAGGAACTATCTGGGGGCCCAGCCAGGGCTCCTGCCGTGGTGAGAGGCCACCAGCTTTCGGATGAAGCTCCCATCAACCTTGGAATGAGCAGGAACTATCTGGGGGCTCAGCCAGGGCTCCTGCCGTGGTGAGAGGCCACCAGCTTTCGGATGAAGCTCCCATCATCCTTGGAATGAGCAGGAACTATCTGGGGGCCCTGCCAGGGCTCCTGCCATGGTGAGAGGCCACCAGCTTTCGGATGAAGCTCCCATCAACCTTGGAATGAGCAGGAACTATCTGGGGGGCCCTGCCAGGGCTCCTGCCGTGGTGAGAGGCCACCAGCTTTCGGATGAAGCTCCCATCATCCTTGGAATGAGCAGGAACTATCTGGGGGCCCTGCCAGGGCTCCTGCCGTGGTGAGAGGCCACCAGCTTTCAGATGAAGCTCCCATCAAAGGATATAAGGGGAAGAAAATAAACCACGGCTTCGCTGAGCCATGGGACCAAACTGACTCTGAGGCTCTGCACTTTGCCTTCCTGGGAGCCAGTAAGTTGCCTTTACTGTTAGGCAAGCGTGAATTGGCTTTTCCTTGACTCTCCGTCAAACACGACATGATTGGCACTGGCCGGAATTCTGGAAGGACATGGGGTGGTGAGGCTTCCGGACTTCTGCCAAAGCCTGTACTGGTCGAGGTTCTCCAGAGAAACGGGATCAGTAGGATGTGTGTGCTCCTCCATCTCTGCAAGAGGGAGGGAAGGAGAGAGAGATTTAATGCGAGGAAGTGGCTTGCACAATTGCAGGGGCTGGTGAGTCTGAAATCTGCAGGGTGGGCCAGCAGGCAGGAGACCCAGGGAGGAGTTGGTACTGCAGCGAGGGTTCGAAGGCCGTCTGGAGGTGAAGGCCCCATGACCTTCTGCGTGACCTTGTCCCTATGGCAGTGGGCACGGTTGTCCTGGGGTGTGTCCTGACTGCCCATGGGGGATGGTGAGGGAAATGGAGTTAGCGATGGTGTCTGCGGGAAGTCCCTGCCTCCCAGCCTCTTGTGTACGGCTTCTCCCTTCTGCCGGCCCCGCCAGACTCTCAGCATTGACTCAGGAGTTCTTCCCAAGAGGAATGTAAAATTGAAGAAAGGGTGGCTGCGTTGAGCGTGGGAGAAATCAGGTGTGGCATTTTGTGGCAAAGACAGTGTCATTAGAGAAGGTAGTTTTGAGAATGATTTCTTTTGCTGATAATGAGATGCCTGTGACATTTCAATTAAATCTGTAATTATAGAGTAATATATTATAAACTAATCAAATAGATGAAATTATTAGCTACAGATCCTTGCATTTGGTGTGCTGAGATTTAATCAAAGCTTTGATAAGGACGGGGATAACAGATTAGCAATCATACGGCATACAGGAGCTAAGTGTTTAAATGGGGTTGAGAAATGAGATCAAAATTACAACATTCAGCTTTGGAGCATGGGAGCAGCTGAATTCCAGGCACAATAGTGGTTATCCTAATGCACCCATAGTAAAATTCCTATTTAAGTATTTAGGTATTGATTAGATTAATAGTGCTTTTGAATACATTTATGAGTTTAAAACCTTTGGTAGAGAATCTCTGGTTCTCAAATGAGGAGTGGTTGATGGCTGTGTGTCGTGTAAGTGACAAAACGTGATAATAGAACACATGTAATTTTTCATAATACCCCGGTATGCTTTGCTATAGCTGCTTCTTAGCTATAATAGAAGACTTTCTAAATTATATGTTATTTTCAATCAGTAATATCTTTCAACCAACAAAATGCAACATAAAATTGCTATATTTTCTTACCTTATTATATGGTCAAGACAAAAAACCTATTGTGATCTACAGTTTCTGTTATCTCGTGGATATCCTAGTGGTTTATATTTCCTTTTCAAAACGAAAAAAAAACCAAAATGCTGAGACATTTTGGGATTGTTAGTTACAGTATTTATGGATATAAATTAGGTGGGTGATATTTGATAAAGTGTTTATATTCATATAAACACTTGTATTTTGTATTACAGAAAATATTATGTTGTGATTTAGAAGGTAGATTCTATAATGTCATCTTGTTTCTTTTTATTAGAAAAAGATGCCTCATGTGAAATAGAAACATGAACTCTGCTCTTCCAGGCACCCTTGAGGTGTGCGTGTCTTAGATTTCTTCAAACCTATTCTTTTATTTTCAAAACTGAGGAATAAACAGGAAGGTAAACTGATATGGAAATTATACAGTGTGTTTTAAAGGAGGTGAGGGCCTAGACACTCGCTGATGCTGCTGGCTGAACCCTCCTCCAGGGGCCTGCTCTGCTGAACTTTTTGTCTCTAGCACAAAAGTGGGGGCACTTCCCTCTTTCCCCAGCTCTGCATTCCGAGTAGAACCAAAGAATCTGGGGTTCTTTCTCCCTCCACTGACTGAGGCTGCACATTTCTCCAGCAGATAAACAGTGAGATGCCTGTTATCCTATGCAACAGCTACCTGCCTCTCAATGTTCTTCTGCCGAATGTTCTGGGGCCCCAGAAGCAGGACTCCTGTCTGCACTCAGCGTGTAGTGATGAGGATGAATAGATGATAAAAAGTACAGGACATCTAAAGGGAATCATCCCCTTAAAGGAGAAAACATACTGAATTTTAATTTTAATGGTGACCTCCTATTAAAATAAGCTTAAAGGAGGGACTGGAAAAGAACTCAGAAAAAGATCTAATGTGTCTTTGAAGGAAGGTTTCAGATTTCTTCTGTAAAATAAGAGCAGGATGCCATAAAAAAGGAAGAATTTTAGAATCACAATTTAGTTTATTTTCCCATCAAAATCAATAGAGGCAGTGAAAAGTAGAATAGACATTATAACACCTCAGTTTTGGTAACTGAGTTAAGCGACTGGCCCCAGGTTGTGTAGTGCATAAGATCAAATGGACACACTTGGCTCCAGATGCCATGTTTGCAACACTAGTTTAGCTCTTAGAACATTTCTATTCATGTTCTGAGGATTTTACCTGAGTAATTCATTGAATCCTTACAAATAGCATATGAAGTAAGTCTTATTATTTTCATGTGCCCATTAGGAAACAGGCATGGAGACTTTATGTAACTATGTCCTGAGGATGTATTACTAGTAAGGGCTGGATCCTGGATTCAGACCCTGATTCGGATCCCATAAACCAATATGCTATGTGGAACACCTGTAAAACAAGAATAGGTAGTTTTGTAAAATGACCAATTAGAAATACTATGAACGTTGGGAGGCTGAGGCAGGTGGATCACGAGGTCAGGAGATTGAGACCACCCTGGCTAACATGGTGAAACCCCGTCTCTACTAAAAATACAAAAAAAAAAAATTAGCTGGGCGTGGTGGCAGGTGCCTATAGTCCCAGCTACTCGGGAGGCTGAGGCGGGAGGATGGTGTGAACCTAGGAGGTGGAGCTGCAGTGAGCTGAGATCATGTTACACCACTCCAGCCTGGCAACAGAGCAAGACTCCGTCTCAAAAAAAAAAAAAAAAAAAAAAAGAAATACTATCAACATTATAGCCCTTGAAATGAAAACTTGGTAGATATTTATAGATCAGATATATCTGAAGAAAACATTAATGAAATAGAAGATTAAGCTAAAGAAATTTCCTAGTGTTAAGCATAAAAAGAACATGAGAAAGCACAGTTAACGGAGCGGATATATCTGAAAAGCAAAAAAGTAGATCATTAGAAGCTAAAGAAGGAGGTAATAGAAAGGGGGGTGTCGCAGTGCATGTGTGCTGCTACAACCAAATGCTTGAGACTGGTTTCTTTATAAACAGCAGGAGTTTATTTCTCACAGTTCTGGAGGCCACGAGTCCAAAGTCAAAGTACAGGAGGCTTGGGGTCTGGTGAGGGCTGCTGTCTGCTTGCAGGGTAGTGCCCTGTGTCTGTGTCCTCTGAAGGGAGGAGCACTGTGTCCTCACTTGGCGGAGGAGCAGAACACCCTGTTCCCTCAAGCCTTTTTAGGAGGGCCTTAGCCCATCTGTGGAGGCTTTGCCCTCATGACTTAAGTTTCAGCATGTGAATTTTGGAGACCTTTTCAGACCATCACAGTGGTCAGTCAGTATTTGAGATTAAAATGGCAGATAATTTCCCCAAATTGAGGGAAAATCCTTTCAGATGGATACGTTGTATCACCTGCTAAGCGGAAATAAAGATAAATTCAATATTCTGATGTATCTCTGTAAAATTTCACTGTGTCCAGGATAACAGCAAAATCCTAAACAACTTGGTAAAGAAAATATAAATTGGTTATAGATTGGTAAATAATGCCTTAACAATAATACTAGAAGAAGATATTTATTGAATGTCTTGAATTCTATCCCTAATGTGCCTATCGTTTGATATTGAGGGCAAATAAAGACATTTTCAGACTTGGCAAGTTAACAGAGGCCATACTGAAAGGAGGACAAGAGGATACAAAAGAAGAATACTTTGGAGCATGTGTTCTCATTCATCTCATTTTATCTCATTTCTTAGATGTAGTAATTGTTTTATAAATTTGGGAGCTTCAGTGTTAGTTACATATATATTTAGAATTGTGATATTTTCCTGTTGGACTAGTCCTTTTTTCAGTGTATAATGCCCATCTTTGTCTTTTTAAAATGCTGTTGCTGTAGAGTTTGTTTTATCTGATATAAGAGTAGTTACTCCTGCTTGCTTTTGATGTCCATTTGCATGGAGTATTTCTTCCACCCCTTTATTTTAAGTTTATGTGAGTCCTTATATGTTAGGTTAGTCTCTTGAAGACAGCAGAAACTTGGTTGGTGAATTCTTATTCATTCTACCATTCTGTATCTTTTAAGTGGAACATTTAGTACATTTACATTCAATGTTAGTATTGAGATGTGAGATACTATTCCATTCATCATGCTATTTGTTTCCTGAATACCTTGGGTTTTTTTTTTTTTCATTGCATTGTTGTTATATGTAATAGGTCCTGTGAGATTTATGCTTTAAGGAATTCTACTTTGGTGTATCTCAAGGATTTGTTTCAAGATTTAGAGCTCCTTGTAGCAGTTCTTATAGTGCTGGCTTGGTAGTGGGGAATTCTCTCAGCATTTGTTTATCTGGAAAAGAGTGTATCTTTCCTTCATTTACGAAGCTTAGTATCACTGGATGCAAAATTCTTGGCTGGTAATTGTTTTGTTTAAGGAGGCTAAAAATAGTACCCCAGTGCCTTCTAGCTTTTAGGGTTCCTGCTGAGAAATCTGTTAATCTGATAGGTTTTCCTTTATAGGTTAGCTGATGCTTTTGCCTCCAGCTCTTAAAATTGTTTCCTTTGTCTTGACTTTGGATAACCTGATGACTATGTGTCTAAGGTGATGATCTTTTTGTGATGAATTTCCTGGGTGTTCTTTGAGATTCTTGTATTTGGGTGTCTAGATCTCTAGTAAAAACAGGAAGTTTTCTTTGATTGTTCCCTCAAATATGTTTTCCAAATGGTTAGATTTCTCTTCTTCTCTGGAAACAATTATTCTTAGGTTTGGACATTTAACACAGTCCCAAACTTCTTAGAGGCTTTGTTCATATTGAGTGGATCACAAGGTCAGGAGATCGAGACTATCCTGACTAACACGGTGAAACCCTGTCTCTACTAAAAATACAACAAAATTAGCCTGGCGCGGTGGTGGGCGCCTGTAGTCCCAGCTCCTCAGGAGGCTGAGGCCGGAGAAAGGTGTGAACCTGGGAGGCGGGGCTTTCAGTGAGCCAAGATCGCGCCGCTGCACTCCAGCCTGGGCGACACAGCGAGACTCCGTCTCAAAAAAAAAAAAAAAAAAAGAAAGTTATCTTTTCTTTGTCTTTGATGGGCTGGGTTAATTTGAAAGCCTTGTCTTAAGCTCTCAAGTTCTTTCTTCAGTTTGTTCTATTCTATTGCTGAGACTTTCCAGTGCATTTTGCATTTCTCTAAGTTTGAACTTGATTTCCAGAAGTCATCATTGTTTTTTATTTATGCTATCTATTTCACTGAAGAAGGTTTCTTTCATATACTGTATTATGTTTCTTCATTTCCTTAAGTTGGACTTCACCTTTCTCTGCTGCGTCCTTGATTAGCTTAATAATTGACCTGCATTATTTTTCTGGCAATTCAGAGATTTCTTCTTGGTTTGGATCCATTGCTGGTGAGGTAATATGATCTTTTGGGGGTGGTAAATAACCTTGTTTTATCCTGTTACCAGAATTGTTTTTCTGGTTCCTTCTCATTTGGGTAGACTACATCAGAGGGAAGATCTGGGATTCAAGCGCTGCTGTTCAGACTCTTTTCTCCCACGGGGTGCTACCTTGATGTGGTGTTCTCCCCCTTCCCTTAGGTATGTGGCTTCCTGAGAACCAAACTGTAGTGATTGTTTTTGCTCTTCTGGGTCCAGCCACCCGGTGGAGCTACTAGGCTCTGAGCTGGTGCTGGGGGTGTCTGCAGAGTCCTGTGATGTGATTTTTGTCTTAAAGTCTTGCAGATGTGGATACCAGCACCTGCTCCGGCGGAGGGGGCAGGGGAATGAAATGGACTCTGTGAGGGTCCTTGGTTGTGTTTTTGTTTAGTGTGATGGTTGGCCTCCAGCCAGGAGGTGGTGCTTTCAAGAGTGCATCAGCTGTGGTCCCATAGGGAGGAAGCAAACTTGCCCTAGGGTGTACCTGGTTAAATATTCAGGTTTCTCGGGCAGTGGGCAGGGCCATAGAGCTCCCAAGATATTATGACCTCTGTTTCAGGTACCAGGGTGGGTAGAGAAAGACCACCAGGTGAGGGGCAGGGACAGGCATGTCTGAGCTCAGACTCTCCTTGGGTGGGGCTGGCTGCAGCTGCTGTGGGGGATGGACATGTGGTTTCCAGGCCAATGAAGTTATATTCCCAGGGGGATTATGGCTGCCTCTGCTGAGTCACACAGGTCGCTAGGGAAGTGGGGGAAAGCTGTCAGTGACAGACCTCACCCCACTCCCACGCAGCCCGCTGTCCTAAAGGTTGGTCTAACTCCCACCGTGCCCCACCAACAGTACCGAGTCTATTTCCAGGCAGCCAGTAACCCCCTGAGAATTTTCCCTGGAACTTTCCCTGAACCACGAACCTCCCCATTGAGAAAGCACAGACTCACGGTTTTTCTGCATTTCAGGGAGCCTGCAGCACTGATCTAGTTCCTTCCAAGGGTCTGTGGATTCTCTTGGCTTTCCTAGTATGTTCCTGCCGTAGTTCTTGGGGCAAAAGTTAATGACGTGAGTCTCTACATGCTGCTCTGTACATCCGAGTGGGAGCTGCAAGTTAGTCCTGCCTCCTATCTGTCATCTTAATCCTCTCTGCTGTTTAAAAGAACATGTGCAAACTGTGCTGAGAATAGGAAACTTGTGGCAAGATTTATAAAGAAAATAAAGAGAAAATTCAAGAGTATACAGTTAGTGAAAAATGTTATAGAATCATAAAGTTAGAAGAAATAGAAGATGATCTGTAGAAATTTTTGCTGAGAAATTTGAAAATCAAGATAAATGATTTGTTTTCTTGGTGACTATAAATGATATAAATTGATTCAACAAAACTTAGAAAAATTTAATGGAGCAGTAACCATGGAACAACTAAAAATTTTCATAGATGTCTTTTTACAAGAGGAACTGGCTCAGATATTTTATAGGTAAACTCTTTAAAACCTTTTAGGAAATGATCATTTTATGTTATCTCAGACTAATAAGCATCAGTCTCATTTAATGACTGAATCCAGAATTTGATAAGTATCACAGAAAAGGGCTGACCTTATTTAAGAATATATAAATTTGCTACCCAAAATGTTAGCCAGTTGAATCTAGTTCGATGTTAAGTATGAGCGTAAGCTTTGCCTCATAAGTGCAATGTTATTTTAATAATAGTATCCCTATGTAGTAATGCATAAGATAAGGATATTTAAAAAACCCCTCATGACTATATCAATAGATATCGTAGGACCTTTAAGCAACATAGCAGCCATCTGTGATAGAAATTCTAAGTGAAAGAGAAATGGCAGGAAACTTCCGTGAAACAGGTCAAGATATGATCAGAAACTCAACAGGTGCAGGAGTAAGTGGGAAAATGCTAAAGTATGGAGCAAAGCGGCAATGCCACAGTCATTACTATTATTCCATTTCTTCTGAAGTCTCTACTATCTTGGGAAAATATATGAGAAAAGATATTGGGAATCAAGAGACTTATTTTCATTGGAAAATGATAAAGACTATACAAAATCCATAAGATAATTAGTAACGTTGGGCATGGAGAACAAATATGAGATCAATGAATGAACATTATTAACTGTACTGTGCATGACAGAGTAGTGGAAAAGTAGGCGCATCCTCAGAAAGAATAAGCCTCACAAAATATATTGGAATGAAACAGGAATGTGTAAGATTTATAGGAAAAACAATGAAACACCTGGGAGGTACGTAAAACATCATCAAGTACTTGGTGTGGAGTGGTGCTTGCGTGGCTGACTCGGCATGGAAATGTGGCACTTCATGGAAGTGGTGACTGTGGATTATATCATTTCCATGCGAACCCTTTCCTGTTTGGATTGGTCATGAAAGTGGGAATAGGGGAGTGGATTACGTGGTAATGAAGTTAACCTATAAGAACAAATTCACAAGATTGTTCAATAAGATGTGTTAGAGAAAAAAATGAACCATGAGAGTTCTTGTCTACTAAGAGAAACACACTAGTGCTGTAGGAGATAAATCAATCTGTAGAACAAACTGTTTTATGTGGGTAACATTTTCAAGTTAGTCAGGAAAATATGGATTCTTCAGTAAATTTGTTGGGATAACTGGTTATCCATTGGAGAAAAAATTCATTTCCATCTCACAACACAACAAAGTTTTAAACATGTTAAATATGTAATCATTAAAGATAGTTACTGAAAGTCTAACAGAAAATTTAGTACAATATGTTTTTTAAATTGTGGAATTGGGAAGATCTTTTAAATCACAGAAACAGTGAAGGAAGGAACTGATAGATTTGGACACATGCATATGAAACCCTTCTAAACTGTTGAAAGATATCATTAATGGGGCTAATAGGCAAATGACAAACTGAAAAAACATTTGCAATGTGTAGAATAGATAAGCATCCGGCATATGTAAAGAGTTCCTCGAAAGCAATGAAAAATTTATCCCCCAAAAGAAAAAAACTAAGAAACAGTTTACACAGAAATTTGTTTGCTCAATAATCACATTAAAAGGTCCCCAGACTCTAGGAAAACAGTGAGAAACTATTTTTTTCCACCAGAGGCAAAAGCAAGAAGATTGTTGATATGTGGCAATGTAAATGGAAACCAATGTTTTAGTAGCATTTTGGGCTCATGTGCATATCCTTTGACTCAGTAATTCTGTCTAGAAACCTATCTGCATAAACTCACATAATGAGAAGCATTAAAAAATGTATGCAGAATTCTTAGGAAATGGGAAAATTGGAGATAACCTAAATACTCAAGAGTAAGGGATTTGTGGGGCTAAAATAATTGTGATTGTTTCAGGCCAGGAAGATGTAGTTCTGTCTGTACCGATATGGAGAAATGTTAATATATTAATAGGAAGTGGATAAGTCTTGAAGAGCAGAATGTGAATTCTAGAACGGTGGAGAGTTGAACAGTAAGTGCCTGGAAATGAATAGGCAATTTAGACTGACAGTCACATAAAATGTACGTTAACTGCTTACAGGAAACCAACGGTTGATTTTCAGTTTGTTTATTATTTTATAATGAATATTTCCCAAATGTGCTTGCTACAATAAAAGTCAGCTAATTTTCTTACCTTATTAGAATTTTACATTTGAAAGTATTTACATGGCGTTAACTAACTAATCATCAAACAGATGTTTGGTCAGAGATTCTGGTGACAACAAAGTTTCAGCAGATAGCAGGCAATGTTCAGCAGCCCTGACCTTCAGGAAAGTCAATATAACATGATCATAGTTTTTAAGGCTATATAAAGTGTATGTAGGAGAGTGTTTTGCGATCACCAGCTCAGTGAGAAGAAAAGACTGGCATATCTTTCCAGTGTAACTTTATCAACCTAATAAGTCTCCTTAAAAAAACACAAGTGTTCGTACTTCCTCCGATTCATTTCTGGCGGGGAATAATAATTTCATGCATTAGTATGCCATGGAAAAAATGAGCTGGGAATTTTGTAATTTATCAAAAATACATATATTAGCACCTTCTTTTTAAAAACATGCTACACTGAATTTCATCTGGGTACATAGCATTTTTGTCTCCTGGAAAGAAAATGATCAATTATTAATATTCTCTGGTACTGGTTGTTTGTTTCTTGGAATCTGTTTGGTTCTTTGCAGAACTGGACTAATTTCACAGATAGCTATTTTTCATCAAATTATATAAGGAATCATCATAATTGCTGATTTAAAGTATGGTTTTATTATTTCTCTTTGGTTCAATATTTCAAAATGGTTAAATGTACATTATTATCATTTCAAATCCTGCTTTAGAATGGAAATAGTAGTTTCCATGTTCATACATCCTGGATCCACGCACACAGCGTGCCATTCCACGGTCTGGTCTACAAACAGTTGGTGGTGATTTTTATATACAGTTTCTGTGCCTACTTCTTCTTGCCATATTGCTCTTTTCAGCTGATTAATTATTGCTTAGTCTCACTTTTTAATGTACATTCCATTTTTTTCCCCATAGGGGAGGTTATTTACCCTTTTTATCACATTTTCCCCATCTCTATCCATTCCTCACCTAGGCTTTCTCGCCATCCGAGGCTTGGCCCTAGCCCTGCGCGGCTTCCCTCGCGGCTGCTAACCCTCTGCCTGCGCCCAGCCCAGCCACAATGGGGACTGCTCAGGTACAGTGTGATCTTGCTCTTGCTTCCTGTGTGTGTCCGTCTTGCGGTCCTTACCCAGCATTTGCTTACTTCCTGCTGTGATGGGTGCTCCACCCGGGGAGGGGCACAGGGGTGACGGGGGCCTGGCCAGGCTCAGGCTACCTGGAAGGAAACAGGCAGCCGGGTATGGTAAGGCCGGGGGTGAGTGTTCCTGGGGCAGAAGCAGGAGAGGCTGCGGACACTGTCCACAGCTTCAGCTGGATGTTTCTCTGTTCAAACAGAGCTGTGTTTAAAAACTTCTCATGCGCACAGTGTTTCTGCTGTTATCATTGGCAGTGGTGAGAGAATGTTGAGAAATTCGGGAGGCCTGACAGAGAGTAGGAGCAGGGCCACGTCACTGCGTGTGCTCCGAATGAATCTGTGCATTCACCAAGTGTACGTGTGACTGCAAACTGTCCCCAAATACTGCCAGAATGGAGCTTTTCAAATAGCAGTCTGAACTGTTTTCCAGTGGCTTTCAAAGAGCTTTCCTGTGGAAGCTGGTGGTGTGTGGGGAAGCAGGAGTGCATGTCCACAGGCCTGGGCGTGGTGAGATGGGACACAGCCTTCGGACAACAGCATCCTGGGGCTGTGGACGCCACAGTGACCACTGCTGGGTGCTTCAGGGACTGTCCAGAGGGCCATGCCCACCTCCTGCAGTCCCCAGACCCACAAAGAGCAGATTGGAGAGGAGGGTTTTGTCAGTTTACCTGCCCCAGTGCCAGTGGGTGAAGCAAACAGTCACGGAGACGGCATTTCACGAGATTTGTCAAAGGGAAGAGAGGATTATTTCTTATTTCTTATTCCAGAGGTGCTTTGCACTGATGGAAAGGTCTAAATTTCAGGGGGGGCCATGTTGCTGCCACTGCCTGTCATCTCCTTCTGTTTCTTTCCTTCTTTTACGTCTCACTTGGTGGCAGCTTCACACGTTCTGGCTCAGAGTTCCGATACTTTCTCTACCCACTTGGTGGCCTCAGAAGATGGTGTTGACTTCAGGCTGCCAGACCAAGTTGCCACCTCAGGAACAGGCAGCTCTTGTTCTGGCATTTCGGGAGCTCTGTGTACAGCTTCTGAGGAGTTGTAAGGCGAGCTTGAATTCATTATTATTATTATTATTATTATTATTATTGATATCTGCTTTCCCCCTGATCAGAAAAGACAGTTCACAGTACGCTTGTCAACTCTCCATTGAAACTCCCTGTAACTAGCAAGGGGCAATTGCTTATTTGTACTGTGAATTAGTTAGGGTGCTTAATTGCAAAGAAAAGACTCACTCTGGTGTGTTTAAGCAGAAGATAACTTGTTAAAAAAGAAATCAGGCATCCCAGAGACCCTTGACTTCCGTCAGCTCCAGCAGCACGGGGCTCAGCAGGAGACCCCCAAGAGCTCTGCACAGACCCCTTCCTGGGACACGCACCCCAGCAGGGATGTGTGGGTGTCAGGATATAGCTGTGGCGCCTGCCTCCAGCTGCCAGAGATGTTGATCGAAATGTTTTTGTTGTTGATGTTTGTCGTCGTTTTGTCTTGCACTTTGGGAAGTGGTCATTCGCAGCACGGGGAGCTGTCAGAAGTGCAGGGAGGCCATTCGGGAGCCCGGGGCAGCCAGGACGGGGGAGGTCAAGAGTCTGCGGCCTGGGTCCATCCACCCGGGCTGTCCTCTCGTTCTCTTGTTGTGCGATGACAGTGGCAGCGCCCGTGACACACAGCTATCCCTTATACGATGGAACCCCACTTAGCTTTATCCCAAAGGGGAAGTTGCAATCACATTTGTCACGTCCCCTAACTCCGAAAGGATCCTGGGACAACATTTCTTCTTCTTTTTTTTCTTCTTCTTTTTTTTCTTCTTCTTCCTCCTCTTCCTTTTTCCTTCTTCTTTCTTTCTTCTTCTTTTCTCCCTCTGTCACTCAGGCTGGAATGCAGTGGTACCATCATGGCTCACTGCAGCCTCAACCTCCTGGGCTCAGGTGATCCTCCCATCTCAGCCTCCTGAGTAGCTGGGCCTATAAGTACTTGCCACCATGCCTGGCTAATTTTTGTATTTTTTTGTAGAGATGGGGTTTTGCCATGTTGCCCAGGCTGGTCTTGCACTCCTGGGCTCAAGCAATGTCTTTGTCTCGGCGTCCCACAGTGCTGGGATTGCAGGTGTGAGCCCACCATGCCCGGGCACATTCCTTCTTCTTTCTCTGGTTCAGCACAGCCCCTCTTGATTTAGATGCTGCCAGGGTTCCCTGCAGGAAATGAGGGAGCGCGTTGGCTTACTTTTCCTATATAAATATCTGCATGACACAGCAGTGTTACGGGCAGCTTTTATGGTTTGAGGACCCAGTATTCGTGACTCCTGTCCCCACCCCCACCTGTGTTCCCCTTGTCCTGGCCCCAGTCCTGGCTCCGGGAGCTTCCCCTCTGGTGAAGATGACTGCTGACCTCCTGGTGGTTCCGCCTGTTTGGGTTCACTGGGGTCACTGCCATCCTCTGCAAGCTTTGTCTGGTAAGTGTGGTAGTGCTAGCGATTCAGAGGACCCAGGATCCAGACATGCTGCCCTCATCAGCAGCAAAAGAAGCTCTCCTGCACCCCAGGGATGTGGTCACACCCACTTCCTTTCTGCCCACTGGTTTGGTGGCACAGGCAGCTCAGCCTCCAGCCGCAATTCACTGGAGCACCCCGCATTGTCCCCTGGCATCTCACTCCCTGAGGGGCCATGGAAGCCACAGGGCATCAGGGGATAGGAGACAGAGATTTTGAGAGGGGCCGCCCCACCTCCGTGGCGGTCTTTGGAGCGATGTCTTCTGGCTGCAGGACAAGCAGCACCCTGTGTTGACTCCAGGTGCGAGTAAGATACGCACCACATCCTGCAGGAGCCGGCTTGAGAAATCCCCCAGAACTCACTGCAGACCCTGCCAGAGGAGGGCTCTTCCTCTGCCCTCACTGTCCCCAAAATGACCCCACAGAACCATCTGCAGGGTCTCTGCTACCGTACGGCTGTCAGGATACATACATGCCCTGGACGCCTGAGAACCAAGTACCTGTGGTTCAGCCACACAGCTGTTGGATCAGGTTGTGCTGTTAGATTCTACCTTGGGAGGGTGGAGCTTTCTGTGGGAAACTGTACACCTTTAGGATGAACAGGCACACAGTTAGGATTTGGGATCAGAGAGTTCTCTGTTGTGGGCTTTCCTGGGTGTGGAGGCTGTTCCACAGAAGCTGGCCTCTGCCCGGAGGCAGCCGCACTTCCTTCCAGCGGTGAGTGCCAGGCAGTCTTCAGCACCACCAAGTCCTGTGGGCAAAGCATTCCCCACCCACTGAGAAACTTTGTTAGCATGAAGTTCATCTTGTTCCCTTATTATCTCTAACGACATCATCCCTCTCATTCCAGATGTTGCTAATTTGGGTCTTCTCGCTGTTCTTCCTCTTCAGTCTGAAGTTTATCCATTTTATTGATTTTATCAATGAACCAGATTTTGGTCTCATTGATTTTCTTTTTTAAAAATTTTTAATTATTGTGGGTTCATATTAGGTGTATTTATTTATGGGCTACTTGGGATATTTTGATACAGGCATGCACTTCAAAATAATCACATCAGGATGAAAAAGGTATCTGTCACCTCAAGCACTTATCTTTACTTTGTGTTATACACAATCAATTATACTCTTTTAGTTATTTTAGAACATACAAGAAGTTGTTGACTGTAGTCACCCTGATGTGGCATCAAATACTAGATTGTATTCATTCTATCTGACTATATTTTTATACGCATTAACCAGCCTTTCTTACCCTCCACTACCCTGGGAACCGTACTTCTTCTCTATTTGCATGAGTTCAGGGTTGTAATTTTTGCTCCCACAAATAATTGAGAACATGCTGTGTTTATCTTTCTGTGCCCAGCTTATTTCACATAACACAATCAACTCCAGTTCCATCAATATTGTTGCAAATGACAGGATCTCATTCTTTTTTATGGCTGCATAGTTCTCCACTGTGTATGTGCACCACATTTTCTTTATCCATTTGTCTGTGGACGGACACTTAGGTGGATTCCAGATCTTGGCTGTTGTAAACAGAGCTGCAGTCAACATGGGCATGCAGATACCTCTTTGATGTCCTGATTTCCTTCCTTTTGGCTTGGTTTTATTGATTTTCATTGTTGTGTTTATGTTCCCTGCTTCACTCATGTCTGTCTTGGTCTTTATTATTTCCTTCCTTTCATTCACTTTGGTTTTAATTTGCTCTTCTTTTTCAGGTTTTTTGAAGGTCAAAGCTGAGGTCAGCGATGTGAGACTTTTTCCCCACAGGCATTTAGTGTTACAGAATTTCCCTGTGAATTTTCACCTTTTTGGGTGCTGGGTATTTTGTGTTTCTGTGACATTCTTGGGAAGTAGTTGTTTTGCTGAGCAGAATTAGCTGGGAGCCCTGCCTTCTGCCTGTGGCTGCAGCCTGGTGTCTCGAGGGTCCCGCGCCCCCTCTCGCAGCCTTCTCTGCCCGTCTGTGCTTCACTCGGTCATGCTGACTTGTCTCTTCTGCTGCTCGAGGGACCTCAGTGCTGTGTTTCTTTGGTGGCCTACGTGTTCCTGTGTCCCAGCTACGTTTGGGATTTCTTCTTAGACCTTTGTCATTTATGTGGATTTGAGGAAGGAGAGAGAAGCTTAGGGGTGTGCTCATTTTCCAGCCTCGCACCAGTCTTTCTCGTGAATGTTTTTGTAGAAACATCCAGTCTTTCCATTCTCTCTCACTAGAGGAGGTGTTTCAGAACTACAGAAGGGCTTACCCCATATCCATGGAGATGTTTGCTGTTTCCCCTTATGGCAGTGGTTCTCAAATGGGGGCAGTTTTGTCCCCGGGGACATTTGGCAATATGGGGAGACATTTTTGGTCACACAGTTGGAGGGCGTTTACTTCCAGCATCTGATGGGTCATGGTGGGGGATGCCACAGAGCAGCCTACAGTGCCTGGACAGCGCCACAGCCAAGAATCATCCAGACCAAAATGCTGAAAAAGGCTTCATTTGTATTACCTAACCTATAAAACTTAGGTATCTCCTGGAGTGTGAATAAGAAGGAGAAGGAGATAATATAACCTTGATATAGAACTGTTTGTCTTCAATGTGAGGATTTTTCATGGGTGTTCTTAGGGCATTGAATGGTAGCAGACTTGCATGCAAATTCATTTAAATGGATTATTTTTAAAATACACATTTGGACTTTCAGGAATAACAATCACATGTCTTTGAGACAACCCACTGAACTTACTCAAACGGTTATTTCAATGATATGATAGTTCAGTGTAAATAATTACGTGTATAACGCTTTCTTCAGTAATTATTGCAATTGCAATCTTCATGCAGAACTTAGAACAGTATTTACATTTCTGTTGTGCTTAGACAAGCATAAGAACGACTGCATTTTGATATTTTGTCTCATTTGAAATAAGATAAATGATAGCATGAATTCTTAGCATTACTTCTGGGTCAACCCACAATAATTCTGAATGTAGAAATCTAATTTATTTTGCAAAAGAAAATTCTCTTTTGTCCAGGTAACTGAATAGATCTATGTTGCTCAGAGACAAAGACTATGTGGAAAAGAAACTGAGGACACATTTATTATCGGGGGACCTGCCCCGATAATCACGTAGGTTCTTTTCTATTTTCCTAAGCGTCGGCTGGCTTGAGAAATAAAAGGACAGAGTACAAAAGAGAGAAATTTTAAAGCTGGGTGTCCGGGGGAGACATCACACATTGGTAGGATCCGTGATGCCCCACAAGCCACAAAAACCAGCAAGTCTTTATTAGGGATTTTCAAAAGGGGAGGGAGTATATGAATAGGTGTGGGTGACAGACATCAAGTACTTAACAGGGTAATAGAATATCACAAGGCAAGTGGAGGCACGGCGAGATCACAGGACCACAGGACCGAAGCGAAATTAAAATTGCTAATGAAGTTTTGGGCACCACTGTCATTGATAACATCTTATCAGGAGACAGGGTTTTGAGATCAACCAGTCTGACCAAAATTTATTAGGCAGGAATTTCCTCTTCCTAATAAGCCTGGGAGCGCTATGGGAGACTGGAGTTTATTTCACCTCTGCAATCTCGACCATAAGAGACAGGTACGCCCCGGGGGGGCCAGTTCAGAGACCTACCCCTAGGTGCACATTCTCTTTCTCAGGGACCTTCCATGCTGAGAAAAGGAATTCAGCGATATTTCTCCCATTTGCTTTTGAAAGAAGAGAAATATGGCTCTGTTCCGCCCAGCTCACCGGTGGTCAGAGTTTAAGGTTATCTCTCTTATTCCCTGAACAATTGCTGTCATCCTGTTCTTTTTTCAGGGTGCCCACATTTCATATTGCTCAAACACACATGCTGTACAATTTGTGCAGTTAATGCAATTATTACAGGGTCCTGAGACGATATGCATCCTTCTCGGCTGACAGGATTAAGAGATTAAAGTAAAGACAGGCATAGGAAATCACAAGGGTACTGATTGGGGAAGTGATAAGTGTCCATGAAATCTTTACAATTTATGTTTAGAGACTGCAGTAAAGACAGGCATAAGAAATTACAAAAGTATTAATTTGGGGAACTAATGAATGTCCATAAAATCTTCACAATCCACGTTCTTCTGCCATGGCTTCAGCCGGTCCCTCCGTTTGGGGTCCCTGACTTCCCACAACAATTTATTATTCTCAGGGTCTATATGTAATGGATTCATGTTCCAAGAAGCAACTCTGTATTAAAACATATTATTTTTTATTTCTACTGGGTAATGAATCACTGGCTTTTAGTTAGGGTTTGGGAATGGCTTCTAATTTTTTAAAGTGTGTTTAGCTTTGACAAACCTGATTTTTTTAAATTAAACCCATGAGTCCAATTTGGTTTCATTGTTTATGAGGCTAAACCAGGAGAAATCCCTAGTGTTTTCTTCCATTTCTCCCTTAACTAGCAAGAACACTATGAGATAACTGACATTGCCTGTTACATTGGTAAGGAATCCAGTTTCTAATGTTACAAAATAAAGTGGAGGCAGAATGTGTAAAAATAATCAATATTTGCCTGGCTGTTGGAAACCAAGTTCTAGTTCAGATTTGTCAGTCTCTTTTCTGACCCTGATGAAGTTTGTTCCACCTGTCCCATTTCATCACCCATGAAGGTGACAAATGCCCCGAGGTCTCTCTGTTTCTCAAGGAAAGAGAACACTTGTCTTATTACCAGGCCTTCTGGGTATGGGATGATGAATACCCATCGTGTTTATTTATAAGTAAAGAATTCTAAGTTTTTTTAGTTCAACAAGTTAGGAAATAAGTTTATTATTTAAAAGTAAGTATACACATCATAAAGGTAAAAAGGACCTTCAATCTTATTCAGAGCTTTGCTTCTAGAAATCGTGAAAACTATAAATTATTTTGTCAGTTATTTCTTTTTTCAAACTATGTAAGCCATATGTCTTACCATAGAAAAATTAACAAACAAAATGAAGAAAAGTTGAAAGGTTCAGAGATGGTTGTTATTGACATTTTGGTTTACTTTCCATATTTTCTATGTTCGTAGTCACATATAGGTTCATAATTTATATTAACGAAAATTGATATCTTGTGCCTATTATAATAACTGCAGTATATTATGGTGCTTTCCTTGTCAATCAAATATTCAAAATGTGTTCATAGCCATGAGGTTCCCCATTACATGCGCACACCTCAGTTTATGTACCAGTCTCTTGTTATTGACAACAATGTTCAATTCTCCAGTGATATAAATAATGCTTGGATAAATTACCTCTATTTGAGTACTTAATTATTTCCTTGGAATAGCTCTTTGGACTTAAAATATTTCAAAAGATGTGGAGATTTTTAAAGATCTTCATTGTAAAGTTTTAATATAGTTCTAGGCAAATGTACCTATCTGCCCTCTCACCAATATTATACATGTAACATTTGCTTTTTATTTAATTTTTTAAGTTTTAATTTTTGTGGGTACATAGTAGATGTATATATTTATGACGTACATGAGACATTTTGATACAGGCATGCAATGTGTAATAATCACATCAGGGTCAGTGGGGTATCCATCCCCTCAAGCATTTATCCTTTTTGTTACAAACAATCCAATTATACCCTTTTAGATATTTAAAAATGTACAATTACATTATTAAACTATAGTCACTCCTGTTATGCTGTCAAATATTAGATCTTATTCATTCTTTCCATTTTTTTGGACCCACTAACCATCCCCACTTACTTCCAAGCCCCATGACCCTTCCCAGCCACTGGAGCCATCATTCTACTCTCTATCTCCGTGAGTTAGGTTGTTTTAATTTTTAACATTTGCTTTTAAATTCTTGGTATAGTTCTTGGTTTGGCAGATCATACGTAATTTGCGATTCTATTTATTTAAGTTACGGGTGCTACTGAGTATGTTTCTTCCTTGTTTTCCATCTTTTTTTCTTTTTGGTGCATGCATTGCATGGTCTATTTTCTCATTTCAATATTACTACGATGTTTATTTTATTCTTTTGAAATCAAAACAAGGTATTAACCCTTTTTCCTATATTTACAATTCAAGTATTTTTGTTTCTCATGTTGCCATTTGAGTTATTTTGTTTCATATGTAAGAAGTAAAATTTCTGACTTTGGTGCCTTACTTTAAAAGCCTTTCTTTGCCAACAAACCCTATGTAAACATTCAGCTGTGACTTTTTTTTTTTTTTTTTTTGAGATGAAGTCTTGTTCTGTCACCCAGGCTGGAGGGCAGTGGCACAATCTCAGCTCACTGCAACCTTTGCCTCCCGAGTTCAAGCGATTCTCCTGCCTCAGCCTCCCAAGTAGCTGGCATTACAGGCATGGGCCACCATACCTGGCTAATTTTTTTGTACTTTTAGTAAAGACAGGGTTTCACCATGTTGGCCAGGCTGGTCTTGAACTCCTGACATCAGGTGATCTGCTGGCCTTGGCCTCCCAAAGTGCTGGGATTACAAGCATGAGTCACCACGCCCGGTCCAGCAGTCACTTTTTTTTTTTTTTTTTTTTTAATACTTTAAGTTCTAGGATGCATGTGCACAACATGCAGGTTTGTTACATAGGTATATACATGTGCCATGTTGGTTTGCTGCACCCATCAACTCGTCATTTACATTAGGTATTTCTCCTAATGCTATCCCTACCCCAGCCCCCCATCCCGCAACAGGCCCCAGTGTGTGATGTTCCCTGCCCTGTGTCCAGGTGTTCTCATTGTTCAATTCCTACCTATGAGTGAGAACATGTGGTGTTTGGTTTTCTGTCCTTGTGATAGTTTGCTGAGAATGATGGTTTCCAGCTTCATCCATGTCCCTGCAAAGGACGTGAACTCATCCTTTTTAATGGCTGCATAATATTCCATGGTGTATATGTGCCACATTTTCTTAATCTAGTCTATCATTGATGGACATTTGGGTTGGTTCCAAGTCTTTGCTATTGTTAATAGTGCCACAGTAAACATACATGTGCATGTGTCTTTATAGTAGTATGATTTATAATCCTTTGGGTATATACCCAGTAATTAGATCACTGGGTCAAATGGTATTTCTAGTTCTAGATCCTTAGGAATGGCCACACTGTCTTTCACAATGGTTGAACTAATTTACATTCCCACCAACAGTGTAAAAGTGTTCCTATTTCTCCACAGCCTCGCCCACATCTGTTGTTTCCAGACTTTTTAATAATCACCATGCTGACTGGCGTGAGATGGTATCTCATTGTGATTTTGATTTGCAGTTCTCTAATCAGTGATGATGAGCTTTTTTTCATATGTTTGTTGATTGCATAAATGTCTTCTTTTGAGAAGTGTCTGTTCATGTCCTTTGCCCACTTTTTGATGGGGTTGTTTGTTTTTTTCTTGTAAAATTTGTTTAAGTTCCTTGTAAATTCTGGATATTAGACCTTTGTCAGATGGGTAGATTGCAAAAGTTTTCTCACATTCTGTAGGTTGCCTTTTCACTCTGTTGGTAGTTTCTTTTGCTGTGCAGAAGTTCTTTAGTTTAATTAGATCCCATTTGTCTGTTTTGGCTTTTGTTGCCATTGCTTTTGGTGTTTTAGTCATGACGTCCTTGCCCATGCCTAAGTCCTGAATGGTACTGCCTAGGTTTTCTTCTAGGGTTTTTATGGTTTTAGGTCTAACATTTAAATCTTTAATCCATCTTGAATTAATTTTTATATAAGGTGTAAGGAAGTGATCCAGTTTCCAGCTGTGACATTTTAATTTTATTGTTTACAGTCATTGCCTGCATTCTTCTGGATTCATTTAGGTGTATCTGTAAGTCAAGGCTCTGCTTGTCTCTGCGTCTGATTGGTGAATCCACTGTTGTATTTACTGAGAAGTGATACTATTAAAGTTTTCTAATGTCAGATTATCTTTGTATTTTGGGAAAATGTTAATTGTGGTCATGGGATATCTGCCTGTCACTTTTCTTTTGCACTGATTTTTTTGATAAACACTTATGTTAAAGCTTTATTTCCCTTTTCAGAGTGCCTGTGGAGGAAGTGAGCACAACTGTGTTTGTGTAAGAATGTCAGCTGCAGTAGGCAGCACATGCTGAGAGCCTCTGCTGGTCCCTGACAGGAGACTGTGCTCAGCCTTGGGTGGGAGCTGAGCAGCGAAGACACTGTGGGATCAACTAGGAGGAGAGAGATGGCACGGGGTGTATGGACATGGGGTGGGCTCTTCCTCTTGGGAGTCAGTTCTTTGTAATGGGATGATGGCTACAGGGCCCCTCGTTTCTCTCACAACTCTGGTTTCTCACACAGCACACTGATCTGGATTTCAAATTCATGTAGATGAAGGTGCAAACCCAGTAAACATCTGTGACAAGCACTACATCCTCCCATCATCCCCATGAGCAGCACTGGGGTTGATACAGGGCTTACCTGTCTTCATGCTGTGTTCACAGTGTTTCTAAAAAATGGCAGACATATGATTAAGGCCGATGTCTGAGAGCTCTGTCAGAGTAGTGGTGACATCACCCAATTATTCCTAAGACTTTGGGAAGGCGCACTGGGGGAGTCAGCACTCCAGTACCCATTTCCTGAGAGAATTCAGGCTTTTTGCTGTAACAAATTACCACACACTTCTTGGCTTAAACCATACACATTTATTATCTTAGAGTTCTGGAGGTCGGAAGTCCAACAGGAGTCTTGCTGGGCTAAAATCCGGGTGTCAGCCAGGCCAGCTCCTCTTGAGGTTCTGGGGGGACCTGTTTCTCAGCGTTTCCCAGCTTTGGAGGGTCCTGCCTGCCTTGGCTTGTGGCCCCACCTCCATCTGCAAAGCCAGCAGCAGAGGGTGGGGTGGGGGTGTCTCTGATGCTGCATCTCTGGCTCAAGGTTCTCTGGCTTAAGGATTCTTGTGATTAGAGTGGGCCATGGCTAGTCCAGGATCACCCCTGTCTCATCTCAGGACCCTCGGCTTCTCCCCTTTGCAAAGTCCCTCTGCCACGTGAGGTCACCAGTTCTCAGCTTCTGAAGATCACAGTGTAGACTTCTTTGGGGGTCATTATTCTGCTGCCAGAGGACTTGTTTTTTATTTAAATGTATGCATACCTTTCATCTTTAGAGATTTTTTACCATGAATTTAGACAAAATTTCTGTATTTCCTGGGAAAATAGTTGCAAAGGAAGTTTTTCATCTTTTATCTCAGAACATGACAGGTTGGATTATCCTCTTTGCCATTTTCAAAGTGGTAAAAAAGAAAAAAATTATTTATGGAGCTGGTGGCTCCTCAGTGGGACGAGAATTCGTGCCTTTTCATTGGTGCAGTGGGCTCGCCCTTGTGTGGGACACAAAGAGGCCTGGAGACGTTGCCCAATTCAATCAGTAACCAAGGAGTGGGATTCATTAGGGGAAGCAGAAACCAGGGCTGAATCACGTTCCCAGGCAACTCAGCGTTGCCTAGTACAGCAAGCTCGTCTCAGGATGCGATCCTATTCAGTCATTTTGTGTCTCCACTCATGGAAGAAGCGGAGGAGTAGACCATGGGCTGACGAGTCCCAGTAGAGCAGTGCTGGCTTTTGTGACCCCATACGCCCCTGCCCCTCACGTGGGGCAGAGCCAGTCCTGTATGCCAGCGTGTGGCTGTTTTAATTTGTGGGCTTTAACATGGCAAAATATGAGCCAGACATAAAGACAAGCTGAGAAGTTTAAGCCATTATAGTTCCATGAAGTTCATAATAGGCTCTGAGCAAATGCAGGCCGACGCATGCGCCTGCGTTCCTCAGTGCCACAAGCACATCATTCAGGACATTTTTGATAAACAGAATTAGTGCTATTCAGCTTAAACATTAAGTGCAAATCTCATTGCTGTCTTCCACCTACCTGCACTTTAACTTGTGATTGTTTTAAGAGTGGTTAGATCTTTCTACCTTTAAAACACTCTGTCTTCCTTGACCAAATCAGTGCAAGAAAAGGAAACCTTCTGGGAAATGCAGTCCTGGACCTCCTCCTTGTTGTTAGGGAGGAGGGGGTCAAGTGGGTGCTATGCCCTATTGGGTACTACACTCAGTACCTGAGTGACAGGATCCTATTGGGTACTATGCTTAGTACCTGGATGTCAGGATCATTTGTACCCCAAACCTCAGCCTCATGCAGTATATCCATGTAACAAACCTGCACATGTAACTGTGAACCTACAATAAAGGTTGAAATCGTTTAAAAATAAAAACAAAAACAAACTTTCTAGAATGAGACTTCATTAACCCAAGCAAGGCTGTCACATTGTGTCATGTGTGTATGTGTGCCTGTCTCTGTGTGTGCATGTATGTTAGTGTGCACATGTCTACATTATGTTGGGGTGCACAGGTGCATGCAGGTTACTGCTCACATGTGTGCACGTGTTAGTGTGCATGTACATTGGTGTGCACGTGTGTTAATGTGCATGGGTGTTTGTGGAGGGGGGGCTGCTTTCATATGGATGGAGTTAATGCTCCTCGTCTGGTACTATGCACTGAATTGAATTCACCAAACAACTGAGTAGTGAGGAATAAAACTTTATTTGAAATATTGCCTGCCATTTAAAACATTTACTTTTAAATATATGTTTCTCTTTATATTCTTGAAATATTACCCACTTCTATTCAAATATTATCTGCTTCCAAAATCTAGTAAGCCAACATTTGGGGTTTGAAGTGGCTTTCTCCAGAGACATTGGGAGAAATGAAGTGAAAAATCAAAACGTGACGACATCGCTCCCAGGCCAGGCCCTGTTTTAGATTCCCCACTGTGCTCCACGCCGCCCCCTAGAATGCTCCCCACCCCACCCCTCTCTCCATCCTCCTCTCCCATCTTGACATTTCAGGGTTTTGGTGGTGGCTTTGTAGTCCGTGGTCCCCCGTGCTCCTGTGTCCGGGGGTTCGTTTGTGGCTGGCCCTGCTGACAGGGCTTCTCTCCGCAGTGCAGGTTTTGAGGCACTCTTAAAACGAGTTCTCTTCCTGAACTTCAGGTTTGCTACCTGTGAACTTGGAATTAAATGCTTTTCTCTGTGCTAGGCTGCGTCACCAAATGTCTGAAATACTTAGTTATTAAAGAGTATTTATGGCTGTTAATTTACAGTTAATTCAGGCTTTCCCTTCTCTGGAGTTAATGCTTTCTCCCCGTACCAGCCGGTCTGTGGCACGTTCTTTCGTGTGGGTCCAGGCTCACCGTCGCTGTCTCAGAACTGCTTTCCTGTTACGCTGCCGTAACTGTGATGTTTGTGTATCCATCCCTTCATGTATCAAACGCAGACCTTTTCTCACAGGTTTGGTCATTTTTGGGTGTAAGACACGTTCCTTCCTTGGAAGACTTTTTGTCCATGAGTGTGAATGGATCCGCACTTAACTCAGAATAAATGCCGAGATGTAAAGGACACCCGCAGCCATGGAGCACAGCGGCGGCGCAACAGCTGTGTTGTTCCTGAACGCTTTTTCTCTGGTCTTAAATTTAGACACCGAATCCTGCAGTGTCAGGAAAAGCTGGAGAATGCAGCTGCGGGCCGGGGACTCGGCCGGAAAGCCCCGGCCGCCTCCTGCTTCCAGTGCCCCGCAAGGCTCGGGCGGGAGATGACTGTCCCCGTCCATGTTCTTTCCTGTGGAGTAGACGCTGTGCAGCCATCGGGTGAGAAGATATCGGCTTGGTCCTGGGCCCTGCCTTGCGGGCGTCCGTGGGATAGCAGGTCTTGGGGCGCTGGGCCTTGTCCGGGAAGAGGCACTGGATGGGGCGATGCTCTGTAGGTCCTGCAGGCGCCCTGGCAGGGATGGGGTCCGAGGGCTCCTGTGTGCCAGGCTCCTGAGATCTCCTGGCAAGCGTTCGAGGCCTGGCAGGTGCGGGGGCACACAAGGCTGAGGTTCTGCCGGGGTGACCCTCTGCAGGCCAGCGTCTTGTGGGAATAAAGCCCGAGCTGGAGAACGCGGCCTGTGGGCAGGGGGTGGGGTTGGGGTGCTCCTACTTCCGTTTCCCCGGCCTACAGGCGCTGCCCTTTGACCCTGGAAGGGCTTTGGAGAGAGGGCCCTGCTGGGGCCAGGGCCGCGTTGCTAAGGAGACGAGGGCGTTTCATGTGAACACCACGTTAACAAGCTGCTTATTTAAAGATGGCATCTAACGGAGATCTTTTGTTTCCCTCATCACTTTACCGAAGGACCATACCAGACTCTGCGCTCGTCTCCTTTCATGTTTTGCTTCCGTTCTGCCTCTCCTCGCGTGTCTCTGCCAGCGCACATGCACACACCTGCTGCTGTTCTCCTTAGCAGATCCCACCCTAACATTCTGTGGTAGGAAAACAATGTTCTTCTCTTACTTGGCTAGATAATGTCATGGTTAGAAACACAGATTCTGGAGCCAGATTCCCGGGGTTCGAGTCCTATCTCGACCACGTCCCATCTCCTGGTCAGGGTTAGGGCGCTACCCCCAGCATCTCCATGTTCCCATCTGTGACACGTGGGTGGCAGCGCCTTCCTCCTGGCGGGGATCCCGGGAGCGGATGCGCTCAGGCCTCGGGATCTCGCGGGCCGTGTGCCCAGTGCTGCTGGCATGAGCTCGGCCTGGTGTTCGAGGCAGCCTGGCCAGTCCTCGGACCTGTGCAGCCTGCAGAAGAAGGGGCCGCACCTTGTGGATAAGGAGTGTGTCATTCATCTTTGTGTTCCAGCCACTTTTCGTGGTTCCTGACTCATAATAAATGTTTCATTGAATTTATTAAACACCAGTTTTGACCAAGACTCCAAACTGAAGCACGATGAGAATACTAGAGAATGTAATGTTAAAAAATTATTTCTCAGAATCCTTCTTTTCAACATTTTTATAGCGTGTTCATCACCATCCCTAGTTTAGTAAGTAGCGGTGCAGACGTGTTTTTATTTGCCTGCCTGACCTAAGGCCGTGCTCAGGCCGCAGGCAGCGGTCTCTGGTCCATCCTGGCTTCCCAGGCTGGCTGCTGTGTTGGGCGCCTTGTAGAAATTTGTTTGTGTGTATGTGTGTGTGTGTGTGTGTGTGTATATAATATGTATATATAAATATATATAAAATATATAATTTTTTTTTTAGACGGAGTCTCACTCTGTTGCCCAGGCTGGAGTGCAGTGGTGCGATCTCAGCTCACTGCAACTTCTGCCTCCCGGGTTCAAGCAATTCTCCTGCCTCATCCTCCTGAGTAGCTGGGATTACAGGCATGCATCACCACGCCCGGCTAGTTGTTTTTTGTTTTTTTTTTTTTCTTTTTTAAGTAGAGAGGGGGTTTCGCCATGTTGGCCAGGCTGCTCCTGAGCTCAAGTGATCTGCCTGCCTTGGCCTCCCAAAGTGCTGGGGTTACAGGCGTGAGCCACTGTGCCCAGCCTGAAATTTATATATATTAATATTTGGTAAACAAATGTTAAATTAGCTACTCTGTGTGGATCCTGTAGTGTGGACGATGGTGGAAATTGAATTAAATTTATGCAGACTCCTGATGATGTCCTAAACATACTTTACAATAATTTAAGGGATGCTGGCATCGTACTTCTTGTCTTTCCCCTCCCTTTGTTCCTTTTAAGTTCTTAATGTTTTTAAAATGAAAAGTGGTCAGAACCTTTTCCTCTTTCAGCATAACGACTTCATTGTGTTTAGGAATCTCATGGTTAAAACCTAAGAGAAATCAGCTACTCCATTCACACAAATCCTTATTCACTTGTTCTGGGATGTGGTCTTGGCATCAGTATTTTATTTTTTTATTATATTTTATTTTATTTTAATTTTATTTTTAGTGCTCCCTGAAAAATTTCATTGTACAGCCAGGGTTGTGAACCACTACTGTACATTGATAATATATGGGTCTTCAGGAATTTCAATTAATCCATAATATACATTGTTTGATAAGCTTTAAAATAAAAAATATTAATTATAGATCCAGTGGATTTCCCTTTCTAGCTTGGACAAGTGCTCAGGGACACCAAAAAAAGGGAAAAGCTCTTGTACATTTTTTTTTTACTCCTGACTATATTGTCATGTTAATGCAATTAAACTTCTTTTACTGCAAACAGGGATCCCTTAAGACTCAAAAGAACAAGTAATGAAGAACTTTCTTTAATGAGAGAAAAAGAGCCTTCTTGCTTGCACATCATGGCTGACGGCAGAAAGAAGTAAAGGCAATTAATTAAAGCTGGACTGTGATTCCCCTGCTGGTGACTTCCTGGGGAGCGAGAGCATGTCTGTGGTTATGACAAACAGCATCTGAAATGGCGAGGTGCTGCCTTTAGCAAATCTGTAAGCAGAAGTTCATCACAGTGATTAGATGCTCAAAATTCTCATCAGTGAGGTTACCTGTTATTTTGTTAAATCAGGAAAAGCCACATATGACCACAGTGGGATATCACCTCACACCTGTTAGGATGGCTGTTACTGAAAACCAAAAGAAAACAAGTGTTGGTGAGGAGGGGGAGAAAAGGGAACCCTAGTGCTCTGTTGGTGGGAATGTAAATTAGAGTAGCAATTATGAAAACAGTATGCAGGTTCCTAAAAAAAATAGAAATAGAACTACCATGTGATCCAGCCGTCCCACTTCTTGGCACAAATCCAAAGGAATTGCACTCAGTGTGTTGAGATGTCTGCATTCCTATGTTCACTGCAGCATTATTTATAGTAGCCAAGATATAGAATCATTCTAGATGTCTAACAACAGGTGAATGGATAAAATGTGCTGATATAGATGCACAATGGAATACTATTGAGCCTTTAAAAAGACAAAGACATTTCTGTCATTTGGAGGAATCTGGAGGACTTTATGCTGAGCGAAATAAGCCAGGCGCAGAAAGACAAATGCCACCTGTGCTCACTTATATGTGGAATCTAAAACATTGAGCTCACAGAAGCAGAGAGTACCATGGTGGTTCCCAGGCCTGGTCTTAGGATGGATGGGAAGAGTCTGGCCAAAGGGTACAGAAGTTTGGTTGTGAGATGAATCACCACCTCGGTGAAAAACAGGATGGTGCCACCTGTCCCTCTGTGTGCCTCGTCCTGGTCAGCACCCTTGCTCCCACCCTAAGTGCCCCTGTCCTGATGCTCATGATTATGACTTCTTCATGTTTATTCACCGTTTCATCACCCACATGGGCATTCCCTGCCTCTGCAGCTCAGCCTTCAGATCTGTCTCCACTGAGATGCCTTTTAGGTCTCTTTTGATCCACGGCCTCTTCTCCTGCTCCTCTTTCCCCAGGCCGTTTGGCCTGTACGTCTCCCCACACTCTGGGTTCTGCAAGCGCATCTACACGGTGCACACCTGCATGTCTCCGTACACTCTGGATTGTGTGAGCGCGTCCACACGGTGCACGCCTGCACGTCTCCCCACACTCTGGATTCTGCGAGCGCGTCCACACGGTGCACGCCTGCACGTCTCCCCACACTCTGGATTCTGCGAGCGCGTCCACACGGTGCACGCCTGCACGTCTCCCCACACTCTGGATTCTGCGAGCGCGTCCACACGGTGCACGCCTGCACGTCTCCCCACACTCTGGATTCTGCGAGCGCGTCCACACGGTGCACGCCTGCACGTCTCCCCACACTCTGGATTCTGCGAGCGCGTCCACACGGTGCACGCCTGCACGTCTCCCCACACTCTGGATTCTGCGAGCGCGTCCACACGGTGCACGCCTGCACGTCTCCCCACACTTTGGATTCTGCGAGCGCGTCTACACGGTGCACGCCTGCACGTTTCCCTACACTCTGGATTCTGCGAGCGCGTCCACATGGTGCACGCCTGCACTTTTCCCCACACTCTGGATTCTGGGAGCGCGTCTACACGGTACATGCCTGCACGTCTCCCTACACTCTGGATTCTGCGAGCGCGTCCACACGGTGCACGCCTGCACGTCTCCCCACACTCTGGATTCTGCGAGCGCGTCCACACGGTGCACGCCTGCACGTCTCCCCACACTCTGGATTCTGCGAGCGCGTCCACACGGTGCACGCCTGCATGTCTCCCTACACTCTGGATTCTGCGAGCGCGTCCACACGGTGCACACCTGTATGTCTCCCTACACTCTGGATTCTGTGAGTGCATTTACACGGTGCACGCCTGCACGTTTCCCCACACTCTGGATTCTGCGAGCGCGTCTACACGGTACATGCCTGCACGTCTCCCCACACTCTCGATTCTGTGAACACGTCTACATGGGGCACATCGTGCATTCGTCTGTGTTTTCAGCCTTGGCAGCTGGATCCAGAGACTGGATCCCCTTGTGTATTCTGTTTGGCAGGACTCAGCAGTGGCTGTGCCCTTTCATCCAGGGACGCTGTGTCTAGCTCTCACTCTCTGGTGATGTCAGAAAGTATTGACTGATGAGAGCCTAGGCCCATTAATTCACTAGGAGTTGGGGAGTGGTAATATTTTGATTTTACCTTTTATTTCTCATATATAAATTGAACTTGTTTCTATAAAACAACAGCCCTTCATCTATTTCATTATGAAATGGAGCAGTTCATATGGAAAAGGCAAGATAAATCCTCGATTCTTCCCCTGAATTTAAAAGTTATCAAGGAATGAATTGGTTTATCTCACCCTCCAAAGAGGACCAATTCATTAAAACGGTTATGATGAACTCATGCATGGCGCACGTTTGGCATCTCAGTGCATTGTGATGGTCGCTCATCCTGACGCTCACACTTGTCCATCTTTGGCCAGTGGGGGCCTCTTCACTTGGCTCTGAGTCCTTGGGACACAACCCTGGCAGCCTTTCGTAGATGTTCATGTTGCCCATATTCTGTCCCAGACTTGGAATTATCTGTTATCTAAGGAACTCTGCTGTTTAGTGAAACTGGCATTTCAAGAACACGACCCGGTTACTAGGGGTGTACGTTGCTACATGAAGGTCATTGTTTCTAGACCCTTGTAAGGCAGAGCTAGAAATACATGTGATTTTTTTTTTGAGATGAGGTCTTGCTATATTGCCCAGGGTGGAGTGCAGTGGCCATTCACAGGTGTGATCTTGGGTCACTGCAGCCTTGAACTCCTGGGCTCAAGCGATTCTCCTGCCTCAGCCTCTGAGTAGCTGGGACCGCAGGTGCCGCCCCCCACACCCGGCAGCAGGTGAGTTTTTGAAGACTAACCGTCACATGAATTAATACTGATACTTCCAATTTGAACTTAGGAATTTGGAATACTTTTTACTATGGCTATTTCATATCACATTTGTGTCTCTTGTTTTCCATGCTAGGTATCCTGATTCTCGAGAGCACAGGATATAATAGAGTTACAGCAGTCCATAATTAAACATTTCCTCTATCCTACATCATGTGCCTGGCAGTCTTAACATAACGATTTGGACACTGCCACCAGTGTGACTACGGAAGACACCAAGTACCTTTCTCACATGCTCCCCTGTGTCCTGCATTTTTAATGCCATAATATATTGGCATTGTCAGAGCAGATCCATTAAATTCTGCATTCTTTCCCTTCTGGTAATCACTTAGGGTTCTATGAGTAGCCACATGTTTACTCCTAACTACTCGTCCTTAGGTCGCCATCTCTCTAGTCCTTGTGGTTCTCTGGAGTTTGTTGTCTAGAACTTTCTTCAAAACATATTCATGGGAACAATACTCCTTGAGCGATTGTACGTTGCTGTCAGTTTTTCTGTGTCCTTTATACCTGAAGACCAGGTTTGCTGCGTATGCAATGATTGGCTTATATTTACTTTCCTGGCATATCTTAAAGATGTTATTCTGTATTCCCCTAACCTAACACAATGCTGTTGAACAGGCACGTGCTTGAATCTGTTTCCCTTAAAAGTAACTCATCTTTCTGTCTCAACGCCAGAGGACTTTTACTCTCTTTATTGCTCAGTAACGGTATTATTATGTGCCTTGGTGGTCATCGTTCTGATTTAATTTCTCTGGTACATGGTCGTTCTTTCAATATGTAGTCAAACTTTTAAGTTTTCAGGGAACGTTTACGAATTATAGCTTCTAACATTTTGTTCTCTTCTGCTGCTCTGATTTTCACTTTTAGAGATTCTTATTATCTGTTCTTTCTGTTTTGCCTGTCTAATATTTGCAACTTCATTTTTTGGGGATTTTCTTCTTTTTTCAACCTTATATTTTTCTTAATGCATCATTTGTGATTATTCATTCTTGTTTCCTCTATTTTATTCTTCATTTCTGAAATGAGCTGTCATTTATTTCTAAACGTTTTTCCCTGAGTTCTGTTGCTTCAGCTTTAAGTTTTTCTAATTCTGATTTACATTGTTCTTTTCTGCCTTATGTAATCTTCTTAGTGTCTTCCAGCTTGTTTTACAGCAGCCGGTGGTAGTTTTGACTCACTTTGTGGATGTGCCTCTCTGGCGGGCTTTCGCTCACTTTATGGATGTACCTCTGGCGGGCTTTCGTTGTGTGCAGGCAGGGGTGTTATTCGGCTTTTTTGTTTTCTGTAATAATTTTTATTGGATTGATTTGACCAGGATGATAGCTTTCTGTTGCTTATTTTTATGTGATCTTAATGTAGGTGAACTTTGGGAAGAAAGCAGAATCCGGGAGAGCTTTTCCGACTTCCTAGAGCTCTCCCTTCTGTCGTTTTCATGTGAAGTTAAGAAGGTGGCAGTTTGACTTCTGAGATTTCCTGGCTCTGTTCCCTGCCCCTGGTTTTATTGACGTGTTTTTCCCTCAGTCCTATTATCATCTCAGGGTGAGAGCCTTTCCTGGAAGGGCGGTGTGGCTGATCAGCATCAGGAGTTCACGGGGGCTGTCTTTACGGGGAGACCCCTCTGCACACTGACTGCTGGTGGGCAAATCCCCTTCCGGCTTTGGGGCCTGGCTTGGGCCACTGTGCATGGTGTGGAGTGGGCACCACGGCCTCTCCTGGGGTTCCACCGGGCCTGGCCTGTCCCTCACCAGCCACTGCCCCTCTGTCCTTGGACACGGACGCCACGTAGATCCTGGGGCACTTCCCCGTATTTTGCACTCCCTGGGCTGTCTGGTCACCTGGTTGCTGTAAATGGTTTTTGGGTTTTGCTATCTTGTTGCTTTGTGTGATGTGATGTGTGATATGATTGGTCTGGGAGGATTGAAAGCTGTGTCGCTGCATTCACCACATTCCTCACGCAGAGTAGTTGTAAAGGAGGATTTAAAAAGAAAGCCTTAGACTTTCTGTCACTGTGTCCTCGCTACATGATATCTTTACATTTCTTCACGGGTATTAAGTTGTCAATAAGAGTAACTGTACGGAAAACATATGTTTAAGTCATTGAAGTTTATCTGGCTTGTTTTAGACACACTTTAATGGATTACTTAGGGGATTAAATATTTTAAAACATTGGTAGTATGTTTTAATGTGTCAGATGTAAATTATTTTGTAAATGACTTTTGACATTTAATAGTACCTGTTGCCAAAAATGTTTTTGATATGGAGTGCTCTACTAATTTTTTTCATTTGTTTAACATATTTTTGTTTACTTTGTGGTTCACAGTGAAGAGTATTCGTCAGCTCTGCCATTGCAGTGAATGAGTTAGAAAGGAAGTGTGTTTGTGAGAGTGAGGAATTAGTAATTTCTCTATTAGGAAGTGAAGCTGAATCAAAATGGTAGGGATGGCTCATGTATACATTGATTTACTTTTTTTAAAAAGACATTTTTATTGAACTGTAACATACCTGCAAAAAGTTATGCCAGTTGTTAAGTTCACAGCCACTCAGTTTTCATGAAGGGAGCACAGCCTTCTGCTCAGCAGCCAGATCAACAAAGAAATATTGGTAGACGACAGTCTCGATTGACCCCCTTTCCAGCCGTGCTGTCCTTCCTCACCCATCAAGGATGAACAAGGAAGTACTGGTAGACTACAGTCTCTCTCGACCCCCTTTCCAGCCATGCTGTCCTTCGTCGCCCATCAAGGATCAATAAGGTAGTACTGGTAGACTACGGTCTCTCTTGACCCCCTTCCCAGCCATGCTGTCCTTCCTCGCCTATCAAGGATCCCCACTATGGGGACTCCAAACCACATGGATTAGTTTTGCTTGTATTTCAACCTCATATACATGAAACTGTACAGTAAATGTTATCTTTTATTAACAAATTTACTTATCTGTAACTCATATACTGTGCAGTTGACCTGTTTAAAGTACACAATTCAATGGCTTTAGCATCTCCCAAAGAAACCCCACCTATCTTAGCCATCCTCTCTTCCCCTGCCTCCTCCCCAGGCCAGGCCTGGCCACCACAAATCCACTTCTGTCTCGGTTGATTACCATGCTCTGGACATTTCGTGTAAACAGAATCATACAATATATGGACTTCTGTGACTGACTTCTTTCACTTAGCATAATGTTTTAAGGTTCGTCCATGTCATGTCAGGTATTTTCTTTTTATTGCTGAATGACATTCATTTGTACAGATATACCACATTTTATTTATCCAGTCATCAGTTGAAAGCTTTTGGGTTGTGTACACTGATTGTTGTGAATAATTCTGCTGTGCATATTTGTGCACAACTTTTTGCGTGAACATATGTCTTTATTTCTCTTGGGTATATACCTAGGAGTGGAATTGTTTGAACATTTTCAGGACGTTTCAGACTGTTTTCCAAAGTTGCAGCATGAGTTTACGTTTCTGCCAGTCGTATAGGAGGGTTCTGATTTCATCAGATCCTCACCAGCACTTGTTATTTGGCTTTTTTATTCTATCCATCCTAAGTGGTGTGAAGGGTATGGTATTGTGGTATTTTAGGGTATGGTGTTGTGGTTATGATTTGCATTTCTCCAATGGCTAATGATGTTGAACATCTTTCCATGTGCTTGTTGGCTGTTTGTATATCTCCTTTGGGAGAAATATCTATTAAGATCCTTTGCCCATTTTAAACTAGGTTATTTGTCTATTATTGGATAGTGAGGATTTATGTATTCTAGATACAAGTCCTTATCAGACGTATGACCTGCAAATAATTTCTTCCCATTCTATAGGGTGTGTTTTCACCTTCACTTTTCTTGATGGTGTTCTTTGAAGCATAGATGTTTTAAATTTTGATGATATCCAGTTTATTTCTTTTTTTGCTGCTTGTGCTTTTGATGTTGTATTTAAGATACCATTGCCTAATCAAGGTCATGAAGATTTATGCTGTTTTCTTTTAAGAGTTTTATATACCTTTTGCTGTTACATTTAGGTCTTTGATCCATTTTGCATTGATGTTTGCATATGGTGTGAGGAAGGGATCCAACTTCTTTCTTTGGCATTTGGCTGTCCAGCTTTCCTGGTACCATCTGTGGAAAAGACTGTTCTTTCATAATTGAATTGTCTTGGCACCCTTGTCAAAAATCAATTGTCCAGAGACGTATGAGTTTCTTCGTAAACGTTTGTTATTTGTGTTTGAAAATAATACTTATACACACTTACGGAGTACAATGTGATGTTTTAATACATGTATAAATTGCATAATGGGTAAATAAGGGCAGTTAGCACATCTATTACCTCAAACATTGACCATTTCTTTGTGATGAGTACATTCAAAAACCTCTGTTTTAGCTATTTTGAAATAAATAATACATTATTGTTAACTCCAGTCATTCCACTGTGCAACAGACCACCAGAACTTAGTCTTCCTATCTAACTGTAGCTTTGTGCTATTGACCTTCCTTTTGCCATCTCCTCCTCCCACACTCTTACCCAACCTCTGGTAACCACAATTCTACTCTCTACTTCTGTGAGATTGGCTTTCTGAGATTCTGCACGTGAGTGAGATCATGTGGTGTTGGCCTTTCTGTGCCTGGCTCTCTTCACTTAACATATGTCCTTTATATTCATCCATGTTGCCCAAAGTGAAAGGATTCCACTTTTATGGCTGAATAGTATTCCACTGTCTATAAGTACAATATTTTCTTTATCCATTCATCTTTTGGCGTGTGACAGTTGGGTTGGTCCCATATCTTGGATATGATGAATAGTGCTGCAGTGAACATGATAGTGCAGAGATCTCTTTGACACTAACTTTATTTCCTTTTGATAATACCCAGTAGCAGGATTGCTGGATCATATGGTAGTTGTATTTTTAATTTTTTTTAGGAACCTTGATACTGTTTTCCATTCCCACCAGCAGCACTAGTGTTTTCTTTCCTCCACATCCTTCCTGACATGTTTGTCTTTTTGGTAATAGCCATTCTAATTGGGATGAGGTGATATCTCACTGTAGTTCTGGTTTGCATTTTCCCAGTGATGAGTGATGTTGAGCACATCCATGTCTGGCTTGCTCTTGTTTTGTTTAGGGTTATTCTATCCATCTTCAGACATGATACTAGCCTGTAATTCTTGCTTCTCCTGTTTTTCTTGTTAGGGTTTACTACTAAGCTTATATATCCTTATAAAATGAGTTGTAAAATGGTGCTTTTGATTACTGTGGAATAGTTTTTGTACAGTTGGAATTCTTTTACCTTACATATTTGGCTGAACTTGCCATTAAAAACACATGGGCCTGGGTGTTTTCTTTGTGGAAAGATTTTAAACCACTGATTCAATAACTGTTATGGTTATAGGAATATTCAGGTTTTCTGCTGCTTCTTGACACAATTCAGGAAAATGTTGTTTTTTCTGAACTTTTCCATATTATCTTAGTTTTCAGATATACTGGCCAAAGTTCACAGTGTTTCTTTTGATCTATTTAATCTTTGCACTGTTTTTACTTATGTTTCCCTTTTCATTGATACCGGCTATTAGTGTTTTATTTTTAATTTTTGACTAAAATTAAAAAGTTTTAATATCAGTGTAATTGAGATATATTTTACACTTTTTTTCCCTTCTTTTTCATGTAACTCTGACCAGAATTTTAAAATGATCTTTTTGATTGGATTATCTTGATTGTGTACTTTTTTCTTTTCTTTTTTTTTCTTTTTGAGACAAGGTCTCGCTCTGTCACCCAGGCTGGAGTGCAAGTGGAATGATCTCAGCTCACTGCAGCCCTGCCTCCTGAGTTCCAGCAGTTCTCCCACCTCAGCCTCCAGAGTAGCTGGGACTATAGGCGCACGCAACCACACCTGGCTAATTTTTGTAATTTTAGTAGAGACAGGGTTTCACCATGTTGGCCAGGCTGGTCTCAAAGTCTTAGCCTCAAGTGATCCGCCTACCTCGGCCTCCCAAAGTGCTGGCATTACACAGGCTTGAGTCACTGCGCCTGGCCTTTGACTGTGGACTTTTTCCTATTTAATTTCTATGAATTTCTGCTCCTGTCTTTATTATTTTTTTCCCCTTTACTTTCTTCTGTTCGGTGGTTCTTATTTTGACTTTTAGCTTGGATGCTTGCTTGCGTGTTTGTTTATACTTTGATTTAGACTTAATGTGAATATTAAAGGGGTAAACACTTCTGCTAAGATCTTGTTTAGTGGCACCTGCAAGTGTGGGCCTGTTACTCTTCAGTTCTGTGTTTCCTGTTGCCCTGCTCCCAGCCACAGGCACCTGCCTGCCTGTTCTCTGTCTGTCGTGTTTCCTTTTCCAAAATGTGACATAGATGGAGTTTACCAGAGGCAACCTTGAGACACTGGCTTCTTCCAGTTCGCACGATGTATTATAGACTTATCTATATTGCTATATGAATCAATAGTTGATTTTTATAAATTGCTGAGTAGTATTCCAGTATAGGATCGTGTGGTGTGTGTTCCAATATAGAAACGTGCGGTGCCTGTTCCAGTATAGGATCGTGCGGTGCGTGTTCCAGTATAGGAACGTGCGGTGCCTGTTCCAGTGTAGGGTCGTGCGGTGCGTGTTCCAGTGTAGGGTCGTGCGGTGCCTGTTCCAGTGTAGGGTCGTGCGGTGCGTGTTCCAGTGTAGGGTCGTGCGGTGCGTGTTCCAGTGTAGGGTCGTGCGGTGCGTGTTCCAGTGTAGGGTCGTGCGGTGCGTGTTCCAGTGTAGGGTCGTGCGGTGCGTGTTCCAGTGTAGGGTCGTGCGGTGCGTGTTCCAGTGTAGGGTCGTGCGGTGCGTGTTCCAGTGTAGGGTCGTGCGGTGCGTGTTCCAGTGTAGGGTCGTGCGGTGCGTGTTCCAGTGTAGGGTCGTGCGGTGCGTGTTCCAGTGTAGGGTCGTGCGGTGCGTGTTCCAGTGTAGGGTCGTGCGGTGCGTGTTCCAGTGTAGGGTCGTGCGGTGCGTGTTCCAGTGTAGGGTCGTGCGGTGCGTGTTCCAGTGTAGGAACGTGCCAGGGTTTGTTCCAGTCTAGGATCTTGTGATGTGTGTTCCAGCATAGGATCGCGCGGTGTCTGTTCCAGCATAGGAACGCGCGGTGCCTGTTCCAGCATAGGAACGCGCGGTGCCTGTTCCAGCATAGGAACGCGCGGTGCCTGTTCCAGCATAGGATCGTGAGGTGCCTGTTCCAGCATAGGATCGTGAGGTGCCTGTTCCAGTATAGGAATGTGCGGTGCCTGTTCCAGTATAGGATGTGCCGTGTCTGTTCCAGTATAGAATCTTGTGGTGCATGTTCCAGTATAGGAATGTGCAGTGTCTGTTCTGGTATAGGATCATGTGATGTGTGTTCCAGTATAGGAACATGCCAGGGTTTGTTCCAGTCTAGGATCTTGTGGTGCATGTTCCAGTATAGGAACACGTGGTGTGTGTTCCAGCATAGGATCGCGTGGTGCACGTTGCAGCATAGGATCACACAGAGTCTGTTCCAGTATAGGAACGTGCCCATGTTCCAGTACAGGAACGAGCCGGTGTTTCTATGGATTCATTTGCTGAAAGCACTGGAGCTGTTTCCAGGTTCTGGCAGTGATGAATGAACTACTGTAAATACTGAGCGCAGGAGTTTTTGTGGAAATTGGGTTCATATTTCACTTGGGCATTTAGTTCGATGCCTGGGATGGGAGTGGCTGTGTCAATGGTAGTGTATGTTTAACTTTATGAGAAGCTGCCAAGCTGCTTTCCAAACTGACTGCCCTTTTGGGTTTCTACCAGCCTTGCCCGAAGGTTCCAGCGGTGCAACATCCTTCCAGGACCCCTGTAGCCTGGGCTAATGGTCTCCCAGCCGTCCTAATAGTGGAGAGTTGTATCTCTTTCAAGGTTTTACTGCATTTCCCCTGATAACTGATGACATAGGAACTTTTATCATGTGCCTGCTTTCCATCTTTACTCTTCCATGAAATGTCTGTTCAAATCTTTTTCTCACTTAAAAAAGCTAGGTTGCCCGGGCACGGTGGCTCACACCTGAAATCCCAGCACTTTGGGAGGCCAAGGTGGGCCAGGAGTTCCAAACCAGCCTGGCCAACATGGTGAAACCCCATCTCTACTAAAAATACAAACATTAGCTGGGCCTGGTGCTGTGGGCCTGTAATTCCAGCTACTTGGGAGGCTGAGGCAGGAGAATTGCTTGAACCTGGGAGGCAGAGGTTGCAGTGAGCTGAGATTGTGCCACGCACTCCAGCCTGGGCAACAGAAGGAGACTGTCTAAAAAAAAAAAAAAAAAAACTAGGTTGTTTGTATTTTAATGTTTGGTTTTGAGACTTCCCTCTGTATTCTGGGTCTGAGTCCCCTGTCAGATGTGACATTTGCAGATATATCTCCCCCACCTTTGCGTTGTCTTTTCATTTTCTTAACAGTGTGTCAAAACAGTGTTTTGAATAATAGAATATTTTAATTTTCATAATGTCCAGTTTATCACATTTTTAAATGCATTGTGCTTTTGGAGTTTATCTCAAAGCAATTTTTTGAACCTTCCACCTGTTGCTACAAGTTAAAAGTTACGCTGCCTCTTGAAAGATTTCTGCACTTTGTGCAGAAATTTTATTTCCAATTTACAATGTATTTTAAGAAAAAAAATCATCAAATTTGCTTTTAAGTGTTTTTATTGTTTCACAGAAAGCTTTAAATTAATTCTTAATAAGAATATTTTGGAATAGGGAAACACTTCTTTTCACAATTTGTCAGAGTATGTATCTATGTTTATGTATATTTGTGTGTCTGTGTGTATGAAATGAGGCTGTTGCTTGAATAGCCCAATTAAATGTTGGCATGCTTTATTTTACCTAGAAGAAAATTAGACCCCAGAAAGCAATATATGCATTATTGGCCTTTATGTATTTTAGAATTATTTTATAATAGCATGAAATTTTAAATGTTGCGAAACTATCTGGCTACTATTAGGCTAATCCTGAAAGTATGCCACAGTGTTGTAATGCACTGTGATTGTCTCAATTTTCCTAAAATAATAGTTAAAATTTTTTTTTTCACTTTAAAGAATTCAGAGGTAAGTTAGTAAAGTTTGGTAACAAATTTTTCTCACAAAATATTGTCTTTCACTCTCTCTGTTTTCACTTTTGAAATAGCCAAGATTCACACCTTAGAAAATGCTGCAAAGAGGCCATGTACAGAGCTATGTGATGAACAAGTAGAGACGCAGCAAAAGATGAAAGATGCACTGTCCAGATGGAGTTCTCTGTATCAAAACAACATGTTTTTAACATATGATTTTTCTGTTTGTTTGTGCCATAGGTGTTTGCTGTTGAGAGAAGACTTTTCTGTATGTAGATGCACAAGTGCCATGTGTTACAGTTGTCTTTGGTGTTCAGTATAGTCACACACTGTGCAGGTGTGCAGCCCGGGAGCTGTGGGCTGTGCCATTCAACCCAGGGGTGTGGTAGAACGCACCATCCAGGTGTGTGTGAGTACAGTCTGATGTTCGCACCCTGACAAAGTCGCCTGGTGACGCATGTCTCAGGACGTAGCCCCATTGCTAAGCGACGTATGACTGACTGTGTTTTCTTATCACGTCAGTGTTGTGTTACCTGTGAGCGACATGTAAGCTCATCGCTGCTTTGGAATGGGTGCTGCTATTTCCCTGCTACTAGGTAATTTAAAATAATGTGTTAATAGGAAGCACCTATGTTAGTATATTATGATGAAGACTATTTGATCATTTCAGTATAATTTTTTGTGTATTTTATTGTGTACATTTACAAACACCGTTCTGAGATTAGTTCCTGGGATTTGTGGACTAGTCAGTTCAGCCTCTGTTCAAAAAACTTGTCACATTTATTTATCCAGCTGCCGAATTGCTCAGATCAAGTGCCAGAAAGCATGCAGTTTTGTGTGATTTGTGGCTATGGATAGGGGCATAGATTTCCTCCCTCATTTAACACGATTCACGGAGACCACGCCACGTGCCCCGCAGCCTGCTAGATGCCAGGAACCACACTCGGAGCTGGGAAGCAGTGACTGTTCCGTGACTGCTGGGTGGCGGGAGCTGCAGGGGGCCCCCGCTGCGTTTCCCTCTCACCTTCACTAATACCTGGAGCTGTCTTTATTATTACTCCTCTCTTATTAGCGAGGACACTGGTCTTGGGAAGGTGCAGTGACTTGGTCAGGGCACTCAGCTAGTGGGCGGCGGTCCTGGGACTCAGCCCCTAAACCCAAGCTCCCACCTGCCCTGTGGACAACAAAGGCATGCAGCCTCCTGCCAGCTGTGAGAATTGGCTTTGGTGTAAATTTTGATTTCCTCTTATGTGTGTGCAGAGATTTTGAGAAGGGACACATTGGAAGCTAAAAAAAAAACATGTCAAAAACAGTTTAAAGAATTGCTCTGAGGGATAGGAAATCTGTCTCTCTCACCTTTCTCTGTCTTGGTGGATGACACAGACTTCCGTGTCCCCTCTCCCTGCACGTGGATCTGGAGGCCACAGGCCTGGGGCTCTGCCTCCTGTCTCCACTGAGCTGTCATGAAACCACAGTAGCCTCCTGTTTGAAATCTGAGATTGGCTTTTCACACGTGATCTTCAGTTTTCCAGATGGAAGAAAGAACACTAATGGCAAATCCAATGAAACCATCATGATTCTTTTGTCCGTCTTTTATCTGCTCATCAGCTGTAAATTGTAATGAATTATTAGCTTGATTTTACTCAAGATTCTGTGGGTCATTTTCCTCTTTCTCTTGCCAGCTTAATCGATTGTCTGATTGTGGTAAATGAGCAAATCAACATCTCTCAGCCTCGTGGGCTTTTGTATAAATTGCGGACAGAGTGTTATGTTCCCAGTAGACGGGATTTGTACTGATTATGTTCGCAGATGTCATGCTAACACCTTGGCTACTTCAACGTTTCTGTAAAGGGTAAAATATCCACCCAAACCCAGCAAGGCTGAGTGCATTCTCGGGCGAGTGTTTCCTTGGGAAATCTAAGTAGCACAGTTTCATTCTGAATGACAACGTCCTTGATGTAGAATTACTGTTGCTTCACAAAAGGACCTCATTTACCTTTGTGCTGTTTTTGTTTATGGATCCCCTGGCCGATTCCGTTATTTCTGCAACAGATTTTGGTAAAACTGGCTGTTCTTATGTGCAGCATGACGCTGGATCTTCGCAGATGGGTCAGACTGGCTGCTTTGGGGCAGTGGGCTTTGTAGTGACACATTAAATAGTTACAGATACTTTAGGAGCAAAAGAGGAAATTCAGTGCTTAGTTTATAATAGCTGGGTGCTAGAGTATGAGTCTAACATTGCACTTAGGTGTGTGTTGGGGTCCCCAAGAGTACCCACAGTTCCGTGATTCACTGGGAGCACTCCCAGGGCTCGGCACAGCTGCAGGACAGCTGTGAGTTGTTACAGAGAAAGGACGCGGAGCATGGTCATCAGAGGGAGAAGGTGGAGGAGGGAGGTCCAGGGAAACGAGATGGAAGCTTCCAGAGCTGTTCCCCACAGAGTCCCAGGAGGGGCTTGGTTCTGCCAGTATCAAGCTGTGACCACGCATGTCGTCCAACAGGAAGCTTGTGAGAGACACGGTGCCCAGGGTTGTGCTGGGGTCTGCTCAGATAGACAGCCCTGCCAGCAGGAGAGCAGGTGTGTGGTATAAACATCATCTGCACAGATGGCTTAGGTACAGGATGCCCCTCATCAGTTAGGGAATGATGGGGATCCCCCACGACATCCAAGTTCTCAGATGAAGCCCAGGGCCAGACTCACCCCTCATCAGTTAGGGAATGGTGGGACCCCCCACGACATCCAAGTTCTCAGATATAGCCCAGGGCCAGCCTCGCAAGCAGCCGTTCTAGGGAGCAGTCTCAGGCCTGCAGCCACACCGCCCCGTGCACAGGCTTAACTACTTTAAATCACTGGAGGATGTGTTTGTCATTTAATTTAATAAGAATTCAGTATTCATGCCCTGATTGCTAGGGACTGAACCAGGGCATTACAGAAACAAGGCAGTTTTCTCTTTATGTTGATTCTCTCTGTGGTGGGCTGAAGGTTTGTCCCCCAGATTCATACCCTAACCCCCAATGTGATGGTGTTAGGAGGAGAGACCACTGGGAGGTCATGAAGTCATGAGGGTGGGGCCGCCACAGGTGGGATAAGTGCCTTTTTAAAAGGGACCTGAGAGAGCTCCCTGCACCTCCTACCTAGCAAGGACACAGTGAGAAGGCGCTGTCTCTGGACCAGGAAAGAGGCCCTCGGCAGAGAGTGGAATCCGCTGTGCCTGGTTGGTGGACTTCCAGCCTCCAGAACCGTGGGAGATGAATTCCCGTTTCTTGTATGTCACCCGGTCTATGATACCTTGTTCTAGCAGCCACATAGACTAAGACCCTGTAGGAGGACTGCACAGCAGAGGGGACTTGGGCTCACCACCATGAGGGGGACAGCGCATTGCGGGGTTAGTGGGGCTTGTGTAGGGGACCTTAGAGCAAGGCCCAGCAAGGAGGAGCTGCTGAGTGGGGGCCTTCAGTGGGTATCCTTATCCTTTTATTCAGGAGGCAAAAAGGACAGAGTGGGCTCTGTCTTGGTCCATTTGTGTGGCTATAACACAATACCTGAGACCCTCACAGGCTGGAGGCTGCAGTCTGAGGCCAGGAGGCTGTGTCTGGTGAGGGCCTTGCTGTATTGTCCTGTAGCAGAAGGGGGGAGGTGGGTGAGAGTGAGAGAGTGGGTGAGAGAGGGCCGGACTGACATGTGTGTTCATGTGTGCATGTGTCTGCATATGTTTGTGTGTTCATGTTGTATGTGCATGCATGTGTGTGCATGTTCATGCATGTACGTGTCTTTTTGTGTGTGCATGTGTCTGTGTGTGTTCACATGTGTGTGCATATGTGCTTTCATGCAGGGGTGAGGGGACATGGAGGGCCAGGGCTGTCTGCAGTCTGCAATGGCAGGTTGGATTCAGCTGTTGTAGGGCCTGCCTCAGTGGCAGGAATGTGGTTTTGGAAATACTGAGCTTCAGGATGAGGTCCCTGAGATGCGATGAAGCTCTGGAGAAAAGCTTCCCACATGGGAAATGCTCCCACAGGTATCAGGAAACAGTAGTGAGGAACGGCATGCCCGGATTTTCTTTGTGGAAAGGTGGTGCTGGCAGCAACCGAGGAGCGGTTTGGGCAAAGTGCAGGTTAAAAAAGAAAGAGGTCAAAACAGAGGTCTGGCAGTCAGAGGTCCGGCAGTAGTGGGTCCGGGAGGGAGTGATGGTAGGCGCTTGCCGAGTGGTGGGGAGGAGGCGGGAGCAGGTCCTTGAGTCTGGGATGTGCGATTGGGTTGCTGTGTGCAGCGTCTTCGTGTGGGTGGCAGTTGAAAACGTGGGCACGAAGATTTTTAGGAGAAGACACCTGCAGGCATTTATGTGGGATCATTGACTCCAGCTATGTTACGCTTTTCATTTCCTTTCTCTTTTTTCAGAACCGTGTATTCCCATGGGCACTTTCAGCATGAATGCCTCTGTTTTCTATTAATTCATGTGCTCCCAGCGGGTGTGTACGGTCAGGAGCGTTCTCTGTGCTCCCCACTCAACACTGGGACCAAAGCTGAGTGTGAGCTGCAGGAATGTCCGCTGAATGAATGAATGAGTGACTAAAGAGGAGTGACCAGAGAGGCAGGAGAATCAGGAGGCTGGCATATTGAGGGTGCCAAGAGAAAACAATTTCAAGAAGGAGGGTGTTTAACAGCACCACGTGTCACACAGACACATCAGGAGGAGTGAGAGGGGGATAGGTCTGTAAAACTGGTGCTGTAAGTTCCCACGTAAGCTTCAGGTGCCTGAGAGTGAAGCCAGGTTGTATTTGGTTGGGGAAAGAATGGAAGTGCAGGAAGTGGGATCATCGGTTACTGATTTTTGAGGCCCTACAAAACAGGTTGAAGCTTTACCCTAGCTATGCAAGGCTGGTTCAATATTCAAAAATCAGTTGATGTAATCATCGCATCAGCAGGCTAAAGAAGAGAAGTCCTGTGGTCATATTCATAGATGCAGAAAAGGCATTTGAAAAAATCCAATCCCATTAATGATAAAAACTTTCAGTGAGCTAGGGATGGGGGAGAACTTCCTGAACTCAATAAAGAAAATCTAACCACCCCCCAACAGCTAAGTTCTTACTAAATGATGAGAAATTTGGAGCATCCCGCAGAGATCAGAAATGAGGAAGCGTAGCCTCTCACCCCTCCTTTTCAAGATCATACTGGAAGTCCCAGCTAATGCAATAAGACAAGAAAAGGAAATAAAAGATATGCATATTGGGATATAATAAATAAAAATGCATTTGTCAACAGATGACATGATTATTTATGTAGAAGATCCCAAAGAAGAATTAGTGGAAAAATCTTCTTCTTCTTCTTTTTTTTTTTTTTTTTTTTGAGATGGAGTTTCGCTCTTGTTGCCCAGACTAGAGTGCAATGGTGCAATCTCAGCTCGCTACAACCTTCGCCTCCCGGGTTCAAGCAATTCTCCTGCCTCAGCCTCTTGAGTAGCTGGGATTACAGGCACACACCACCACGCCTGGCTAATTTTGTATTTTTGGTAGAGATGGGATTTCTCCGTGTTGGTCAGGCTGATCTCAAACTGCTGACCTGAGGTGATCTGCCCACCTCGGCCTCCCATAGTGCTGGGATTACAGGCATGAGCCACGGCACCCAGCAGTGGAAAAATCTTCTGAAACTAATAAACAGTTTTAGCAGGGTTTTAGAATACAGGGTTAATATGCAAAGGTCAGTTACTTCATTTTATACCAGCAGTGAATGAGTAGAATTTGAGATTGAAAACACAGAACCATTTACATTAGTACCAAAAAAATGTAAAATGCTTAAGTAAAAGTTGAACAAAATAGCATAAGATCTATATGAGGAAAACTACAAAACTCTGTTGAAAGAAATGAAAGGAGATCTAAGTAATGGGGAGGCACCCCATATCCCTGGACAGGAAAATCCGTGCTGTTGAGATATCCATTTTTCTTAACGTGTTCTATACATTCAGCGCAGTCCCCATCAGGATCCCAGCATGTTATTTTGTGGATATCAACAAATTGATCCTAAAGGTTACATGAAGAGGCAGAAGACCCAGACAAGTTAACACAGTATTTAAGGAGAACAAAGTCACAGAACTGACAGTTGATCTCAAGACTTACTGGAAAGCTACAGTAATCAAGACAGTGTGGCACTGGTAAACAAATAGACAAATAGATCAATGGAACAGAACAGAGGGTCCAGAGACAGACCCACGTAAATACAGCCAGCTGATCTTTGATGAAGGAGGAAAGGCCATTCAATGGAGAGAGGATGCTCTTATCAACAGATGGTGTGGAGCAATGGGACCTCCATGTGCAACAAAATGAACCCAGAACCAGACCTTACACCCTTTACAAAATTAACACAAAATGCAAAACTATAAAAGTCCTAGGAGACAATGTGGGAGAACCCTGGGTAAGCTTTGATTTGGTGACTTTTTAGATATAACACCAAATGCATGATGCATGAGAAAAATTGAAATTGGACTTCATTAAAATGAACAGCTTCTGCTCTGCAAAGACACTCTTCAGAGGATGGAACAACAAAGTCCAGACCGGGAGAAAATATTTGCAAAACACACACCTGATGGAGGACGAGCATGCAAAATATACAAATAATTTTCAAATTTCAATGGTGAGAAAACAACCTGATTTTTAAAATGTGTAAAAGATCTTAACAGACACCATCAAAAAGATACACAGATGACAAGCCACTGAAAAGATACTCCATGTCATGTGTCATCAGGGAAATGAAAAATAAAACAGCAAGGAGACAGTGCCACACCCCTGCTGGAATGGCCAAGATCCAGACACTGGCAACACCATCAAGTGCTGGTGAGGATGTGGAGCAACGGGAACTCTCATCCTCACTGTGGGGAGTGCAAAATGGTGCAGCCACACTGAAGACCGCTAGGTGGTTCCTTACAACAGTGCACATTTGCCATGCCGTCTAGCAGTCAGGCTCCTAGGTGTTCACCCAGATACTTGAAAACTTCTGTTCACACAAAAACTTGCACATGATTTTTTTTTTTTTTTGAGACGGAGCCTCGCTCTTGTTGCCCAGGCTGGAGTGCAGTGGTGTGATCTCGGCTCACTGCAGCCTCTGTCTCCTGGATTCAAGTGATTCTTGGGCCCAGCCTCCTGAGTAGCTGGGGTTACAGGCATACGCCACCATGCCCGGCTAATTTTGTATTAGGGTTTCACCGTGTTGGCCAGGCTGGTCTTGAACTCCTCACCTCAGATGATCCACCCGCCTTGGCCCTCCAGAGTGTCGGGATTACAGGCGTTAGCCACCGCGCCCAGTGCACATGAATGTTTATAGCAGCTTGGAAACAACCAACGTGCCTTTAAAAGATGAATGAATAACCAAACTGGCCTATCTGGACAAGAAGTGCTGAGAAGGAATGATCTACCAGGCTGTGAAAGGACGTGGAGCAACCGTAAATGCACGTGACTACGTGAAAGAAGCCTGTCGCAAAAGGCTACGCAATGTAGGATTCCGACTGCATGGCATTCTGGAAAAGACAGAACTGTGCAGACAGGAAAGGTTCAGTGGCTGCCATGGGCTGTGGGGAGGGAGGGGTGAATGGGCGGAGCCCAGAGGAATTTTATGACAGGGAAGCGCCTCTGTGTGATGCTGTCATCGTGGGCACATGTGTGGTGCTGTCACCGTGGGCACGTGTAATGCTGTCACCGTGGGCACATGTGTGATGCTGTCACCGTGGGGACATGTGTGACGCTGTCACCGTGGGCACGTGTGTGATGCTGTCACCGTGGGCACGTGTGTGATGCTGTCACCGTGGGCACGTGAGATGCTGTCTCTGTGGGGACATGTGTGATGCTGTCATTGTAGGGACATGTGTGATGCTCTCACCGTGGGCACATGTATGATGCTGTCACCGTGGGCACATGTGTGATGCTGTCACCGTGGGCATATATGAGATGCTGTCATTGTGGCCACATGCCACCGTGCATTTCTCCAAACCCACAGAATGGACAACACCAAGAGTAGCCCTCGTGTAATCAGTGGACTTAATAATTATCAATATTCGCTCCTTACAGCAAATGTTTCACACTAACATAAGCTGTTAATGGTGGGGAAACTGGGGTGGGGAGGAGGGGTTATATGTGAACTCTGTGAACTTTGTGCTCAACTTTTCTGTAAGCCTATAAAAAATAGTATTTTAATTAAAAAATACATCGACATTCTTATTTTATTGTCACTAAAAACCTGAGACATAGACCAGCCCCACCTTAGTCTTCTTTTTTTTTTTTTTTGAGATGGAGTCTCGCTCTATTGCCCAGGCTGGAGTGCAGTGGCGCAATCTCAGCTCACTGCAACCTCCACCTCCTGGGTTCAAGTGATTCTCCTGCCTCAGCCTCCCAAGTAGCTGGGATCACAGGCGCACGCCACGAAGCCTGGCTAATTTTTGTGCTTTTAATATAGGCAGGGTTTCACCATGTTGGCCAGGCTGGTCTGAAACTCCTGACCGCAGCTGATCCATCTGCCTTGGCCTCCCAAAGGGCTGGGATTACAGGTGTGAGCCAGCACACCTGGCCCTGTCTTAGTCTTCTAATTGGAGTTTAGGTGACTGGAGTTTAGGGAAGAGAGGGTGCCTTGCCTGAGAGCTGGTTAGCGGCACGTGTGAGCTGATCTCCATTCTTCTAACTCTGTGGCTTAGTTTATTTCTACAACACAGGGACTGAATGGCCCATCGCCCCCTGCCCAAACCTGCTGGGGGAGGCTGGCTAGCTGGACGTTAGAGTCTGGGGATGAAGTCAGCTGTCTCAGCACCAGGCCTCTGGCTGCCTTCGGTGAGGAGCCAGGTCAACAAAGCAGAACGAGAAGTTGTTAGAATTCTGGATTTGCTGCATTCACTCTGGCAGGTGATTTTTCTCCAGGGCCTTGGTTATTCAAGTAGCAGGAGTGAAGGGGTTAACTGGCAACCCTAATTAGAGTGAGGTGCGGTGTAGGGGCCACCTCACAGGCAGCCGAGATGGAAGACGGAAGACGTGGCTGGGTTTATAAACGCACACATGAGACACATGGGCTTATGTGGGCTTCCCGTAACATTTCCAGTATTGAGGTGTTGCTGTTGCTGTTGTTTGTTTGTTTGTTTTTGGAGCTTATTAGTGTTAATGGTGGTAAAAAGTAGATTAAAGTTACTGCTAATTAAGATGATTTCTTTAAATACTAAATTTGGTTTTAGGTTTAGATTGTTGTTTCCAAATTAAAGAAATAAGAAGGATAAATATTTCTGATTTTTGGCCTTTTTGGTTTTTGCTGTAGATGCTGTCATGGCTCCAGGAGCTTTCCGTACTTCTTGTGGTAGCCTTACAGACGGCCTTTCAGGTGGCCTTCGTTATGTAAATTTTCAAACCCACAGCTTAGAAATTAGAATGGGGTTTTGGGATGACACCCCGGGTTTTGCAGAAAAATCTCTTTTGTGACCAACCACTGGCTGCCGCTGCCAGCTCTGCTGACACCAGCGAATAGCAGAGCTTCTGACCTGTTTGCTGCGGCTGAGAAATGAAAACAGCCCTGGGCTCCAGAAACACTTTCAAGGCTCTCCATTATCCATCGCCTTGGCTTTTCTGTCCCAATGGAATGAATTTCATTGTCCTGGACCAAATGACTTCGCTGGGGCCGTAGAGAATGGGAAGGGTGGACGCCTCCCGGCAAACCGTCTGCATTTGCATAACACTCATGGCAGTGACTCAGTGGTTACTGTGGGGACTGACAGAGTCTTCCTTTTCCAATCCCTAACCTGTCATCCTGGACTTAAACCATTTTCAACTTTTATTTATTGGCAAAAAATGTAAAGATGATAAATGTCCTTTCATTCACTTTTTCATTTGTTCCACAAAAACATAATCGTGTGCGTGTGGCAGGCATGCTTCTTGGTGATGGAGACACGGCAGGTAGCGTGTGCACCCTGTGTGGCGGGGAGTCAGTGAGAAAGACGGAGAAGAAGCAGACAAATCATGCCGTAATATCATACCAAATCATGACGCCTATGAAGAAATGGTAAAGTAGGACTAGGGTGGAGGAGCAATGGGCATTCTCTTGGGTAGGAAGGCTGCTCGTGACCTGAAGGTGAGAGCCGTGCCTGTCCCCTGCTGGACAAATATTCCATACATGGGGGCCACACGTGCAAAGGCCCTGAGGTTGATGTGTTTATAAGTGGCCAGAGAACAGCGGGAGCGGAGGGGACATGAGGAGAGGGAGTGGGGCAGTGAGGTGGGAGGCAGCCGGGACCGGGTGGTGCAGGGCTCAATCTGGGAAAATGAATGATTGTGTGTGTTCTGAACATGCACAGACTTCTTTTGGACATTGTTCCCTACACGATACAGTATAACAACTATTGACATAGCATTTACAATGTCCTAGCTATCACGGGAGCTAGGAGCTGCGTATCTGGGAGCTGCGTAGGTTAGGTACAGACACTGCCCCTTTTTATATAAGGGACTTGAGCATTTGTGGAGTTTGGTGTCTGCACGGGGTCCTGGAACCCCTCCTCACACATACCGGGGATGACTGTACTTCTCCTCATGCTCGCAGTAGAAGAAGTTTGAAGCCCCTAGCACGGAATCTGCTCTGGCCATTTAACAGAAACCAAGAGACCAAACATTTCATGGATCCGTAGCTCCTGTCGTATTTCTTACTGCTTAGTAGGGTCTTGTCGAATGATAGAATAAATTAATAAACAGTCAGGTAGTTTATCCGCTTTTATTTTAACAGCGCTTTTGAAAAGTTTTTACCTTTAATGTGAAATCAAATATGGAATTCCAAACAACCCAGGAATAATTCAGGAAATGACGAGAAACATATTTCACAGTGTTAGCTATGGCGGTTGCAAACCTGGCGAGGCCTCCGTTCCTACTCAAGGGACAGCAGCGTTGACGCGCAGCTTGTCCCATTTTGCAGGCAGGACACACCTAACCTCCCGGTGGAAATGTGTTTGCTGGTGGGTGTTCTGCTGTTTTTGCCAAGGCTTTATTCTTTGTTGATGATTCACATGTTGTTTTATCCATTAGGTAATATTGTAGGGCTCAGTATAAGTAAATGCAAATTGTCCTCTGAATTCATTAGGAAATTATTTTAAAAGGCACTTATGCATAAATTCTCATCCCACCAACTGTTTAGACTAAATTTCTTTTGAAAGAAATTCCAACCTTCTGCATCAGTGTTTCTAACACAGTTTTCTGTAATTCTCCTGAACCGTTTGTAGAAACAGTCATTTCTTGGTTTCATGAGTTTATGGTGGGGTCTCTTTTGTGGAGTGAGCACCGTGTCATGGCCAGGAGAAGGCTCCGGGCCTCGTCCAGAACAAAAATAATCCACGGGCTGAGTCGCACCCAGATTCCCACGTGTCCTGTGGTGGACGGTACCCTTTTCTCAGGTGTCTTGGAGCGAGTCCTGGACAGTCAGGAGGATTGGACTCCAGTTTTTTTTTTTTTTTTTTCTTGAGACGTAGTCTCACTCTGTCGCCCAGGCTGGAGTGCAGTGGCATAATCTCAGCTCACTGCGGCCTCCGCCTTCCGGGTTCATGCCATTCTCCTGCCTCAGCCTCCCGAGTAGCTGAGACTACAGGCACCCACCACCTCGCCTGGCTAATTTTTTGTATATTTACTAGAGACGGGATTTTGCCATGTTGGCTAGGCTGGTCTCGATCTCCTGACCTCGTGATCTGGCCTCCCAAAGTGCTGGGATTATAGGGGTGAGCTGCCTCGCCTGGCCAGACTCCAGTTTTATTCCTGGAAATAACTGTGTGATCCTGGGAAAACCTCTTGACTCCACCATAGCCTCAGTTTTCTCACCTGTGAAATCAGCAAGTGAGAACAGATCTTGTCCACCGTTACTTGGAACCTCAGGTGTTTTGAGTCCAGTTGGACGTGGTTGAACTTGAAGCCTCAGCTTTCAAATGGCTTCCCCAGGGCCCCAAAGTCTGGTGTTGACTGAGGATGCACTGCTGACATGGGACTGTGGGAGGTCTCTGATCATGATGTTGTTTTATATTTTACTTATTAACATACATAATTGATCCACAAAATCAGGAAAATAAATCATAGTACTTTTCCACTGCCACAGAGGATATGGGTTATTTGAATATCTGAGTCAGTTTGTGTCTCTCTCCAGAAATACAGATATGAATATGGCAGTGAAATGGATTTCAGGGACATGCTGTGAAATCTTGTACTTTGCTATTTGTGAATTGTCTATGCATGCACGATTCCGTTGGAAGGTGTGAATCCTGTGAGGTTTCTTTGGTGCGTATTATTCCTGTTGCTCACGGCCAAGGAGGTTCAGAGACACAGTGGTTAAGGGACCAGCCTATTTTGTGGAAGGGGCAGTGGCAGGATTGGACTGGAAATTGGGGTCTGGACATGCTCTGCACCAGGGTTATTTAAGGATGTGCTTTGATACCAATGACATGGATTTCCTTGTAAGTAAACCCTCAAGTCATTGATGGAGTGCTAGATTGCATCACACAACAAATATTGATGACATCCCAAATATTTAAGGTTAGCTGTCCTTAGACTCACTGTGAAGAATAATTTCTCCATTCTCATTTCTGTGTAAACAGATACAGCACCTTGTTGTGTTTCGGCATTCCACTGGTGCGCACACCACTTGGAATTAAAATTTCAGGATGCTGGATATTAACCGCTGTCAGATGCATGCTTTGCTAGTATTTTCTCCCATCTGTGGGTTTTCTCTTCACTCTGTTGATTGTTTCCTTTGCTGTGCAGAAGCTCCAGTTTGATAGAATCCTCAGCACCGCGGATCATCGGGGAGATACAAATCAAAACCACAACGAGCTGTCCCCTGGCCCCTGTTCGACTGGCTTTCACCAAAAAGACAAAGACAGCAGATGCCAGTGCGGATGTGGAGGGAGGGGAACTCTTACACGCTGTTGATGGAAATGTAAATTAGTACAGCCGCTATGGAAAACAGTGTGGAGGTTTCTCAAAATGCTGTGATCCAGCAATCCCACTACTGGCTACAACCCCAAGGAAATGAGGTTGGTGTGTGGAAGAGAATCGGCCCCCAGGTCCATTGCGGCACCCTTCCCCACAGCCCAGAAACGGAATCAGCCTGTGTGTCCATCAACAGGTGAATGGATAAAGAAAATATGGTACACAGTGGATATGACTCAGCCATCAAAAGGATGAAATCCTGTCATTTGCGGCAACGTGGATAAACCCAGAGGACGCTTTGCTAAGTAAAGTGAGCCAGGCAGAGAAAGGCAAACACCGCATAATCCCACTCGTGCAGAATCTCAGCAGATCTCACAGGAGCAGAGCGTAGAGTGATGGTTACTGGGGACTAGGGGAGGTGGGAGGACAGGGATGCAGGAAATGAGTTAGCAGGTGCAGGGACTTGGGTAGGGGAAGAAGCTCTTGTGTGCTGCTGTGCAGAAGGGTGACTACAGGTGAGAATATCGTACGGTATGTCCCAAAATAGAAGAAAAGATTTGGAATGTTCTCAACGTAAAGAAACGATGAAAGTAGGAGATGATGGAAACACTACACACCCTAATTTGTCCATTGCACAAAGTCTCTGTGGATTGGAACATCTCACTGTGCCCCATGAATAAGTACAACTATTGTGAGTCAACTAGAAAATTTTAGAAACCTCACTATTCTGGGACATCTTTTGGCCAGAAAAATATATAAGGCCAATCTCTGCAGTGGTTTTGGGAGAGACTTGGATTATCAAGCTACTTCCACATGATACGATATTTTAATTCACTTCCGCTCAAATGACTGGGAGTGAGGAGCTACAAGCATAGGATTCAAGGATGACAGTCACCGGTGCACTTTCAGTAAACCTTTTGCCGTTGCACAATGCTGAGTGTTCTCTGTTTCAGAAGCAGGTGCACCTGTCGATGGGAGGCCCATGGGAGCTGCCAGGGTCCTGCGTTAACACTGAGAATTTGTTTTTAAAAAGGGATGGCTGAAAATATTAAAATATAAAATATTAATATTTATATTGGTCAGTGTTCTCGTCATTGATAATTATAAGACAAATTATACACCTCCCTCTTTAAATGTTTCTTCTTTAATATTTCAAGTTAAATGTATTCTTAGATATAGGAAAACTGGGAAGTGGATTTAGGAATCTCAGATATAAACTTGTTGAACATCTGAATCTTTTCTAGATGGAGTAACCTTGTTTCCATTCTCAGATTTGGAAATGATATTGTTTTCAATCTCAGCTATGCGGTCTCATGGCCGCTGTCCCTGTAGGACCCCCAGGGAACAAGGGGGCCCCTTCCAGATCTCCACAGGCTCACCTGGCCCACCAGGACGACGGGTGCCCTCGCTGGACACGCTGTCTGCAACATCTTGGCTCCAGCAAGATTGATGTATGGAAATTTCCTTTAAGGGATCTTCTAGCTGTTTCTGTTAAATTCCAGTTAATACCAAATGACAGAGAGGAGAGTTATTGCTACTAAACGCTGAGCTCATGCCACAGGCTCATGCTTTTATATTAGCTTCTGGCGGAGAAGATGGGTTTTAAGATTGTGCTCTAGAGTTAGACTTTCTGGGATGTGTCTTGATTTGCGGCGTCAGGTCTACTTGCAGCCTCCTTTCAAGCCTCGTGCTGTTCTCAGTGTTGATCAGATTCTGTGATGTTCCCCGGGGCTGAGTTTACTTTGTGAGCCATTGTGTGACTTCCAAAATCTATAATTCTTCATCTGCCTTCTCATCCTTTTCCTTCCAAATTGCTCACCTCTCTCCAGCATATGCACTTCCGTGGCATTTACTGTTAGGAAAGATAAGGTTTATAGCTAAATCCGGTTTTAAGGTTGTGGGAATGGCCACTCGCCCTCACAACGTGCTCTTCTTTTTATAAGGCCGCTGTGAGCTGCGTGGATGTCTGCCATGGAGCCCTTTTCTCTCCTGGCAGGGATGGACCTTCGTGTACATTCCAGCTCATTGGATGGGTCTGCCCAGCTACAGGGTCCTGAGCTTGCCCCCTCAGAGAGAGGTGTGGTCTGCGGCTCACAGCAGGGCAGTAGGGAACAGCTGCTGAATGCATTCACTTGAAATAAGAACATCTTTTTCTGGCCCTCCCTGTTCAGCCTACATTCAAAACAGGGCAAGGGGAGTGCTTAGTTGGGTATGGTATTCTAATCCAGTTACTTTTATGGGTCTCTTTTTAAATTTTTTATGGGGAAGAAACTGTGTTCTTGGGACAGGATGGTGTTTCGGAGCCATGGTGCTTATTGGTTTATCTCAGGCACAGTGGCGGGCAGAGTCCTCTGCTCTGTGTGTCCTGCAGCACGGTTGGCCGGGGCCCTCGGTGCCTCTCACATACCCTCAGCACCCTGACACCCCGCGCCTGGCCAGGCTTCTTACCCCAGGCCTGTCCAGATCTTCCGGGGCCGTGCCGGTATCTCTCATGGACTCTCTTCTACAAGGGGCCCTGATTCCCCCTTCCAGTGTCTTGTCCAGGAAACGTGCGTGGGGCATGTGCTCTGTGTTGGAAGTCAGTGCCAGGCGGGCGCAGGTGACCAGACCAGGAGAGCCCAGGGCCTGGGAACCATGTCTCTGGGTCCAGGGCAGCATCTCCTCAGGCCTGTCTTCCAGTGCTTTCATTTCAGTTCCCGTCTGCATAGGGTAGCTGATCAGTCCCCACCTTCTGGTAAACTCACTTCTCGAGGGCCTGGCCTGTCAGTTGATTCTGAAAAGAAGGGTCTGAAGGACCAGAGTGCTGGGGGTCGTGTCTCTGTGGGGCTGGAGAGTTGGCCTTGGTCCATGTGGCCATCGGGAAGCGCTTGCTGCCACCTGTGACGGCTCCTGGGAGCTGTGCAGCTTCTGGCCACCACGCCAGGGCCTTCTAAATACTTTCCCAGACGCTGTGTGCTGTGAGCATCAAAATAATAAATATTCCTTTCTAGAATCGACCGTTTCTCCCTTTCTATGACTCAGACTGGGATTTGCCATTCATTCCAGGTCCCCTGGGCCTTTCCCGCTCCCTGTGACTTGTTGGGAGAAGCTGCTCAGAGCCGGTGTTCTCCTGTCGCCCCAACATGCCACGTTCCCAGGGAAGCCACGTTCCCAGGGTCTGGAGATGGTGTCTTCATCCCTTACAGGCTCACTGCCTTGTGCTGGGGTTTGTTCTCTCTCCAAATCGAGGGCCTCTGTCCTTCCCCATGAGTCAGACATCCAGGTTTCCGCCGTTCTGTGCTGTTCACCTGTCAGCTGTCTAACCCGGTACCACTGATTCGTGTGCCGCCTACCGGCCGTCACCGTGGGCAAAGTGACCACAGACTTCTCAGTTCAGACACGGAGTTCGTAAATTAATGTTATCTTTGTTGATCGGGGATCTATTTGCTTTATGCAAGAAAAATGCTGAGTTTTCTTTGGGTCTTTCCTGGATGCAACCAGCTCTTTGCTTTTTGCAGCTTTATGTTGGAATATGTTGAACTCAAGTATGTATAATTATTCCAACTTCGTGCCCTCCTTGTTTTAATTAGCAAAAATAAACCCTTTAAGCTGTGATTATCCTAATTTGCTGGAGTCAGCAGGAAGCCTGGTTGGAGGAGGAGACAGAAGGTCCTTCAGAGGGTTCTAACAGGCGCTAATCCTTGAGATGTTACCTTCTTTCGATACCCAAACTAGTTGAGAACAAAAGGGGAACAGTGTTGTGATTATGTCATTACGTGGCTTTCTCTATGCTGCATTCAGGCTGGACCTGGTGGTAGCACGCTCTAGGGACATGCACACATCTGAGAAGGCTGTGGATCTGGGATTACTGATGATGAATAAGTCACTGACACTGGCTCGGGTGTAGCCTCATGATTTAATGTGAGACATTGCTGTCACCTGGCCACCTGTGCTTTCTGCTGTGGTAGTGGATGCAGGTTTCTCAGTGCGTAATTCCTGTTCATATTGGTTTCTTATAGGGGAAGTGAAGCTTTGAATGATTCTGTTTTGAATAAACCTCAAAATTATGAGATGTGAGCTGAGCATTATTTAAGCGGTGTGTTTAGTTTTCCACGTAACGCATTTATGACAAACATATTTGCTCAACTTTCTGTTGGCAGTTGTGCCAATTTTATACTCATTATGAAAAGATTTGTTAACATCTGAGGTGATAGTTTAATATTTTTGTATTATTAAAAAATTCAGCAATGGCTTCATCCATCATGCATCCATTGCTTAAAATGTATGATACTTACAAATTATTTGTAGGTGTCAGTTTTCAAAATGGTTATATACTTTAAGCTAATTAAAAATGATGTTGCATTTTTTCTTTATTATTTATATTTAAGGAGTGTAATTAACCCTATGGATACAGTGAGTAAAGGGTTTATGAGAGGAAGAAGATTGTTTTTTATTCTGAGCACTTATTTTTGTCTGTCCTGTGGGGTCACATGTTCTGGAATAGCTGTGGCTCTTGTATGTCAGCAGCTGTGGAGGTGTGTCTCGTTGTTAGTGTTGCTGTTGATCCTGTTCTTGTATCCACATGTGGATGCATGTACTTACAAGGTCACCTAGCACCTGTTCCTCCAGAAGAGGTTTATCTACAGAAAAATGAGCCATCTTTGTCATCTTACACGACACTCACAGAAACATCTCGCTGTGAGAAGGTCCCTGGTTGGCGCACGGTGAGCCGTGCACTGTTTCACAGCCCCACAGCCACACTGCTCAGAGTCAGTCTCAAGTGACCGGAGACGGTGATGTGTCACTAATCCAGAAAAAGTGTCCATCATCTCTGAGATGATCTAAAGAAGAGCTGCAGGTTACGTTAGTGTCTGCCTCGCTGGAGCATTCATGTGCTCTTCCAAGGGTGCGCGGCACCTTGAAGAAGGTGCTGGTGTGGGCTTTGGTGTGTCTGAGGCGTCTGCAGCCCTGTCTGTCACCTTGGAGTCCTCTTGCACAAACAGTGTTCCCTCTTCAGGTGGATCACGTGTTCATCTGAGGCCACCGCACCTCCGGGCCTAGAGAGCGCGGTCACTGCAGGCTGGACGCGTCAGGCAGCCCAGAGTGAGGGTGAAGTGGGGGCCGCGCAGGTTCCAGTCATTGTGTCTCCTGGTGTTTTGCGTTCTCCACAATGAAGTGAATATGTGACAATTTAAAAACTGAAATTGCTGTCTCAGAAAAGCTTTGATTACCGTTTGGTCTAACTTTGATCCACAGAAAAGGCTGCCGGGTTTCTCCACAGGCGTCCTGAGTACCAAGTCAGAAAGCAAGTTTCTGGGCCGGCTGCCCTGGGCCCTCCCTTCCTTCCTCTCCTCCTCGAGACCCTGCTTCACGCCTCTCTTCTTCCCCTTTATTTACATATACAGCTTAGTGTAATTTTGAGTCAGTTCATTTGTTTTCCCTGTGGTTACCAACCAGCCACCCCTAAACGGTTCCTCGGTGGCTGGAAGTCACAGTGTGGATCTTCTGTTACTGTTAAGCTGTTTTCGCGTCCTTCTTGCACCACATTTGATGAAGTGAGTTGAAGGTACTTGTTTCCGTTACAAGAGTCACGCCCTCCCTGTCAGATCCTGAATCCGAGATTTATTTGCAGTTTTGTTTCTCTAGCTGAAAGAATGCTGCGTGTTTTCTCTTTCAGCAAAAGAAAATTTGGTTTACGTTTGTACGCTGAGGGCTCAAATATACAGTAATTAAAATAGACGTCTCTTTATTTTACTCCGTGGAAAGTGATAGCATGTCACAATTAATCACTTTAAAAGCTCTCAAACATGGGCTTTTTAATAACTCCAAGACCTCCCTGTCTTTTCCAAGGCTGGCAGCTGGATAAAGGTGAATTTAATCAACATAAGAAAAATAAAAGACTCCTTAGTCTTAATGAATATGCGCATGTTTTGAACCGTAGTTGGAACATTCGGGGATCAGGAAGTGCTTGGGAGAGAACCCGTGATATTTTGGCAAGCCTGTTTCCCCAAATCTGGGTCACAGAAGCTGGATGTGGTGGTTTATGGTGACGAGTGGGCGGGCCTGATGGGCACCCCGGCAGCGGGACACGTTCTGAACAGCAGGACTCTGCTCAGGAAAGGACACATTCTGAGCAGCGGGACTCTGCTCTGGAAAGAGGACTAATCAGGGAGTACAGAATGAGGTTATTGGTGGTTTCTTCAGGAGAGCAGGGCCATTTAGAAACTGGCTGAGAAAGATACCGTGCCTAATTTACAAAAAAAAAAAAAATGATTTGAGACTTAAAGTCAAATTCTGGGTCGTCTTTTCATTTCTTATTGTACATTTAACCATTTTGTAGCTACAAAACTATTGCTTTCTTAAGATTTTCTCTCTGGCTTCTGTAATAGTCCATTATCTTGATTTTATTCTATGGCTATTTCTTTCCTCCAAAATGTGGATATTTTCCAAAGTTTTCTCGCCGATATTTCTCCTGACAGGATCCCTGAGCTGTCATCACTTAACAAGTGCGGTTATTACAATCATGCAGATGATGCTTATAAACCTCTGTCTTCCATGCTGACCTCTCTTCCAGTACTGGACATCTTCACTGAGAGGTACTGACAGCTCTTAAAACCGGCATTCCTGTTCCCTCCCAGGACCCTAAACACGCAGCTGCCCTTGAAGACTCACTGCTTATGTTAGTGGGTCTGTCTCCTTGGCACCCCGGCTTGAAAACCTGGAGAATTCAAATTTCCTGCACTTTCTCACCCCTTTGCCGTCTGTCTCCTCTCACTTCCTGCTCTGTCTCCTCTCACTTCCTGCTCTGTTTCCTCTCACTTCCTGCTCTGGTTCCTGGACTCCTCAGGCACAACACAGCCTCATTCTTTTGGTTTTCCTTCCTGTGGCCATGGCCCTAATCCAGACTATTATCCAGCTTTTGGATCTGCCGCTTCTTGGTGAGAGATTTCCAGAAACCTCCTCAGCACCCCAGCACATTCCCTGAGCCCCTGGAGTGGGCTGTGGGTCTCCGCATGTCTTCGTGCCCTGGTGACATCCATGAATGAGGGAGTGGAGGGCTGCCGGGCCGGGCCTGGAGTCTTGGCTCTCTTTCCCTCACCGCTGATAAGGACAGAACTCGGGAATCTGAGAATCACGTCTTGGGGGCTCAGCAGGTCTCTGTGACCATCCTGTGGTCATTCCCCTAATTCCAAAATGCGTAACTGTGGTAGACGTATCTGGCACCTGAGCTCAACATTTTCCTTCCCCTGGTTCTTCAGAATAAATAAAAGGGACTCAGTGGTCCCCTTAACCTTCCCTGAGATGTTCTGTGGCAGTGCGCACTGTTTGACATCAGTCAGAGCCTGACCACCTCTGGGCACCAGTGTGCAGGTGTCTGCCTGTGAGGATTTATGCCACCGTTGGGTGCCGTGCCCTGCCCAGCCTGCACCCCTTCCCACAGAGAAGGCCGGTTGCAGGCCCGGTCCAGGGTCCCCCGTGCATTTCTTCAGATGGCCATCCAGTGTCCACACCTGAATTAATTGGCTGCACTATCTTCTGTCCAAACTGTTAGTTGAGTTTTGGATGGAACCTTTATCACCTGCTACATTTCCATTTGCACTTTGGGTTACTTTTGTATTTTGCTGTTCTAAGAACGAGTTTTGTCAAATCTGACAGGGTGATCCTGCTTCTGAGTCCACCGTTGCTCATTTTCCTACATGTTTCTTCATCCAGATAAACTTTAAAATCAGTTTTCAAGTTTCTAAAGAATTATGTGTGAAATTTTGATTGGGATTATCCAGGTTTAGCATCCTAAATCTTAAAATTTGAAATCCAAAGTGTTCCAGCTTCCAAAACCTTTAGAGAGCTGACATGATGCTCAATGGAACTGCTCATTGGAGCATTTCGGATTTGGATATTTGGATTTGAGACATTCAACCAGATAAGTATAGTCCATATCTTCCAAAATATGAAAAAAAAAACCAATTTGAAGTACTTCTGGTCCCACGCATTTTGGGTAAGGGACACTCAGCCTGAGCTGGATTTACAGATCAATGGGAGAAACTGACCCTCTGTTAAGGATGTGGCGTCTCACAGAGAAAGGTGGGCCCACCTACTTGTTGGCATGTATATTAAGTAATTCTTATTAATATTTCTTTCAAGGTCTTCATCCCTTCATGCATTTTTTGTCTACTTGGTGTTATTTGGGCTGTTCTTGTTGAATTTCTTCTTACATACTCTACAGTTTTTGCGTTAGCTATTTCCACACATATAACAGATTTTGTGATATGATTATAACAGATATTTTTGTGCTGTTCTTGTTTAGGTTTATATCATTGTTTTCATTGCTTAGAAACTTAAGAAAATTATGTGGTTTTCTTTATGCTATGTGTGTATTTAGTGAGCTTTCTTCTCATTTTTCTCCAGAAATTTAGAAGGAATTTATTCTAAGGTTCATTTTTAATAATGTAATTAAATTATATTTTTTTATTATTCAACTTCAAAGCCAGAACTATTAGGACAGATGAAAAGATGCTGCACTTATATTTAATGACAGCTAAAGTTCCTTTCAACAGAGGAAAGTTTTCTCTCACTTCTTTTCTTTTTTTTTTTTTTTTTGAGACAGAGTTTCACTCTTGCTGCCCAGGCTGGAGTACAACGGCGCGATCTCGGCTCACAGCAACCTCTGCCTCCCGGGTTCAAGCAACTGTCCTGCCTCAGCCTCCTCAGTAGCTGGGATTACAGGCATGTGCCACCACGCCCGGCTAATTTTGTATTTTAGTAGAGATGGGGTTTCTCCATGTTGGCCAGGCTGGTCTCAAACTGACCTCAGGTGATCCACCCACCTTGGCCTCCCAAAGTGCTGGGATTACAGGCGTGAGCCACTGCGCCCGGCCTTCTCTCACTTCTTAAAAGCAGTTTTATTGAGATATAATTCATATACCCCATACTACTCACCCATTCAAAGTGTACAATCCGCTGGCTTTTATTATATTCAAAGAGGTACATGCAACTATCACCACAGTCAATTTCAGAACACTCTCCTCACCCAAAATTGAAGCCCTGCACTATTTAGGCACCCTCTCTGTCCTCCACCCCTGCCTCCTGTATCAGCACAGTCAGTCCTCAATATCCAGGGTGGGGCAGGTGCCAGGACCCCCACAGATACGCAGATCCACGGATGCTCAAGTCCCTGATGGCAAAAGGCTATTTTTGCCTATAACCTACACACATCCTCCTGCATACTTTAAATCATCTGTAGAGTACATATAAAGCTTAATACAGTGTAAGTACTATGTGCATGTATGCATGTGTAGTATTACAACTGATTCTTTATATTGACCACACATGCTCCCACATACTTTAAATCATCTCTAGATTATTTATAAAACTTAATATAGTGTAAATGCTTTGCATGAATAGTATTAAAACTGATTCTCTATATTGACCTCATGTCCTTCAACCTTGCCAAACTCATTTATTAATTCTAATAATTTTTAGTGAATGTTTTAGATTTTTTTGTATATGATATCATGCCATCAGGAAATAGAGGTAGTTTTATGATTTCTTACTTTAAATCTGAATGCCTTTTACTTCTCTTCATTACCCTGGCTAGGACCACCAGCACAATTTTGAAATGAAGGAGTGAGAACCAACATCCTTGTCTTGTTCCTGATCTTAGAGAAACAGAATTTAGTCTTCCACCACTAAGTATGACGTTAGTTATGTGGTTTTCATAGATGCCTTTTATTAAGTCAAGGAACTTTCCTTCTATTTCTAACTTATTGCTTGTTTTTAATTAATACTTTATAATTCTCTATATATAATTGCTGCATTCATTTTACTAATATTTTGTTGAGGATTTTTTAATCTATATTTATGAGATATTCATCTTTAGCCTTTTTTTCTTATGATGTATTTGCCTGGCTTTGATATTAGAGTAATATTGGCCTGATAAAATGAATTAGGAAGTACCTGCTTTTTTTCCATTTCTTGGAAGAATTTATGAAGCATTGTTATTAATTGTTCTTTAAATAGATATAAAGAAAGTTTGTTTTGTGGCTTAGTTAAGGTTTGTTTTGATTTGGCAGAATTCAGTAGAGATGTCGTCTGGGCCTGAGCTTTTCTTTGGGAGGACAGTTTTTTGATTTGCAGTCTTCACTCTCGAGACGTCTGTTTAGATTGTTTTCTCTTGAGTCAGTTTTGGTAGTTTGTGTCTTTCTAGAAATGTGTCCATTTCATCTTAGGGCATCTACTTTGTTAGTGTAAAATTATTCATAGTGTTCCTGTACAATCCTTGTTATTTATGTAAGGTCTGTGATGATACCCCTCTTTCATCTGATTCTATTAAACTGAGACTTCTCTTTTTTTTCTTTGTCAATCTAGCTAAAAGTTTGTCAATTTTGTTGATATTTTCAAAAAGCCACCTTTCCATTTCATTTACTTTCTCTTTTTTTCTGTTCTCTATTAGTTTCTGTTTTAATATTATTATTTTTTCTTTTTTCTGCCTGCTTTACATTTAGTTTGTTCTTCTTTTTCCAGTATCTTAAAGTGGAAGTTTAGCTTCTTCATTTGAGGTCTTTCTTTTTCCTTCATAGAAGCATTTACAGCTATAAATTTCCCTTGAACCCTGCTTTGGCTGCATCTCATAAGGTTTGATGTGTTGAGTCTTCATTTTCAGTAACCTCAAAGTATTTTCTAATTTCCTTTGGGATTTGTTCTTTGTCCCATTGGTTATTTGGGAGTACATTGTTTAATTTACACAAACTGGTGAATTTCCAAAACTTTTTTCTGTTGTTGATTTCTAATTTGATTCCATTGTGATTAGAGAAAACAATTTGTGTTATTTGTATCATTTTAAATTTATTTTTAATAATAGGTTTGTTTTATGGCTTAACATATGGTATATTCTGGGAATGTTTTATGTGCATTTGAGAAGATCGTATATTCTGCTGCTGTTGTTGGATGGAATGTTGTATTGGTGATTGCTAGGTCTAATGGGTTTACAGTGTTGTTCAAGCCTTCTCTTTCCTTGTTGATCTTTTGTCTAGTTGATCTATCCATCATTAAGAGTGTGGTATTAAAGTCTTCGGCTATTGTTGAACTTGTGTCTTCATTTTTGTCAGTTTTTGCTTCACATGTTTTGGTGCTCTGTTGTTAAGGTGCATGTGTGTGTATATATGTATGTCTACATATGCATACACACATGTACATATATATTTATAATTGTTATTGCTCCTGATGGGTTGTCTCTTTTATAGTTAGTTCCTCTTTATCTGTAGTAACAGTTTTTGTTTTAAAGTCAATTTTGTCTGATATCAATGTAGCTATTCTAGCTTTCTTGTGATTGCTGTTAGCATAATATATTTTTCTATCCTTTTACTTTCAATCTATTTGTATCTTTTAATCTTTAAAGTGTATCTCCACTAGGCAGGGTAGAGTTGGATCTTTTTTAAAAATTAAGTCTGACAACATGCTTCTTTTGATTATATTATTTAATCCATTCACATTTAATATTATCATTGATATAGTTGGATTTACATCTACTGTTTTACTTTTTTCCCCTCATATGTCTCTGATATGGTTTGACTGTGTCCCCACCCAAATCTCATCTTGAATTGTGGTTCCCATAATCCCCACGTGTCATGAGAGGGACCCGGTGAGAGGTAATTGAATCATGGCGGCAGTTTCCTCCATGCTATTCTCGTGATAGTAAGTTCTCATGAGATCTGGTGATTTCATAAGGGGCTTCCCCTTTCCCTCGGCTCTCATTCTTCTCCTTTCTGCTGCCATGTGAAGAAGGATGTGTTTGCTTCCCCTTCCACCATGATTGTAAGTTTCCTTGGGCCTCCCTAGCCCTGCTGAACTGTGAGTCAATTAAACCTCTTTTCTTTATAAATTACCCAGTCGTGAGTATGTCCTTATAGCAGTGTGAGAATGAACTAATATAGTCTCATACCTTTTTTATTTCTTCATCCCTCCTTACTCATTTTTTTGCATTAAGTGAATATTTTCCACTGTAGCATTTTAAGTTACTTAAGGATTTTTTCACTATATTTTTGAGTCATTTATTTCGTGTTTGCTCTAGAGTTTCCCATATATGTTTTAGCTTATTAAAATCAGTTTCAGACTTATGCTGGCATAATTCTAGTAATAAATAGAAGCATTACTTCTATGTAGCTATACTATGTTTCCCCTCTTCTGTGGTATTATTATACTTATTACATCTCTTAATGTTGCAAACGCAACAGCACATTGTTATAATTATGACTTTACCACCTGTAATTATGTTCTTAGTATAACATAGCTTTGCTTCCACTAACCCTCTTCGTGCTGTTATTGACAAATATGTTACACATATATTTTTATGTTTGATAGGTCCACCAAGCTTTTTCATATGTATTATTTTATACAATTTTATTTTAAATCAGTTAGGAGGACAGAAAATATGTTAATACAGTCTTTTATAATTATGTAATTACCATTACCAGTTATCTTAATTTTTCATGTGGATTTTAATATTATCAGGGGTCACTTGCTTTCAGCCTCAAGAACTTTCTTTAGAATTACTTGTAAGGTTGATCTGCTAGCAATAAATTCTCTGAGTTTTTATTTTTCTGGAAATGTCTTTATTTTGTCTTCATTTTTGAAGAATAGGTTTTCTGGATACAGCATTCGTGATAGACAGTTTTGTTTTTCTTTTGAATACTTTCAGTATGTTATACCACTGCTTTTCTGGCCTCTACTGTTTCTGCTGAGAAGTCAACTATTAATCAGATTGGATTTCCTTTGTAAGTAACAAGTCATTTTTCTCTTGTAGCTTTTAAGATTTTCACCTTTTCTTTGACTTTCAGTATTTGTACTGTGACTTATCTGTTTGTAACTCTCTTTGCTTTTATCCTTGTTGGAGTTTGTGGAGCTTCCTGGATGTGTACATTATTGTTTTTCAGTATGTTTGGGAGGTTTTCAGCTATTATTTTTTGCATATCTTTTTTGCTGCTTTCTCTTACCTCCTTCTGATGTTCTCATTGTGCTTGTGTTTGTGTGCTCTAGGTGCCCTATGCTTCTGAGCTCCTTCAGTTGTCTCTGTCTTCTTTCCTGTCTCTGCTTTAGCTTGCAGAACATCTATGGATCTGTTTTGCAGTTTGCTTATTCCTTTTCCTGATGTTGGAATCTACAGTTAAACCCCACGAATGAGTTTTTATTTCAGTTATTTTACTTTTCCAACAGCGGAATTTCCATATGGTTATTTCTATATTTTTACCAGGTTTTTTTTTTTTTTATTTTTTGCAACATTCTTCTACCATCTTTACCTCTTCAGTCATAGTCTCCTTTGGTTCTGGGAACATCTTTATGACTCCTTTGAAATCTTTTTCTAATAAACCTGGCCTCTGGTCACTTCCACAGGTAGTTTGTGTTGCCTGCCTCTTATTGTTTTTTCATTGTATGGATCATACTTTCCTATCTCTTTGCATGTCTCATGATTTTTTGTCAGAAACTGGACATTTTGATATATAATGTCACAGTTCTTGCCAGTGATAGTGGTCCTTCCCCCACACCTGGGCTTGTTTTTGTTGTTTCTTCGTTCAGTGATTGGCTGGGTTTGTTTAGAGGAGTCTAGACTCTCTGCCCTGTCCCCCATGGTGTTTAGCCTCTGATGTGGCTCCTTGTTGGGGGCAGGGGTTGCAGCTTTGGGTGTGACCCCCTTACCTGGTTGACAGTGGTATGGGCAGGCTTTCTTCCTCTCTGTCCCTGACCCAGGCAGCTATTAAACGCCACTAATTGCTGCTGATTGCAATTGTGGGCATACATTGCTTCACAAATAAATCTAATCAAATTGTGGCTTCTTTGAAGGAATAGTTTGAGGTTCCTGTTTGATACTTGCTTTGACACAAGAAGGATCCTCCCAGCTGTCTTATTCCCTAGTTCTTCCCTGCAAGCCAGTAACCTACAGGTTCACCTGTGTCTTGAATCTCTTCCCAGTTGCATTTCACCACAAATTCCAATGCTCCCGAGAGCTCCCTTAGGTTTAAGCTTCTTCATATTCTGTGCAAATGAGGTTTGGCTCCTTTGGAAAGAGATTGTGTTCCACGGCTCTGAATGCTAGCGATGGCCCATAACCATCTGCTTTTGTCCTGCTTCTCCAGCAGAAAAATGAAGACATCCCAAGTGGAGTCTCTTGACTTTCTGAGCTGGGAGGGATAGGAGAGAGCAGACTTGGTTCAAATCCCACAGGTACTTGTCTCCCTGAATTTTCGTAGCTTCTCTTGAAAGATATTTCTTCATTTGCTGTTTGCCAATGGACCATTTTCAGAGACTGTAGATGTTTTGTTGTTGTCTATAATTTTCAACAGTTTTCCTTGAGAGTACTGGGAGTCCTCATACTGTCATGCTGGAAGTCACTCTCCCATTTTTTAACAATGGGAGAGACTTGAATATATTTAAGTACTCATGGGAAAAAGTCAGTGGTGGGAGGAAAGTTGAATTTATAGACAGAGATGGAATAATTAATAGAAACAAATTCTTTTAGGAGAATACGGGATATAGAACAGAGCTAGAGTGTTTAGTTTGAGATCCATGGGACCCTCTGAATGTAACGGAAATCAGAGAGGAACACACGGTAGGTTTTGTGGTTCAAAGTTCAGAAAATTCTTGATGAATGCTTTGCTCTTCCTTGTGAAGGTGGTGGTGGGGTTGTGGGTCAGAGGACGATAAGTAGAGGTTGTGGGGACTGCAGAGCTATTGGGATGAATGAGAGAGTATATTTCTAGGAAAATGGGTTAGGATTTCCATGTTGTGATAGCCATTCTCAATCTTGTTGTTCCAGTGGTGCTATGGTTTGGTATGGTTGGTCCTCACCAAAACTCACTGAGGCTTGGTCCCCAGTGTAATGGTGTTGAGTGGTGGGAGGTGTTTGGTCCACGAGGGACCCTCATGGAGAGATTAAATGCCATCTCTCAGGAGTGAGTTCTCCTGGGAATGGGTTGCTTTCCAAGAAGGTGGATTTTATAAAGTGAGGCCACCTCTCCTGTTTGGCTTCTCTTTCACAAGGCCCACTTCCCCTCCTACTTCTCTACCATGTTGTGAGACAGCACAAGGCTCCCACCAGAAGCCATGGGCACCATGCTCTTGGACTTCGCAGACACTAGAATCATGAATTAAATACCTCTTCTCTTTGCAGATTACCCTGCCTCAGATACTGTGTTATAGCAACACAAAAGGGACTAAGACAGATGGCTTTTAGAGTCCTGGGACTGATGGTACTCTGGTCTGGGCTCAATGAAGGAGCCTACCAATATCCTAATTGGCCAAAACCAACTAGGTTGTGTGTGAAAGCAACTTGATTACATTATGTTCTTTATTTTTATTTTTTACATTGACAAATGCCATCTAAAATCTTACCTAGGATCACAAAGGGAGTTTGTGGATGTGTCAGTTTGGGTTGGACCAGTTTATTCACTGTGATACAAGAACAAGTCCAGAGGCACATAGATAATTTCCCTGTTAGCCACTGACTAGAGAAGAATTATTCACTCTCTGGGCAATAATTTGTGAAGACCATTCCCCGGAGAAGAAATTTGTTTTGCTGTTAGGACATTCACCGAAATGACACTGTCTGCTTGGGGAGCGTAGGGTTTACTTGAAGATAGAGGTCCTTTGGGTCTGGTGGTACCCATGGATAAGTTCCCATGCAGGTGTCACTTTCCCCAGGTGGGGGTGTTGAGCGCTAGGCTCAGTTTGTCCTGTGAAGGCATCTTTCTGCCATCATCCCTGCCTTAGGTTAGAGTCATTACCATCTGACCCACGATCTAGTCTTTGAACATCTCTGGTTCCTTCCTCCATCTCCCCGTTGTCTTCATTAGTTTCCTAGGAGCCAAGAACACACAAATCCGTTCTTTAGTTACTTGTGCTACAACCTCCCTTCTGACTCACTTCCCTCCCTAATCTATCATTTTGTCACTTGGCAAAATTCCATTGTTGAATTTTTTCATCATTGACCTTTATCACTCTATACCCCAAAGAGTTGATTGCTCCTAGGGAGAACCATGTATCTGGGCAGTGGATGCTGCTAAAAATAAAACCATAGCAACAACAGCCTCCACTTTATGTGAGCTCTCATTGTTACCTGGACTGTCTTCTCCATGTCATTGTCAAGCACTTCTCCATTCTCCTTCCGTGTCTCTCCTCCCTAATGGAATTTTATATCTTAACCATATCCCTCGAGTCTGCAGCCTCCTTCTTTACTCATTTGATCTCAGCAACCAGTGGGTGCCCTTGTTTTGTGTAAGAAATGTAGAGGTCTTCAGGAAATTCTGTCCTGGCCTTCTTGTCCTGCTGCTTCCAAATTCATCAGAACTGGTCTTTCCTTTGAGAGGGGTGAGGGGAAGTTTTCTTTGCATCCGTGGTGTTTGTGTTCACCTGTGTTCTTGGCCCCGCCCCTTCTCCCTCCACTGCACTTGCATCTCCTTCTCTTAGGTTTGTTCCTCCGTCCCTCTTTTTGACCACATCCTCCTAATCAATTTCTGTGCTTCTAATATTCTCCTCATGCACACACTTTGTGCATCCTGCCACCGAGGCCATGCGTCTTCTAGAATGTAGATGTGCTTCTGTCTCACATGAGACACCATAAATCATTCCCCAGGAAAGTGTCCACACTCACACACAGAGGGTTCTGCTATCTGGCTCCTGTGCGGGGTGACCGTCCAGTGTGTGTCCCCTCTCCAGCCCTTGCCTGCGACATGGCATCCGTGCTGGGGAGACTTTGTAGGTGGGTCGGGGTGACCGTCCAGTGTGTGTCCCCTCTCCAGCCCTTGCCTGCGACATGGCATCCGTGCTGGGGAGACTTTATAGGTGGGTCGGGGTGACCGTCCAGTGTGTGTCCCCTCTCCAGCCCTTGCCTGCGACATGGCATCCGTGCTGGGGAGACTTTATAGGTGGGTCGGGGTGACCGTCCAGTGTGTGTCCCCTCTCCAGCCCTTGACTGCGACATGGTATCTGTGCTGGGGAGACTTTGTATGTGGGTCCTTTCTCTCCTGAGAATGTCCCCATCCCCCACTTGCCACTGTAACTCCTGCTCGTTCATGGACTCAACGCAGATGTAATTTTTGCTAAGAAGTTCCTCCCTCCTAAATTAGGGTGGGTGCCTCCTCCATGCATAAACATAATGCCCTGATCTCCACTCTGTTAATTTATAACTAGTCGTATCACTTAATATCTAATTGCACAGCCAACTTTCTATCTCCAGGACTTGCACAACAGCTCATGCTTGATAGGTGCTCAGTAAGTGGCTTATATATAAGTGAGTAAGGTCTACCTTCATTTTGCAAAGCTCAGGTGATATTCACAAGAATTTGCGAAGATTACATAAAAATGACTTAGAGCAATACACTTAATCTTACTTATTGCAAAGTAGAATCTTTCTTCTTAAAACAATTCAGGAAAGTTAAGCGACCTAGGATAGGGATTTTTACTTTTCAGAAAATTAATAGGCGATCTTCATTTGAGCTATAAAACTCTCTCAGAGTAGTCATACATCTACATGGAGTTAGCTTGGCTGTGAATCTCATTTATTCCTCAGTTTTATGTAGGACGTTTGCCCCGATAATTTGACTGGTTGTATCTCTATCTCTGTAAATAGAGATTCTTATTTCTCAGATTGTTCTGTTTTGGAAACAAAATTACAATGAGAAAACTTGAATGCACCAATAGAAATAAATGCAAAAGAACATTTATTTTCTCATCCTCTCCTTACCATTTCATCTCTCTTTTTTTTTTTTTTTTTTTTTGAGATGGAGTCTTGCTTTGTTGCCCAGGCTGGAGTGCAGTGGCACGATTTTGGCTCACTGCAACCTCCACCTCCTGGGTTCAAGCAGTTCTCCTGCCTCAGCCTCCCAAGTAGCTGGGATTATAGGCGCACGCCACCACTTGTGGCTGAACACACACACACACACTTTTTTTTTTTTTTTTAGTAGAGACAGGGTTTCACCATGTTGGCCAGGCTGGTCTCGAACTCCTGACCTTGTGATCCACCCGCCTCAGCCTCCCAAAATGCTGGGATTACAGGTGTGAGCCACTGTGTCCAGTCCATCTCTCTTTTTATTGGAAACATATGCCCTGTCACTTTGTTCCCAGAAATAAACCGTGAAGTGTCACAGAGAAAATATAAATTCTCCCACCCAATATCCAGTCTGGTTGAATTTATTCATTCCAGGATATCTGAGTCCCCTGCCATGCAAACTCATAGCCTCGTGTGGTATATTCCACCTTTCCAGAGGGCATAAGTGCTCACCTGTGTCCTGTTCATTCTGGGCACTGAATTGTGTGCCATTGGTCACATGATATCACCCAGTCCAGAGGCTTCCCTGTAAATACTTGAAATGGCTCCTTAATAGAGAACTTAAGAGAGGCGTCAGTGATGCTCCAAATGAGACGTGAGACCCAGCTGAGGCCTGAGACATGAATGAGACATGACGGGGATTTATCTAATTTAGTTAGCACATCATCAGAGATCTGCGGAGGCCTCTCCTGCGGGCACCCGTGCCTGGCCCAGCGGCACCTCTCCCTGCGGAGGCCTCTCCTGCGGGCACCCGTGCCTGGCCCAGCGGCACCGCTCCCTGCGGAGGCCTCCCCTGCGCGCACCCTCGCCTGATCCAGCGGTACCTCTCCCTGCGGAGGCCTCTCCTGCGCGCACCCTCGCCTGATCCAGCGGTACCTCTCCCTGCGGAGGCCTCTCCTGCGGGCACCCTCGCCTGATCCAGCGGTACCTCTCCCTGCGGAGGCCTCCCCTGCGCGCACCCTCGCCTGATCCAGCGGTACCTCTCCCTGCGGAGGCCTCCCCTGCGCGCACCCTCGCCTGATCCAGCGGTACCTCTCCCTGCGGAGGCCTCCCCTGCGCGCACCCTCGCCTGATCCAGCGGTACCTCTCCCTGCGGAGGCCTCCCCTGCGCGCACCCTCGCCTGATCCAGCGGTACCTCTCCCTGCGGAGGCCTCTCCTGCGCGCACCCTCGCCTGATCCAGCGGTACCTCTCCCTGCGGAGGCCTCTCCTGCGGGCAGCCGTGCCTGGCCCAGCGGCATCTCTCCCTGGCGTCAGCAGCTTTCCTCTCCGTTCCCCTCCGCCCCGTGGTGTCGTCACTTCTCGGCTGCTCACGCTGCGACGTTGTTTTGTTGGGTCGGATCTCTGCATCGGTCTGGGCATGGGTAACTACTCAGGATTAATGTCAGAAGTTGAGTTTTTGTTGGTGACACTGACAAGCTTTGTTTCCCTCCCTGTGCTCCACACGGGCTCTGGTCCTCTAACACAATCTTCCTGGGTCCCGTGCTCTGCAGGGCCAGGTCAGATGATTTCCTGAGCAGTGCGTATGTCCTGTGATGTCCTGTGTTGCTGGAATGGAGTGGATTCTTCTCTCTCAGTGAGGAATAGCTTTCTGATTGTGATCTCAGTGGAAGTCACGTGCTGTACCCACCACTGGGCAGACCTTGCTGGCCACGGCCTCCACGTGCAGTGACCGTTCTCTTGGCAGCGTCTCAGGCTGTCTGGACCAGCTGTCACAGTCTCGCTGTGGGTGAGTCACCTGAGGCACTGTATGGCGGATAGAAGGATTCATTGCCCTGGGAGGTAAGCCTGGGCCTACATTGGCCTAGGGACAGTTGTGAAGCTTATCTTGTTTTGATTCCCTGGTCACATAGAAATTTAGAATAATGATCCTTTTTAAAAAAAAATACAATAATGCTTTTATTACTTGATATGCAAATGCATATTCTTTTTTTTCCCTTAATTTCTTCTTAAAAAAAAAAACCCAGGATACATGTACAGAATGTGCAGGTTTGTTACACAGGTACGCGTGTGCCGCGGCGGTTCGTTACATAGGAACGCGTGTGCCGCGGCGGTTCGTTACGTAGGAGCGCGGGTGCCGCGGCGGTTCGTTACGTAGGTGCGCGTGTGCCGCGGCGGTTCGTTACGTAGGTGCGCGTGTGCCGCGGCCGTTCGTTACGTAGGAGCGCGGGTGCTGTGGTGGTTTGCTGCACCTATTAACCCATCCTGTAAGTTTCCTCCCCCCACTCCCTAACTCGCAACAGGCCCTGGTGTGTGTTGTTCCCCTCTCTGTGTCATTGTGTTCTCATTGTTCATCTCCCACTTATGAGTGAGAACATGTGGTGTTGGGTTTTCTGTTTCTGTGTTAGTTTGCTGAGGATAATGGCTTCCAGCTTCATCCATGTCCCTGAAAAGGACATGATCTCTTTGCTTTTTATAGCTGCATAGTATTCCATGGTGTATATGTACCACATTTTCTTTATCCAGTCTATCATTGATGGGCATTTGTGTTGGTTCCATCTCTTTGCTATTGTGAATAGTGCTGCAATAAACATACATACGCATGTGTCTTTGCAGTAGAATGATTTATAATTCTTTGGGAATATACCCAGTAATGGGATTGCTGGGGCAAATGGTATTTCTAGTTCTGGAACCTTGAGGAATTGTCATACTGTCTTCCACAATGTTTGAACTAATGTACATTCCCACCAACAGTGTAAAAGCCTTCCTGTTTCTCTGCAGCCTCAGCAGTATCTCTTGTTTCTTGACTTTTTAATAATTGCCATTCTGACTGGCATGAGATGGTATCTCATTGTGGTTTTGATTTGCATTTCTGTGATGATCAGTGATGTTGAGCTTTTTTTCATGTTTGTTGGCTGTGTAAATGTCTTCTTTTGAGAAATGTCTGTTCATATCTTTTGCCCACTTTTCGATGTTTTTTTTTTCCTGTAAATAGTTTAAGTTCCTTGTAAATTCTGGATGTTAGATCTTTGTCAGATGGGTAGATTGCAAAAATTTTCTCCCATTCTGTAGGTTGCCTGTTCATTTCGATGATAGTTTCTTTTGCTCTGCACAAGCTCTTTAGTTTAATTAGATCCCATTTGCCAATTTTGGCTTTTATTGCCACTGCTTTTGGCATTTTTCAATGAAGTCTTTGCCCTTGCCTATGTCCTGAATGGTGTTGCCTAGGTTTTCTTCTAGGATTTTTATCGTTTTGGATTTTAAATTTAAGTCTTTAATCCATCTTGAGTTAATTTTTGTATAAGGTGTAAGGAAGGGGTCCATTGTCCGTTTTCTGCATATGGCTGGCTAGTTTTCCCACCACCATTTTACTGAATAGGAGATCCTTTCTCCATTACTTGTTTTTGTCAGGTTTGTTGAAGACCAGATGGTTGTAGATGTGTGGTGTTATTTCTGAGGTCTCTGTTCTGCTCCATTGGTCTATATGTCTGTTTTGGTGTCAGTATCATGCTGTTTTGGTTACTGTAGCCTTGTAGTATAGTTTGATGTCAGGTAGCATGATGCCACCAGCTTTCTTCTTTTTGCTTAGGATTGTCTTGGCTATATGGGGTCTTCTTTGATTTCATATGAAATTTAAAATAGTTTTTTCAAATTCTGTGAAGAATGTCAGTGGTAGTTTGGGAATAGCATTGAATCCATAAATTGCTGGCAGTACGGCCATTTTCACAGTATTGATTCTTCCTATCCATGAGGATGGAATGTTTTTCTATTTCTTTGTGTTCTCTCATTTCCTTGAGCAGTGGTTTAAGTACTTCTCCTTGAAGAGGTCCTTCACATCCCTTGTTAGCTGTATTCCTAGGTATTTTATTTTCTTTGTAGTGATTGTGAATGGGAGTTCACTCATGATTTGGCTCTTTGTCTATTGTTGGTACAAAGGAAGGCTTGTGATTTTTGCACATTGATTTTGTATCCTGAGACTTTGCTGAAGTTGGTTATCAGTTCAATAAGTTTTTGGGCTGAGGTGATGAAGTTTTATAAATATAAAATCATGTAATCTGCAAACAGAGATAACTTGACTTCCTCTCTTCCTACTTGAATACCCTTTATTTCTTTCTCTTGCCTGATTGCCCTGGACAGAACTTCTAATACTATTTGAATAAGAGTGATGAGAGAGGGCCTCCTCGTCTTGTGCTGGTTTTCAGATGGAATGCTTCCAGCTTTTGCTCATTCAATATGATATTGGCTGTGGGTTTGTCGTAAATAGCTCATTATTTTGAGATATGTTCCTTCAATACCTAGTTTATTGAGAGTGTTTAACAATCAATGTTCATCAGGAATATTGGCCTGAAGTTTTCTTTTATTGTTGTGTCTCTTCCTGGTTTTGGTATCAGAATGATGCTGGCTTAATAAAATGAGTTAGGGAGGAGTCCCTCCTTTTCAATTGTTTGGAATAGTTTCAGAAGGAATGGTACCAGTGCCTGTTTGTATTTCTGGTAGAATTCAGCTGTGAATCCGTCTGGTCCTGGGCTTTTTTTGGTTGATAGGCTATTAATTACTGCCTCAATTTCAGAGCTGTTATTGTTCCATTCAGGGATTCAATTTCTCCCTGGTTTAGTCTTGGTAGGGTATATGCATCCAGGAATCTATCCAGTTATTTTAGATTTTCTAGTTTATTTGCATAGAGGTGTTTATAGTATTCTCTGATCGTAGTTTGTATTTCTTTGAGGTCATTTTTTATTGTGTCTTTGATTCTTCTCTCTCTTTTTCTTTATTAGTCTAGCTAGCAGTCTATTTTGTTAATTTTTTTCAAAAAACAGCTCCTGGATTTGTTGATTTTTTTCGGACCATTTTTCATCTATCTCCTTAAATTCTTCTCCGATGTTAGTTATTTCTTGTCTTCTGCTAGCTTTTGGATTAGTTTGCTCTTGCCTCTATAGCTCTTATAATTGCACTGTTGGGGTGTCTATCTGACATCTTTCTAACTTTCTGATGTGGGCATTTAGTGCTATAAATGTCCCTCTTAACACTGCTTTAGCTGTGTCTCAGAGATTCTGATACGTTGTCTCTTTGTTCTCATTAGTTTCAAAGAACTTCTTGATTTCTGCCTTAATTTCATTATTTACCCAGGAGTCATTCAGGAGCAGGTTGTTCAATTTCCATGAGATTGTGTGGTTTTGAGTGAGTTTCTTAATCCCAAGTTCTAATTTGATTGCACTGTGGTCTGGAGAGACTGTTATGATTTCAGTTCTTTTGCATTTGCTGAGGAGTGTTTTACTTCCAATTACGTGGCTGATTTCATAATAGTTGCCATGTGGCACTGAGAAGAATGTATATTCTGTTGATTGGGGGTAGAGAGTTCTGTAGATGTCTACTAGTTCCATTTGATCTAGAGCTGAGTTCAAGTCCTGAATATCCTTGAGAACTTTCTGTCTTGTTGATCTGTCTAACACTGACAGTGGGGTGCTAAAGTTTCCCACTATTGTTGTGTGGGAGTCTAAGTCTCCTTGTAGGTCTCTAAGAACTTGTTTTGTGAATCTGGATACTCCTTTATTGGGTGCGTATATATTCAGAATAGTTAACTCTTCTTGTCGAATTGATCCCTTTACCATTATGTAATGCTCTTCTTTGCCATTTTTGATCTTTGTTGGCTTAAAGTCTGTTTTGTCAGAGATTAGGATTGCAACCCCTGCTTTTTTTTTTTGCTTTCCATTTGCTTGGTAAATATTCCTCCATCCCTTTATTTTGAGCCTACATGTGTCTTTGCATGTAAGATGGGTCTCCTGAATACAGCACACTGATGGGTCTTGACTCCTTATCCAATTTGCCAGTCTGTGTCTGTTAATTGGGGGCATTTAGCCCATTTACATTTAAGGTTAGTATTGTTATGTATGAATTTGATCCTGTCATCATGATACTATTTGGTTATTTTCCACACTAGTTGATGCAGATTCTTCATAGTGTCATTGGTCTTTATATTTTGGTGTGTTTTTGCAGTGGCTGGTACCAGTTTTTCCTTTCCATATTTAGTGCTTCTTTCAGGAGCTCTTACAGGGCAGGCCTGGTGGTAATGAAATCCCTCAGCATTTTCTTGTCTGGAAAGGATTTTATTTCTCCTTCACTTATGAAGCTTAGTTTGGCTGGATATGAAATTCTGGATTGAAAATTCCTTTCTTTAAGAATGTTGAATATTGACTCCCAGTCTCTTCTGGCGTGTAGGGTTTCTGCTGGAGGTCTGCTGTTAGTCTGATGGGCTTCCCTTTGTAGGTGACTTGGCCTTTCTGTCTGGCTGCCCTTAACGTTTTTTTCTTCATTTCAACCTTGGAGAATCTGATGATTATGTGTCTTGGGGTTGATCTTCTCATGGAGCATCTTAATGGTGTTCTCTGTATTTCCTGAATTCCTAGCATGTTGGCCTGTCTTGCTAGGTTGCAGAAGTTCTCCTGGATAATATCCTGCAGTGTGTTTTCCAGCTTGTTTCCATTCTTCCTGTCTCCTTCTGGTACTCCAATCAATCGTAGGTTTAATCTTTTTATGAAGTCCCACATTTCTTGGAGGCTTTGTTCATTCCTTTTCATTCTTTTTTCTCTATTGCCTTATGTAAGGTCTGTATGCCTTATTTCAGTAACGTGATCTTCAAACTCTGATATCCTCTCTTCCACTTGGTCAATTAAGCTATTGATACTTGTGTATGCTTCATGAAGTTCTCGTGCTGTGTTTTTCAGCTCTGTCAGGTTATGTTCCTTTATAAATAGTTATTCTAGTTAGCAATTCCTCTAACCTTTTATCAAGGTTCTTAGCTTCTTTGCACTGGGTTAGAACATGCTCCTTTAGCTCATCGTAGTTTTTTGTTACCCATCTTCTGAAGCTTACTTCTGTCAATTTGTCCACCTGATCCTCCATCCAGTTCTGCACGCTGACTTGTGATCATTTGGAGAAGATAAGACCCTCTGGCCTTTTGGGTTTTCAGCATTTTTTTTCATTGATTCTTTCTCATCTTTGTGAGTTTGTCTAATTTTGGTCTTTGAGGCTGCTGACCCTTGGATGGGGTTTCTGTGGGGGCCATTTTTGTTGTTGTTTATGCTGTTGTCACTTTCTGCTTTTTTTTTTTTTCAATAATCCGGTCCCTCTTCTGTTGGGGTGCTGCAGTTTGCTGGGGGTTCACTTCAGGCCCTATTCATCTGACTCACTCCTGTGCCTGGAGATGTCACTCAGGGAGGCTGGAGAACAGCCAAGATGGGTGCCTGTTCCTTCTTCTGGGACCTCTGACCTTGAGGGGCACCAACCTGTTGCCAGTAGGGTGTCTGTGTACAGGGTGTGTGACAACCCCTGTTGGAGGGTCTCACCGAGTTGGGTTGCACGAGGAGCAGGTTTCATGCTTGTCCGTGTGAAGAGACCACCAAACAGGTTTTGTGTGAGCAATAAAGCTGTTTATTTCATCTGGATGCAGGTGGGCTGAGTCCGAAAAGAGAGTCATTGAAGGGAGATAGGGGTGGGGCCATTTTATAGGATTTGGGTGGATAAAGGAAAATTACAGTCAAAGGGGGGTTGTTCTCTGGCGGGCAGACTGGAGGTCACAAGGTGCTCAGTAGGGGAGCTTTTGAGCCAGGATGAGCCAGGAGAAGGAATTTCACAAGACAATGTCATCAGTTAAGGCAGGAACAGGCCATTTTCACTTCTTTTGTGGTGAAATGTCATCAGTTAAGGCAGGAACCGGCCATGTGGATGTGTACGTGCAGGTCACAGGGGATATGATGGCTTAGCTTGGGCTCAGAGGCCTGACAGCAGGCCCCGTTTAATGAAGCACTTTGTCCCTTGGTGGAGAGGGTGTGTTTCACTGCAGGGAAGCACATGTGTCTGGGCTGCCTGGGTTCCTCAGAACTCCCAGGAGGAGAGGCTAAGTCTGCTGGTCCAGAGACTGTGGCCACCCTGCAGCTAGGGGCTCAGGCCTAGGGAGTTCTGGGGTCTGTCCCTGAGCTTCTGGCTGGAGTTATTGGAGTTCTTGCAGGGAAGCCACCCACTGAGGAAGGATGGGTCAGGGTCGAGCCTGAAGAGCACTCTGGACACAGACGGCCACAGGGTGTGTTGCGCTGTGCAGACAAGTCTTGGGACCAAGCCATTCAGCTTCCCTGGCTCCAGTAGGGGAAGAGCGCAGCCTGGAGCTATAGAAATGGGTGCCGGGGAGTTTAGCATGTTAGGCCATTGTGAGCCCCAGTGCTGGCTGCTGCCCCTCCCCAGGGAGTTAAAACAGCTTAGACAGCAGGCCGCTGCAGCCAGTGCTGGTCACCCCTCCCCCCAGGAGTTCTGTAGGCTTAAGCAGATTCCATCAGAGAGGCTGTAAGAATCTTCACGTTCCGGGGCTGGAACTGTAGGCCCCAGTGGCGTGAGTTTGCAAGTGGGATCTTCTGATCCGTGGGTTGCACGGTTTTGTGGGAAAAGCAAAGTTTCCCCCGCTGGGTAGTGTGCTCACTCACCGCCTCCCTTGGCTGGGGGAAGGGACTCCCCTTCCCCGTGTGTTTCTCGGGTGGCCCCCTCACCACACTGCTCTTCCTCCTCTCTGTGGGTCACGCCAGCCTTCTAGTGAAGTTTGATGAGAGAACCTGGATACCTTGGCTGCCGGTGAAGGATTCACATGCTTATTTTGTTTTTTTCCGATGGGAGCCTCCAAACGGCTCTGCTTCTAGTCAGCCATCTCGGCCAGAATAATCATCCTTGGGCGTTTAGTTTCTGATACAGACATTAAGAAAAGCCGTCTAGGATGAGCCATGCACGTGCACGCGCATGGCAGAGCGTGGTTTGCTGCAGGACTTTTCAGAGCGTTTGTGACCACTTGTCGTTGCAGGCGCCTGGATGAGTGTTTATTCTGTGATTCTTTGACTTCCTTGACCATGGAACGTTTTTTTTCCCCATGGGAATATAGTTCGGGAATTGCCTCTCCAGCCTGATGGAAGGTTGGGGATGTGCGCTGTCTTCCCTTCTGGTTCTCGTTCTTATTCCTCTGCTCCGCCTTGCCAGGATGGCCCTTCTCTTCTGGGTCTCGATGGCGCCTCCTCCTCCCTTCCCTCCTCCCCTTCCCTCTGCGGCTGCGTAATTCCTCCTTGCGCTTTCTTGATTCTACCCCAGGAGCCTCACAGTGGGGACTTGCAGGTTTGCCCTCACCCACCCGGTGCCACCAGCAGAGCCACCTGTCCAGATGCAGATTCAATGTTGTCCTATCACAGATCCCCTTGGCAGAGTGTGGCTGGGATCTGCTTCCTGTGTGTCTCCGGCCTCAGCCCCCTGTCCTTTGCAAACCTCCCCTCTGTGCCCAAGCCACCCTGGGGCGTTTCCCGACCCCCCTAAACTCTAGGGCATGACAACCCTGTTGCATGGGATGTTCTTGGCACCCCAGCTGGGAGATCCTCGCTGTGTGACCTTCCCGCCCACCCGGCTGTGCCCCTTACTGGCTCCCCCTTGTCCTCACTGCCCCCAGGACCTGGGTCAGTGCTATTGGGTTTGCAGGGCTGTGTCCCTGATTCCCTCCCCTCATCCCTTCATGGTGGGCAGGGTGTGGCATCCTCTTCTGGCTCCCCCTCCCTTGGGGGGTGCTTTTCAGAGGCTGTGAGGAATTCGGGGTAAATAAGGCACCCCCCCCCCAGTTGCCAAGGCCAAGGATGTGGGCTTCCAGGCCACAGGTGTGATTGAGGGCATGGCTGAAGGTGAAAGGCGACAAGGACCCGTGTGGCGACCAGGACCAGGCGTGTGCATGTCAGGAAGGGTATTTTATTTCATCTTAATTTTGAGAAATGCTCAGGATTTCAATAGAAAAGCAGAAGAAAGGCCAGGGGTGGGGGCTGAGAAACAGCAGAGGCCCAAAAGGTCAGGCTGTGGAGAATGTGAGTGGTACAGCCCTGGTGAGGTGTACACATGGCAGACGAGGGGATGCGCTCTCCCTGCGGTCGGAAGCTGTTCTCTTGGGGTTCAGGTGATGCCAGGTGGCACCTTCCCTGCACCCGTGTGTGCGTGGGCAGCTGCTGGGCCACAGGATGGGAGCCTCGCCTGGGGAGGGCTGATCGCAGGACTGTTCCATCTCAGAGAGCGTGAGGCCGGCCTCGAGAGCCTCCGGGATTCAGAAGGTGGCTGGTTCTGGGAGTAGAGGATGGGTGGTGTGGACAGGAAGATCTAATTTAAATGATAAATAGGACCCTTGAGAAAGAAGAATCCCATGACAAAGAGACAAAGAGAATTCTAAAAGACACTGTGGAGTGCAAAGCACGCCAGGATCCCAGCCAGCCCAGGACGGGGAGGGCCTGGGAGAGATTCTCACTGCCTGGGGATACAAAGCCTGCATCCCAGCCAGCCGAGGAGGGGGAGGACCTTGGGAGAGCTTCCACTGCTGCAGGGAAGCCGGGCTAGTGACTGGGGCCGCATCCACAGGTGTCTGGGGGCTGCGCCACACAGAGCATGGAGGTGATGCTTTCCTGTAACACTGCACGTAAGTGTGCATGAGTCAGTGCCGAGAAAGCCCCTTTTGCCCCTTAGGATGGCCACTGTCAAAACCGCAGATAATAGCAAGTGTTGGGAGGATGTGGAGGAATTGGGTCCTGGGTGTTGCTGCTGGGAATGGAAGATGGGGCAGATGCTGTGGAAAATGGTGTATGGAGATTCATCAAAAACTCGAGACGGAACCACCTTGTGACCCAGCCGTTCCCCTCCTGAGTTGATCCAAATGATAGACAGCGGGGTCTCGGGGCAGCCCCTGCACACCCAGGCTCATAGCGGCTTGTGCACAGCAGCCAGAGGTGGCAGCAGCTAGCGTGTCCGTCCATGGATGGGAGGATGGGTGAAGAGCGGCCCATCCACACAGCCGAACATGAGTCAGCCTCAAAGAGGAACGAAATCCCGACGAGGCTATGGGGTGGATGAACCCTGGGGACACTATGCTGAGTGGAATAAGCCAGTCACAGAAAGACCTTGCTGTGTGACTCCACTCATACAATGCCCCTGGGGCTGCAGATTCATAGAGGCAGAAAGTAGAATGGGGGGTGCCAGGGGCTGGGGAGGGGGCGTGGGAGGACAACACAGCTAGATGGAGAAAGCAAATGTGTGGTTAAAGAAAATGGAGGGTTTAGCTGCGTGGCTTCCCTGGGTAGGTCAGCTCCCTGGTCTGTTCCCTGTGCTGGAAGCACAGTTCCGTTTCTGCTGCAGAACAGAGAGGCGGGGGAGACCGGGAACCACCAGGCGGGGCAGAGGGATGGGTAGGAGAGGCCGAGCCAGGCAGGCCATGCTCCAGCAGTAGCAGCAACATCTCAGGTTTAGGAGGGAATTTAGGGTTTTTCCTGCTGCAGCTTCTTAGTCCTACAGAAATGTTAGATGAATGCAGTTTCTAAGCATCCCTAGCCAGCCAGGGCATGGACAGGTCCCCACCCCCAACCCACCCCCATGGAATCCCGTGCCTCCTGGTCTGCATCCTGCCTCTGGGATTGGTCTGTGGTTGTGCAAACAATGGTTGGTTCCAGGATCAAGCTCTGGACTCACAGAAGTACTTTGCACGTCCAGAGGAAAGCCCGGGGCTAAAGAGGCTGCCTTTGCCTTTTACAAGATGACCTGAAGTGAGACACCCTTGCCTGCAAGTTCGGAAGTGGAACCGAGGGCAGGCTGGTTCCTGCTGAGCCGCGTGCAACGTGGGGCAGAAGTGGAACCGAGGGCAGGCCGGATCCTGCAGAGTGGCATGCGATGTGGGGTCATGGGAGAGTCCTGCCCTCCAGAGTCACTTTCCCTTTGGGTAAAATGATGACGTTTTGCAGAATGTCCGACAGCTAGGAAGGCAGGCACGGTGGAAGACCCTGAACTGCTGGGTGCCTTTTGACCCTGCCAGGATGACCAATTCGATGAGGCTGCCCTGTGATTCATCTAACTTACGTGTCGTATCTAATTTCTCACATTGCAAATCCATTCAATTAGATTTAATTAGGCAGATGGAGCAAATATGCACCCTTGTCTGCAGCAGATAGGCAGGAAACCTGTCCCATGAAGGGGAGGGTGGGGTTAGAGCCCAGTCCTGCGGTCTTGGATGAAGCTGCCCTTCCATCCAGTGTGGCCCTGGGGCCGCCCCTCAGCCCGGAAGCTGTCAGGAGGGTCTTTCTGCAGTGAGGGAAGTCCGTTAGGCATGCTGTGGTTTCATGACAGCATCCAGCGGCCCTCCTGCCTGCAGGTCTATCCAGGACTCTGTTAACCGTCGTTCTTTTGGAAAATGTTTGCAGAGCACCAGCCCTGCCAGGTGCTGTCCTAGGCTCTGGACATGGGGGTCTCCAAGGTGTGTCCTGACAGAACGAGACCCCCTTCGGCCAGCAGCATGGGGCCCGAGCCCCTCCTCTTGCTGTGACAATGCGGATGTGGTTGTCTCGGAGTGCAGAGGTTCCCATGGTTACTGTTGAAGCATTGGGAGGTTCGGCGTCTCCGAGTAGCTCAGCCTTCTCTCCTTGGCTGTCGGCCCGAGGCTTCGAGGTCACCCAGGCCGTGTGGCTCAGGCTTCAGGCCCCTCTTGCTCTTCCCTTCTGGCAGGCAGGGGCTTCTTCCCCTCGTGCGTGAGACGTCCTTGTGGGAAGGGCCCTCTCGGAGCAGTGTGCGTCTCCCTCTCCCATGGCCACTGCAATGTTTCTGCTGTTGGAGGCTCAGTCAGCTGAGCCCTTGGGTGGGAGACGCCCCCAGAGCAGCCTCCCTGCAGCCTGAGGTGGACACGGAATGAGTGATCTTTGTGGCTTCCAGCCCTTAGACTTGGAGGTTGTCACTCCAGCACGGTCGAGACATCTCTGTGTTACAGAGACTGGTGTGACAGGGACAGGGCTGCCCTCCCCTCTGATGCGTTCACAGCAGCCAAGATGCTGAATCTACCTGCGTGCCCAGGAGTGATGTGTGGGTGAAGAGAATGTGGCATGTACACAATGGAATACTATTTAGCCTTAAAAAAGAATGAAATCCTGTCATTTGTGGAAACATGGATGGAGCTGGGGGACACCGTGACAAATAAGCCAGGTGCAGAAAGACAAGCACAGCTGATCTCACTCACGTGGGAATCTATGACAAGGCAAATGTATGGAGGCGGAGCAGGGGTGTGGTGGGGAGAGCAGAGTGACAGCTGGCAGGGGTGGGGTGGGGAGAGTGGAGTGGCGGCTGGCAGGGGCGGGGTGGGGAAAGTGGAGCGGTGGATGGCAGGGGTGGCATGGGAAGAGCAGAGTGGTGGCTGGCAGGGCAGGGTGGGGAGAGCGGAGTGGTGACTGGCAGGGGTAGTGGCTGGCAGGGGCGGGGTGGGGACAGCAGAGTGGTGGCTGGCAGGGGTGGGGTGGGGAGAACAGAGTGGAGGCTGGCAGGGGCGGGGTGGGGAGAGCGGAGTGGTGACTGGCAGGGGTAGCGGCCGGCAGGGGCGGGGTGGGGGGAGTGGAGTGGCGGTTGGCAGGGGCGGGGTGGGGAAAGTGGGGTGGCGGATGGCAGGGGTGGCATGGGAAGAGCAGAGTGGTGGCTGGCAGGGCAGGGTGGGGGAGTGGGGTGGTGGCTGGCAGGGCTGGGGTGGGTGTGGGGAGTCAGCTGGGTGGGCTGGTGGGCTCTGGAGGCTACACAGTATAGTGACTGCAGTTAATAATAACACAGAGCTGCATATTTCAGAACAGCCAGAAGAGGGGATTTAAAATGTTCTCACCACAAAGAAATGGTAAATCCTTGAGGTGATGGATATGCTAATTAGCTCAATTTGGTCATTCCACAATGTATGCAGGACGGATACATCATATCGGACTCCATAAGTATACACAGTCATTATATGTCAACTAAAAATAAAACTTAAAATTATGGATGTGTATAATGTAATAGCTGTTGCAGTTGCAGTGTTGTTTTATCTGCAGCATCCCCCGTGCTGAGACACAGCAGCTCTTTCCACCTCTGTTTCCGGGGAGCAGGGGGCTGTCGGTCTCTGGACGCTGCCCGTCCCCCCTTCTGAGACCACACGCTTGGCGCTGATGAGGAGCAGGAAGGGTTTGTGTAACCAGAGCTTGAGAGGAGGCTGGAAGTGGTAGCTAGAGCCACATTGCATGGGGCCTTCAGGCCCTTTAACGATGAAATGTTTGGGGCCATTGCAGTGGGTTTTGAGCAGAATAATGCAGTGTGACTTAGGGTTCACGAGGTTTATGAGAGCCCTTTCGGTGGTGGTGTGAAGGAGGGTTATGGGACAGGAGGCTGCTGAACCAGTCAGGCTGCGGGAGGATGGTTGCTGTCCAGGTCGGTGTGGGGCAGTGGTGAGAGGTGTCAATCCCCAGGGTTTGTTGGATGGGGATGATAGTGGCTAGGTAGGTGTGGGGCAGTGGTGAGAGGTGTCAATCCCCAGGGTTTGTTGGATGGGGATGATAGTGGCTAGGTAGGTGTGGGGCAGTGGTGAGAGGTGTCAATCCCCAGGGTTTGTTGGATGGGGATGATAGTGGCTAGGTAGGTGTGGGGCAGTGGTGAGAGGTGTCAATCCCCAGGGTTTGTTGGATGGGGATGATAGTGGCTAGGTAGGTGTGGGGCAGTGGTGAGAGGTGTCAATCCCCAGGGTTTGTTGGATGGGGATGATAGTGGCTAGGTAGGTGTGGGGCAGTGGTGAGAGGTGTCAATCCCCAGGGTTTGTTGGATGGGGATGATAGTGGCTAGGTAGGTGTGGGGCAGTGGTGAGAGGTGTCAATCCCCAGGGTTTGTTGGATGGGGATGATAGTGGCTAGGTAGGTGTGGGGCAGTGGTGAGAGGTGTCAATCTCCAGGGTTTGTTGGATGGGGATAATGGATGGGATGCAGGTTTGGAGGAGAGGATGTAGGGTTTTGTGCAGGACCTGGCCGGGGAGTGGAATGGTGGTACCATTGCCAGTTCCACCTGGCACCCTGAGCTGCCGGGATGGTGTGACACCAGGGCGGGGGGGCTGGGTGGTGGGGAGATGATGTATTTGGGGAAGTCACACTAATTTTGGGGTACCCATCCGACATCTAAATGGTGCCATGGACTGAACATGTCCCCCCAAATTCCTATGTTGAAGCCTTGGTCCCCAGTGGGATGGTGCTTGGAGGGTGGGGCCCTGGGGGGCGATGACGGCGAGGTGTAGTCACGAGGGTGGGGCCCCCATGTTGGTATTCGTGCCCTTGTAGGAAGAGGAAGAGACCAAGTACTGTCTTCTATGGGAGGGCATGGCAGGAAGGCACCATCTGAGCCCGGAAGTGGGTCCTCACCAGACACTGCCGTCACCTCCGCGCTGGACCTGCAGCCTCCAGAACTGTGAGAAATGAATTCTGCTGTTCATTTATGGGCCCCCCAGTCTGTGGCTTTTGTTTTATCAGCCCCAGCTGACTAAGACAAGTGGTGTCTCTTAATGAATTGATGAATTCTTTGTGTTTTGAAGAGTCTTCATGGATGGTACTTCAGCCCGAGGAGATGCGTGTGCTTTGTAAGAGATTTGAGGGGTGAAGTCGCCCCAAGTTTTACATCTGTAACAGGCTTTGAATGACTGTTCTTGCCTCAGTGCCACCAGAGTCAGTGGCGCAAGGGAGAATCATCGGAGGAAACCCCCTCACTGGTGTGGAATCGGAGCCCCCTTCCTGCGCTTGGAGTGGGGGTTCAGCAGCAGGTCTCTGTTCACTGTGACAAACGCTGATGTTTCATGGAGATGCTGGAATCTCGTGTAAAACATGATCGTGGCCTCGCACTCAATCCCTTATTTCACAGGTGTTTGTCACCAAGCAACCCTGGTCCTGCCAGGCCATGTTGAGGCTCCCTTCTTTCTCCAAACCCTGTTTGCTCTAGTCTGGGTTTGCTGGATGCATGTTTTAAATAAGAAGGTGAACACCACGATTGTGCCGATGTATCTGCATTGTAACTGGAAAGCTTTAGGAAGGCCTGGGAGGACTTCAACTCCAGATGAATTTCACGGTCATTTTACATTTTTTCTTAAGGACATTTCAGCGATGCTTCCTCACAGTTGTAAAAATTGTTGTGCAGACTAGCTGGACGTTATTTTACATGAGTCTGTTTTAATCTCATCTAATAAACATGGGCGCCCGGTAAGAAGCCGAGGAGTCACGGGGGTGTGTGCGAGCGCGAAGGGCTGCGTCTCACTCCCAAGACCCGGCACCCCCTGCATCTTCTGTTCCCTCTGCCGCCCCTTCCCTGCCCCGGCAGCCGCTCTCCTCCCGCCCCTCCCCCTCCCCACGGGCTCACAGGGCTGCATCCTGAGTTTCGGGTGAGCCAGAAGCGAGCACCGCAGATGCTCTTCTGTTCAACGGCTTTTCCTTATGACACTGATGAGGAAAACATTGATCCCAGCTGGGGTGCTCTCCGTGCGGGGTTGGCTCCTTCCCCCAGGGCTGTGAGTTTCTCTGGGGACCAGGCTTCCTCCCACATCCCAAAGCCCTGCACGTGCAGCGAGTTGCTGTGTTCCCTCCGTTGCTGTCTCAGTGCCTGTGGTGACCTCCATCCAGGCCTGGATCCTGCCTGGCACCCTGAGCTGCTGGAGTGAGCTCCCGCCACGTGTGACCCTGACCTGCAGTAAGTGGGTTGGAAAATGAATGAATGAATGAATATAAATTTTTGTAAAAACATGTATCAGGTCTACGATACCCGTACAAGTGGGCAGTAAACCGTACAGCAGGAAAGCGCTCAGTCAGCCGCTGAGGGCTGTTCTTGTCTGTGACCTGTGTGGGGGCAGAAGTGCTCCCCATGGTGTTTGCTTTGGAAATGTTTATCCCATGACTTAACCCACTGTGGCCAGGGCTGTAGCCTCCTGCTTGGGTGAGGTCTGGCGACTTCACCCAAGAGGCCTTGGGGTGACTTCACTCCCCAAATCTCTTACAAAGCACACGCATCTCCTCGGGCTGAAGTGCACCCTGGCGTGGTCCCTGGAAGGCGGTCATTGGCCGGGGCAGCGATGTTTGGTGTGCGAGCTTTGCACTTACTGAGACGCTTCATCCGCAGGGCACACATCCAAAGCCCATGCAGCGTCTGGTTCCCTCTCATCCATTTCTCTAGTCACGGAGACATGATTGGGGGTGCTGTGTGCAGGGAAGGGGCCTGGAGAAGCCGCAGGTTTGGACGTGGATTTTGAGGCGCCTGCCTTTTGGGACTCCGCGTGCTTCCAGCCCCTGCAGCTCATTGCTGGGTCCTCACTCAGATGCCTCTGTGGGGACCTCTGGTCCTGCATTCCCAGCTCTAAGAAGGCCCTCCATCTGCTCTTTATCTCACAAAGCACGTGGAAGCTGTTGCTTTGTGCTCACCGTTCTTCTGGTGCTTGTGAGTTTTTGCCTTGGTCACTCTCCCGTGTAAAATGGAGTTTCAGCTGCAGCTTTGAAGGGGGTTAATGGAGTGGATATCCCTGTTCACTGGAGGGTGAGCCCTGCGCATCAGAGAATGTTTCTTGCACCAGCAGCGCCGACAGTTCCTGGGAGCTTGACGGACAAACAGACTCTTGGGCCCTGCCCCAGAACTCCTGCGTGGGTCCAGCAGAAGGTGTTTAACAAGCCCCCCAGGCGGTTCTGACGCCAGTGGAAGTGTGAAGACCTCTGACTCATAGATAACAACCGTTGACTGATGGCAGCTCATCCCAGTGCTGGTGAGATCCAGCGGAACAGCAGCCTGATGTCTTCACGCCACTGACGCCGCATCTCCAGCCCCTGGATGGTTCCTCTCTCCAACCTGCTCCCATAGTGCGTTCCACATGGGACTCCTTCAGTCCTCAGCTGCCCTACGAGCTGTGGTTTTGCCTGAACACGGAAGGTGCAGCACAGCCTGTGAGCCATTGGCCAAAGGTGGCCTTCCCGTGGTGGCAGAGCTGAGACGTCCCCTGAGCAGCCTATCTGATGCCTGCACCTGCCTTCCCTGGGCCACGCTGCTGAGAAGGGCCTCAGTGGTGAGTGTGACTCCTTAGAGCTGGCAAGACCCAGGATACCGGCCCTGCATGCAGAGGCATGGGTGTTACACGGGGTACATGACTGGCCTGCGAGAGGCAGAGGGGAGTTCTGGTCCTGGCCTCTCTGGCTGTGTGTGTGGTGGCAGGCACCTCATCTCTTAATTACTTTTAATGCCATAGAAGGGAGGCCAGAGATAGAAGACATTATCAAACAAATATGGAAATCATTAAGTCCTGGCATCACAAACATTAAAATGCTATACATCTCATCTCATAGCTTGTAATGCCACATATTCTAGAAACAAACCTAAGGCAGTTTCTTCTAGGTTGAATTAGCTGGAAAGAATTAATTGAGTATATATTAATGTTCTTGACACTCTAAAGCGTGTATTCACATCTCAGGCTCATGTGGCTGGAGAAGCACATTCAGTGGCGTGGTGTAACTGCACGTATTTCACAGACACACCACTTATTTGTTATGTGAACTGCAGAGGGTGAGACTGTGGGACGCCCCGTGGGACATGCACCCTCCCTCCCGAGGCCAGCGGGAACAGCGAGAATCACCATCCCAGAAGGCAGAAGACATGGAGGATGGGTGACCGAAGAGAAAGCAGAATATGTCTTTAAGACCTTTGTGTTTGGAAATAACTTCACATGTAAAAGTTGTAAAAATAAAGGAGGACAGAGGGCACTGGGTGGATGGTGGGCGGCCTCCTCTTCACGGCGTCGCTCCTGGGTGGACGGTGGTGCCCTGCTCTTCACGGCGTCGCTCCCGGGCAGACAGTGGGTGCCCTCCTCTTCACGGGGTCGCTCCCGGGCGGACGGTGGGCGCCCTGCTCTTCAGGGCATTGCTCCCAGGCGGACGGTCGGCGCCATCCTGTTCACGGCGTCGCTCCCGGGCGGACGGTGGGCGCCCTCCTCTTCACGGTGTCGCTCCCGGGTGGACGGTGGGCGCCCTCCTCTTCACGGGGTTGCTCCCGGGCGGATGGTGGGCGCCCTCCTCTTCACGGTGTTGCTCCTGGAGCTCCGAGGCCCACATCCTCTCACTCCTGGTGTTCATTTTGGTTACACCTTGGAGGTGGTGGTCTTGCCGGCATATAATTACTATTCTTTGTCTCCCCTTGCAGCAAATATGCAGTGTGTGGGGAATAGTTTTAAACCACATGGTACCTTGTTCCCCATCAGAATTTCCCCCGGTTCAGCACCCATGGATGGCTCCTGCCCCATCCCATGTTTATGAGGCTACACGTAAACTGGAAGGGAGGAGCTGGCGTTAAATCCATCACCAGGAGGCGGCTGCAGCCCGAAAGGAGCATTTGTAGAGAGAAATTCCGGGGAGGTTAACAGCAGGATGGCAGGAGCTGAGATATTCACTGAAGGATTGGAATGTGAAGGCAAGAGAATGTCCCAGGAAGTAGAACAAAAACACAGAGAAACAGAAAACAGAAATGAGATGTTAAAAGAAAATGGGCTCCGTAGGTCCGACAGCTGAATAATAGAAGTTCCAGGAGAAGAGAACAGAGAAGAAGTATTTTGAACTTCCAAAAGTGGAAGGATATGAGTTTTTATTGTCAAAACTATATTACATAGTTTTAAAAGACAAGTCGGGGTAGGTTGGGTGTAGTGGCTCATGCCTGAAATCCCAGCACTTTAGGAGGCTGAGGCAGGAAGATTGCATGAGGCCAAGAGTTTGTGACCAGCCGGTAAAGACCCCATATCTTTAAAAAAAATTGTTTTTTAATTAGCTGGGCATGATGTTGTGTACCTGCAGTCCCAGCTACTCAGGAGGCTGATGTAGGAGGATTGCTTGAGCTGAGCCCAGGAGGTTGAGGCTGCAGTGAGCTATGATCGCACCATTGCACTCCAGCCTGGGCAACAGAGCAAGACCCTGTCTCATACAAAAAGTAGGTCCAAAGGCTTAAACAGTAATGCAGTCCTCCACTGCACAAATCCATCTATTTCTCTATTATTTGAATTTCTTCCAAAGAAAGTTAACAGGTGAATCTCTTTATTGATAAAAAGTAAAGTGTTTATCTGCTAAGAAACAAAGCAAGTGTGGAAACACCTTTTGGTTGGTAGAGAGGATTGACCCTTGAGTGTGAGGGGCAGAGGCAGGGGCGCAGGCGGAACATCCAGAGAGGAGCGAGACGTTAAATGATCACGGTGAGATGTGTATTCTGAGGGCTTGAGAAATGCCGGGTAGGGGTTCAGAGGAGAGCAGTATGTAAGCATGTGGAGTAAAGTTGTGCAGGGAGGGTTTGGACCGGAAGTTGAAACTGTTTGATCAGTGGAGAGGGAGATCCAGCAAGAACAGCCTCGATGGCAGCACGGGGCGTCCCCATTGCCCCATTGCTGTGGCAGCGTCGTTCTCCTGACGCTTGAGCTTGAACCCTCCCAGGCTCATCAACAAGCATCTCGTACGTTGCCAGCCATTTAATACTTGCCCTGTAACATTGTTGCTCCCGTTTGCAGGCTGGGCATGAGATTTCCAGGGCTTCGCTGGACATCTGTGGCTCAGTTTGGATCCTCCGGGATGGGCAGGGAGGAAACTGGCTGGAGGGCAGCGTGGGAGCCGTGCAACCCCCACTGGACCCCACCTGTGAGGTTCTGTGGTCAGGGGAACCCAGGGGGGTTCCAAGCCATGGTCATCGGAACCGAGGAACCCTGGTGGGTCCACCGCAGAGGGATTGCTCAGGAATGTTGCGCCAGAAGCAAGACACAGGCTGGACTGAGGCTGGGGCTAGCAGACTGGGGACAGTGCCCAGGCACAGATCCAAGCCCGGCCGCTCCCCTCCTCGGGCGCCCAGCCACGTTCATTTATTCCTCTCGGGCTCTGATCATTCCTACTGGATAGGAGTCCTCGCTGAGCCCCCATGGTATCTGGCACAGAGCGGACGTGTGTTCTGGGACTGTGTTTTAATTTGTGAGGGGGACACGCGGTCTTGCATTGGCGGGCGCGGGGGCTGGGGGGGCACTCCAAGGGCAGCCGGAGGGTTCATGGAAGGAGTCACGGTGTGCAGTTCGTGCTGGTGGAGAGTGGGGGGTCCAGGCGTGTGCAAGGTTTGAGCCCAGGTAGCCTAGCGTGAGTCACAGAGGCGCTGGGTGCCCTGCGTGAGGGTGACTGAGATACAGCCCCGGCGGCCTTGGGGAGCCGAGAATCACAAGAAAACAGCGGGGCTGGGAAGGAAGAAGAGGGCTGGTGGCACGAGGAGATGGATGCCAGGGGTCGGGGGTGGAAAGTGTTCGGGTGGGCGGGGCAGGGGGAGATGGAAAGTGTGCGGGTGGGCGGGGCCGGGGGGAGATGGAAAGTGTGCGGGTGGGCGGGGCCGGGGGAGGTGGAAAGTGTGCGGGTGGGCGGGGGCGGGGGCGGTGGAAAGTGCAGGTGGGCGGGGCCGGGGGAGGGCTTGAAAGTGTGCGGGTGGGCGGGGCCGCCGGCGTGGAAAGTGTTCGGGTAGGGGGGCGGGGGGGCGGAAAGTGTGTGGGTGGGCAGGGGTGGGTGGGTGGAACGTGTGCGGGTGGGCGGGGGCGGTGGAACGTGGGCAGGTGGGTGGGGGCGGGGGCGGTGGAACGTGTTCGGGTGGGTGGGGGCGGGGGGGCGGAAAGTGTGTGGGTGGGCAGGGGTGGGGGGTGGAAAGAGTGCGGGTGGACGGGGGCGGTGGGGCGGTTTGAGACCAGTGTTGTGGCGCAGCAGGCAAGGGATCCCCAAGCGGCCGTCAGAGTCCCTATGAGTTATCTTGTCGCCTCCATGCTCTTTAATCTCGTTAATGTCAGGACGTTTTTATCCTTTGCTTTCTGGAGGCAGTCACAGGTTGGTTGGGGCCAAAGATTACAAACAAGGATGTTTTATGAAGCTACTCAGCAGGTTGGGGAATAGCTGGGTTTGGCTGTAGGATAAGCGAGTTGTAGGCGTCCTGCCCACTGGTTCAAACATCAGTTCGAGAGCAGGGAGGGGCGGTAGAAATAACTGCAGAGCCCCCCGGGCAGCACCTTTGAAGGCTGTGATGTCAGCTCAATACATGTGCAAGGCCGTGTCCATAAAATCAGCCACAACAGGCCTGTGTATTTTTGTGGCTATGGCTTGTGTAGAGCTAGTAACGACGGTCACCATCTCAGAATACAGCAGCTGCCAGTGTCAGATTACTTCCCATAGGACGTCATCGCGAGGCAGCTTGTTTCTACTGCTGGACCCCTGCTTGGTATGAGTGTTATTCCTCCACTCTGTTCATGGGGCCACTGAGACCAAGAGCTTAGTGACTTGGTGAATGGCACGGCCATGGAGGACGCCAAGCTCTCCCGCCCGCACCCCGGTGATGTTATGGCTGAAACGTGTCTCCCAAAAAGTGTGTGATGGAGCCCAGCGCCTCCAGACATGACCTTATTTGGAAATAGAGTCTTGGGGGAAACCAAGTCGGCACATTTCTGTTAAGTCACCTGACTTACGGTGCTCGTTATGCAGCCGCAGCAGACTGCCGCGTTCCACAGGAACACTTCCCCAGCTCAGACTCACATTCGTCAGGGACCCTCTGTTCCCCTGGAGGGCGGAGCTGCACGGGAGGCATCAGGGAGGGTGAGGAAGAGGCGTGGCCGGGCCTGGGCCTCTGGACGCAGGGGACACACGCGGTCCAGGCCCTGAGTGGACAGAGAGGACGCTGGTGGGGTGTCGGGAACCCTAGCTGGGGCCGAGTTTCTTCAGCTGAAAATCAGTCACGTGTCTGACATCCACTGCATATGACGAGGCCACTGGCCACACGTAGCCTGTGAGCATGTGGTGTGTGGACAGTGTGACCGGGCACCCAGATTTCAGGTTTTAACTGATTTTCATTAATTAAAATTACATTGCTGGCCAGGCGTGATGGCTCATGCCTGTAATCCCAGCACTTTGGGAGGCCGAGGTGGGTGGATTGCTTGAGGTCAGGAATTTGAGACCAGCTTGGCCAATGTGGCAAAACCCAATCTCTACTAAAAATATAAAAATTAGCCAGGCGTGGTGGCAGGTGCCTGTAATCCCAGTGACTAGGGAGGCTGAGGCAGAAGAATCACTTGAACCCAGGAGGTGGAGGTTGCAGTGAGCTGGGATCGCACCACTGCACTCCAGCCTGGGCGATAGAACAAGACTGTCTCAAAAAAATTACATGGCTGCATGTGACGGCCCCAGTGGACGTGTGGTCACTGACCCGGGGGTGCTTCTTCTCCACGTTCTGTGATTCTGCTTTCCTCAGATGAGGAGGGCCCTGCTCAGGCTGATGCCACGGAGGGGTTAGAAATCAGTATTTCGGGAACACATGTCAGTGCTCGCAGCTGGCTGGGTGTGGACAGACACCTCGGGGTGACCGCTGAGTATATTTTGTGGCCCCAGCACCCGTGGCAGGCAGAACTCACGCCTCCTGATCTTTCTCAGCTGCTAAACGCTGCTGTAGAACAGGCAGGTTGTGTGGAATTGAACTTTTAAAAGTGCCTTTGGGCAATAAGGATAATTTCATTCTCCTCTGCGGCCTTCTGTAAATCCTTCAGAGAGGAAGAAATAAACCTATTATGGTCCTGCCTTCCTGCTCCAGCCAGAGCCGGTGCGGCAAGCGACGTGTGCTCAGCCTTCCAGAGGCCGTGGCTGGTCTGGATTTAATGCACTATCCTGCCTGTGACTGTGGCGGGTAGAATGCTGTCAACGTTAGGGGTGAGCGCCTTTTTCGAACACAGATTGTCTGCCTTTAGGAAAGTCACACGTGGATTCTACCCTGGAAGGTTGATGATTTGTCTTGGATCCTCAAGTATAAAGAGCTACCTGGCGGGTTCAAGGAAAGCTCTGTGGGAGCCGCAGGGTGGGCACTGTGTTTGTGGGACCATCCGACGAGATCCCAGGGTGCAGTGAGTGGCTCTGCTGGTCAGTGCTGCTAGGGGCTGTCTCCTGGGGAGAGTGAGAGGCTGGAAGGACCCCAGGGGTCAGGCGTACTTGGCTCCATGAGAATGGACAGTGCACAGCTGCCCCGGGAACCCCATGACTGGCTTGTGGGATCATTCGTCATACCATGCGTCTGAACTGGTGACTCTCAAGCGATTCCCCCCCCACAGCCCTTTTTCAAATCGAACAGAGACGGCATAAAACAGGCCCTGGCAGATGCAATTGTGTCATGCGTGAGGTCTGATTGCCTGAGTCCAGGGATGAGGTCTGAGGTTTGCAGTTCTGTGGAGTGAGGGCCCTGCCTGTCCCTGACCCTAAAGGAGTCCCACAGGCAGGATGTGGGCCTCCCGTGAGCACCTCCAGTGCTCTGGTTCTGTGTATCGTCAGAATCCAGGGTTTGGAGGGGTGGTCACGGGAGCTGCGGCATTTGAGGGGGGCGCCAGCTCCCATGGAGGTGACATTCTGGGCTGGTCCTGCTGTGGCAGACCATAGCTTGGGGTCCCAGCCCCACCCTCCCGCCCCCAAGCACGTGTCCTACTGACCTCACATGCATGTCTTGTGACCTCTCGCGGCCCTTTCCAATACTGTCGCCACTGCACGTGATAGAGACGTGGCTGAGACCATGAAAGGGCAGCGATGGTGATAGAGTCCCATGCTCTGATTTGATTGATTGAGACTTTATTCCCGCTTCTTCAAGACATGTCTGTGGAATGGGGTTGCCTGCACTTGCGTTAGTCTGGAGCTAACCGTCGGTGCTGGGGATGCCGGGGCAGGGCCCCAAGTTCCACTGTGGACGTGCGTGGGGCTTACCTATGGGCAGCCCCTCCTTAGGAGCAGCACCCAGCAGAGCAGCTTGTGATTTCAGCCGGGAGGAGACCGTGAGGGAAGAGATCCCTTAGGTGGTGTCTGCAGCTGACTAGGTCAGCGTTTCCACTCTGGCTGTTAATGGGACGTTGGCACAGAAAAGTATTTTGTGGGCAACTTAGTTTAGGGAAGGATGTGGCGGAGCCTCCCTGTGGAAACGTGTGTCTCTGATCTCCACGTGGGGTGTGGAGGCAGTAGCCTTTTCAGACCTGGTGGATCATTGAATCCCTCCTGAGGGGGTGGGTTCTGAGGCCTGGCCTTGATCCCTGAGGCCCTTTGGAAAGTGCTGGAAAAGGTGAGTGAATGGGCATGGCTGTGGAATGAGACAGAGGGCAGATCTGCGAGGAGCCCTCGAAGGCGTCAAACCCCGGGAGTTGAGTGTGTGTGTGTGTTCTTGCACTGTTGGGCATGGGGGCTAGGAGCTCATCAGGGAAACAGTGTCAGATACGACCCTAGAGGCTCAGACTGCACTGATGAAAAATACCGACAGCTTCCACGTGGCACGGGGCCAGCACCTGACCCCATGGTTATCACAAGGCTTAGCGCCTCCCTGCCCCGACTGTCTCACCGCGGTTTGTTCTCTGCCTCAGCCACACAGGCAGCTCTGTGCACATGAGAAGCATGTGATTGAACTTTTAATTCCACATTTTGCACAGCATTTGCTAGGTACTAAAACTCATTATTGTTTTATTTTCTGTCTCTGTTGATTTGCACAGAGTTGAAAATTGGTGATACTGTCTTGTTTTCAATTGATTATATTTGGGAGAGAATTGTTCTTTTTTCAATATAGAAGAATTGGCGGGGAGAGGGGGGATGGAGGAGAAGGGAGTGGTTATTCCAGATCATCTCTTGTGGTTTCATCCATTGCATTTATGAGAGCCTGCTCTATACTCAGCCAGACTGAAAGTCGATCGAGGGCAAACGTATGACTGGTGTTTCTTTGCAACAGCCTCTAATCACCCTCTCTCCTGGGTAAATTGCCCTAGAACAGGTAATAAGCAGAGACTTGTAGATGCTGTCTTCATGGAGGGTTGAGGAATGGCTGCAAGTTCATCGTGTGGAGTATTTAGGATAAAAGTTCAGCTTTTCCTCTAATTGAGTTTAGAAAAATAATCACACATTTCCCACAGACATCTCTTCAGCTGCACGTTACCGGAGTGTGTGCTTTGCAATTTGTTTTATGTTGCTGAATCTTGGGAAAGCCATTCTCTGTTATTTTCACCTCTCCTTCACTTACCAAATAAGATATTTTCTTCCCATTTTACTACTGAAGTATGAATGTAAATACAGCCCTTACTTTCACATTTTTCTTTGTGATTCACCCTTGATGGAAGCTCAGACTCTGGAAGACCCAGCACAATGTTCCAACAGCCCTCCATTTCCAGGCTCTAATTGCGCCTAATATTTTAAAAGCCATCACAAAAATTGGTGGGTCCATTTACCTTATTGTGGGAGCCCCTGGAGTACAGCTTTCAAGACCCTGATGGCCCATTAGGGGCATCCATTAAACCCGGCTGCATTCCCATTCCAGAAACGGCATAGATGATAATCACACTCACCTGATTAACCTTTTCAATGAAAAATGTGTGTCATCAAGATTTTTCTGTACCGTTTAATTTGTTAGGCCTTTCTGGGCACGCTGACTTTGTGCAACATTGAACTACCTTATTAGAAGAAACACTCGCAACAGTTAATGAGATGCCTTCCTCCACGCGAATGATAACAAATGTATTTTATTTATTTGTTTTAAAACAGGTTTTGCCTGGCATTCTGCAGAAGCATTGCTGTATCTTACCAGACAGGAATACAGGTAAATACATTTCATTCTTCTGATTTGGGATTATATGTTTCGTATCAGTGGCAAAAGTGAGAAATGTGATTACCTAATTTAGATATTTTGTGCATTTTTATTTTGTGGGTTGTTTTTAGTGCAAGATTGCGTATTAACTAACTGTAAGACCTGAAAGTAGGATATTTAGTTCTGTGGTGATTTATGAGCTGAGCCCAGAGATCTGTTTTTATTTGACAGAGGAAATAGTTTTATTAATAGATGATTGTTGTCCTGGGTTTTTAAGGGAAACTGGTTGTCTTATAAACTTGAGTTTGTTGGTTTCAAAGTTGTTTATTTTGCTAATTATACTTATTTACTAAAGAAAATCACCATTCTTATTGGCTAGAGAGAAATGTGTTTGGAATCTGTTTGCAGTCAAGGCCTTTCTTTGTGATCAGGGTGGGAATCGGCTAGATGTTATGTTCTGGAAACCCCCAAGGTCTCAGTGAATAAAACACTGGCATGAATGTTTTGAAGTGGGAGATGCATCTCTGTGTAATTTCTCATGGCAGGATGGGCGTGTGTGGCTGGTGGTTGTGAGGAAGTGTTTTGCCTGACCTTTAAGGAAACATGACGGAGAAAAAGAAGGTCTAAAAAAAACTTCGTTATCATTACAATTAAGGGGAAAAAAGAATCAGTCAGGGCTTGTTATCCTGTGGATATGGATCTGCATTTTTGTTTTCCTCCTGCAAGATTTCTGATTTATTTTTATCAAAGAAATTGCAAGTCCTGAGGAAAGTATGGAGAAGATGCCTCTTTCGTGTGAGGGGCTCTGCAAGCTGATTCATTTCTAAAAGCAATCGTGTGCTGTCAAGTATGTATTTGTGTCCCAGGATGTTTTAGTTGGGTATGAAACAGAGGTTTGCTGACATTTTCTTACTTGTTTTCTAGCTATAACAAGGTAATTACAAAGACTCTTCTATGGTAATTAGAAGAATTTAATTTGTTGGGATTTACTGTTGACTCACCACTAAGAATGATGGTATCTCAGTAGCCAACATTGTCTGTATTATACATTCCAGAGTAAAACACCAGGTGTATTGAGAAAAATACAATCTTTATTAATTACGAGCATGGATGGATGACATTACTGATAGAACTCTTCTTGAGAATGAGGAACTGTCCCTGTTTTGTTTTCTTTTACCCAGTCAAGTGTGTCTCAGCTACGAGTTTGAGCATATCTGCTTACAGGGAAGCTTGTTGAGTGTGTCAGATATTTTTGGGCCTCTTTTTATTTTCTGGAAGTCTTGGTTATGAGTAAAAATGTATGAAAAAGTCACATGTGTAAAAAAGATTTTTGCAACTGTGTCCATCAAAGTCAGCATCACACAATTTTTTAAAAGAAATTAATTTTCCTGATTCAGGTGAATCATTACTCTAAGAAACATCAGGAATAACGATAAAATAAGTTAAAAGCTAACTACTGTACTGCGGACATCACAGTGGGTATTAAGTATGGAAATGAATTTTCCTTGTCTTTTTTTTTTTTGACAGTTTGTTCTGTAAATGGTTTTAAGTTAATTTGGAAAACATTGCCAACTGAAGATGTTTTATTTACTTTTCATGAGACTCCAAGTAATCAATCTGTAGAACCAAGAGAGCTGCCTTCCACTGGGGCCTCAACGCAGAGGACATTAGCCGGGCAATTTCCTCAAAATTATTTTTATAGTATAGAATGTTTCACTGTCATGTCAGCTGTGGAAGACCATAGGCTTTAATATTCGGTGTGGATAAGGGAAGGAGTGGCTCCAGAGAAGAGAGAGGTGTTGGTTGAGATTATAACTCTTAAAAGTGTAAGTCCATGCAGAATGGAAAGATGGGGAGAATTCTAGCTTTTAGCAAATAGTTTGCTCCAGTATGTCCGAAGCTGCTTCATGATTTAGGAGATCTTGTTTGGAAATGTCTTCAGACCTCAACACAGCGGAGGTTCTTGGTGATTACTTTTGCATTTCAGTGGCATATAAAGGTCCTTGTAAGGGCGACTGTAATTTTCTTCTACCTCAATGGTTTTGTGGAAGAGTTTTCGCAGTTTCTCATTAAGGAGATTAACTTTGGAATGGGCACCAAGTTTCCGTTTTGGAAGACGAAACGAGTTCTGCAGATGGAGGGTGGGGACGGCTGCCCGGCCGTGAGAATGTAGCGAATGCTCCAAACTGGGCGCTTAGGCAGCATCACCATGGCGGATTCTGCATTACGGGTGCTTGACCACAATTAGAAAGAAGATTAACTTTGGGATGAATCATCACTTTTTTCTCGTTTGGTTTTTACTTATTTTAGAAATGCTTTATACTCCATTAACTTTATACATGTCATGTTTCTGAATTAAACATGGCTGCTTGTGAAAGATAAATATCCTATCGTTTTCTCTTGCAATTTTGATTATTTGTGATGATTTTAGGCAATGCTGTGAAGCGTCAGAGGGAATTCCGTTGGTTACTTTCCCATACGGTCTTGTTCAGCTGCTTGTTCTCAGAAAAGTGTGTTTGTTGGTGGAGGAGAATGCGACCAAGGAGACCATCCTTTTCATGAAGGCACAAACGTGAATACATATGTGACTTTTAAGCCTTTAAATAAAAACCCAAAGCACATTTATGCCTGTCTTTATTTCTAAGCATTCTTCCCTTTTCTTGCTTTGGTGACCCCTGATTGGCCTTTCACAGGCCTTTGGTTTGCAACCTACCTGGAGTGAGCGTTGAAGCCGAGATACACGGGAAGTTGGAGTGACTCAGGGAAGAGTGGACGTCTCAGGTGTCTGGATTTTTGCAGCTGCCTCTGGCTTGAATCCAGCACCATCTTTTACTAGGATTGGTGTCCTTGCAGGGGGTTCCGTCCTTAGCACCTTTTTTTTGGTTAGCGGGCTATAAAAAGGATCGCCAAGCAGAGCAGGCCTTGGGCGCGGTGTCCTGGATGCGCCACCACATTTGGGCTGAAGGCGGGCCCACTTGCTGCTGGACTTGGGCTGTCGAGTTTCTGGTGGAACTCAAGGCATCGTGCAGTTAAAATAGTCCCAGACGCCTGCCCATTCCTGCTTGGAGCTGGAATCCTCATTTAAGGAGTGACTTCTTCACAAACATCCTTTCATGACGAGTCGCTGTTTTCTGGGGCAAAGTGAACCCGTCTAAAGTTTTATAGCCAGGTGTTCCTCCTAGCAACAGAGACCTCTTACACTTGCTTTAGTATTTTTGACCCAACTGGAGGGGTGAGAACTTTGGCTCCATGGTGAAGAGATGACATGGCCTAAGCGGTGCGTTTTCCATTATGGATTCTGTTTCTTAGGATGCGTGTGTAATGTATGTTGGAAGGATGCTGGAGAATCTTGGAAGGATGCGTGTATATGTTGGAAGGACGCATGTATAACGTACATTGGGAGGATATGTGTATAACATATGTTGGAAAGATGCATGCATAATGTATGTTGGAAACATACTGGAGAATGTTGGAAGGATGGTTGTATAATGTATGTTGGAAGGATGCTGGAGAATGTTGGAAGGATGCTGGAGAACGTTGGAAGGATGTGTGTGTAATATATGTTGGAAAGACGTGTATAACATGTTGGAAGGATGCATGTATAACATATGTTGGAAGGATGTGTGTATAATGTATGTTGGAAGGATGCTGGAGAATGTTGGAAGGATGCATGTATAATGTATGTGGGAAGGATGCTGGAGAATGTTGGAAGGATGCGTATATAATGTATGTTGGAAGGATGTTGGAGAATGTTGGAAGGATGTGGGTATAATGTATGTTGGAAGGATGCTGGAGAATGTTGGAAGGATGCTGGAGAATGTTGGAAGGATATGTGTATAATGTATGTTGGAAGGATGCTGGAGAACACATCAGAAGCCACCTTCCATTGAATCCACATTTCCCTGACAGTGAGATCTAAGCAGGGAAAACTTTGGGAGCTGTTCAGTTCCTAGATGATCTGGCTTCCTTCCCTTGATTATTAATGACCTTCACTTCAGAATTGCAATGACATTTGGGAAAATTAAGTTACACAGTTGTAAGCATAATACATTCTTTTCTTTAGGCTGCACAATTGGCGGGGTTCTGACTTCGGGCTTAGCTGCCTCACACAGCCTTTATCCTGAGTTTTTCAGGAGACAGCCCATTCTACTGCCACGAATAATTAGAAGTTTCAAGAATGAATTGATTTTGCAATATGGCAGCAGTAATTACCCATGCAAACTTTGATAATAAGAAGTGAATAATGAAACCTCAAACAGATCAAGCATGCGGGAGTACTATGTTTGGTTTTTGAGATACATTATGTTTCTAATTGACAATGAATGTAAAATGACTGTGAAACAGGTTATGTATAAAAGTTGGGTGGAAAGGTTTCACGTGACTTCCCTGTGTTTGTGGAACTGACGGTTGCTTATTTGCAAATACGTAATGGAAACTCCTGACTCTGAAATCAGGTCCCCGCAGCAATGTGCTGGTCCGCGTTTATCAACTGACTTTCCGATGCTGAGTGAGAGGGTGGGTGGGGAGGCCTCGTTCTAGTGTTTGCCAATTTCTGTGGTCCAGTTTCAAGCTGCTGCCATGAAGTTCCTGGACATGGAGTTGTGAGTTCTTGGCAGCCACCAGTTGTCTCCAGCTCATTGGAGCCGGCTCCTGCTCCGTGGTGCCCGCCTTCCTCTCTGTGGAGCTGAGCCCCACACCACAGTGTCCATCTTCCTATCTGTGGAGCTGACCCCCGCACCGTGGTGCCCGCCTTCCTCTCTGTGGAGCTGACCCCTGCGCTATGGTGCCCACGTTCCTCTCTGTGGAGCTGACCCCTGCGCTATGGTGCCCACGTTCCTCTCTGTGGAGCCGGCTTCCCACACCACAGTGTCCATCTTCCTCTCTGTGGAGCTGACCCCCGCACCACGGTGCCCGCCTTCCTCTCTGTGGAGCTGGATCCCCGCACTGTGGTGCCCGCCTTCCTCTCTGTGTAACTTTCCTGTGGTCTTTCCCCTCAGTAGCTGCAGTTGCTGTGTGCTTTCTGCAGGGTGGCGAGTTGTTTAGTTGTGCATTGGCAAAATGAAATATTGGATTGAAATGTAACCTTTGTAACAGAGTGCTTCATTTTTAAAAATTTACATAGGTTGAGCAAATTTTTTTTGTGATTTATATTTGGATGTTGAGTATATTTGTATTACAAGGTAGGATTTTGGAAGCCTACAGGTTGGCAGACCTAATTATACTTTATTAATGTTTCTGCATGTAGAGCTGTTGAAACAGAGTAGCCACTGGAGCACTTTGGAGGTTTAGTTCAAAACGGCAGAGGGACACCATTGTTGAAATGTTAGGAAAGGTTCTGTTTGATAATTGTAAATCCCCTAGATTTCTTGGGAGCTAAAGGTTTTAAAGAGCTTTTAATTTCATGATGGACAAATAAAGGAAACTCAGTGGCCAAGTTTGCATTCTCTCCTACGGGCCTGTCTCAAAGGACAACAGTTTGCGATAGCTGCTGGCAGTGAGAGTTTGGCGTGAGCGTATATGTTGAAATGAGTCTTGACTCCATTAGTGTCACACCTCTGTGGCATAGGATTCCTAAAGCTATGTAGACAATGACATTGTTACTTTGAATGCTTATACTAATAGTAGATGTTACATGCCTTTTTATAATGCTTTCCAGTTTATAAGGTGCTTTCACATTCATCTTGACTAGTCCTGTAACTTTGCTGTGAGATAGAAAATGTGTGTGCATTTTGCAGAAGAGAAAACAGATCCAGAGGTACCTGTGACTTCATTGTCCCACAGCTGTGCCTCAGATACAGGTTTGCGCTAAGTCAGTATGTGATACTATATGACCCTGAATAAGTCCTGAATTATCCACATGTGACTTTCCGGTCTCATATGAGGCAGAACAGCACGGTGTGGACCGGGAACCCTGACGTGGGAGCCGAAAGATGGGGAGGCTGTGGGCACGGCCCCCGGAGCCCCGGGACTGAGACATGCAGGCACCTCAGACGGGTTTGCTGCCACAATAAGTGGGAAATCTCCACGTGTGGATTGGTTACCTGTTTTCAGGAGGCCAGGGAGTGGTATTTACACATACAAGATTAAATATGAGGTCTCATTTCTTTGAAAGATCAAATACTTCAAGTAAATTTCTTTTTACCCAGATACTAAAATTATTTATAATGCCTTTTCTCTTTCCAAAAAGCACTCAAGTTGTGCGAACAGAATTCCATACGATGTGATTCACGCAGTGAGAACAGCAAAAGCAAAGTCAGGGCTGAGCTGGAGGGAGGAAGCGAAGGCAGATGCCCCGGAGCCTCCCCCGTGACCCGCCTCTAATGACCCAGCGCCACCTTCCATGGGCTGGGGCGCTCTTTTCCTGCATCCTCTCTCTCTCTGCCCAGCTAAAGAGAAAAAAAGCCACGTTCCTCATATGCTTGAAAGGACTTCATTTCATAATCTGGAAATGCCTTTATTAGAAAATTGGTCATGCTATTTAATTCCTGCTAGAACAAGGGGGTGTGGATCAATAGTGTTGGGACCACAGGTCTTTTATTTCATGAGGCTTGCTTCTAGCATGGATGCTGTCTTTGTGCTGAGTGGAAAAATGTGACCCCCTGGGGAAAATGCAGCCTCTAAATGAAGCAGGGTCAGCCCCCATCCGTTCTGGGCCGGGCACTTCTGTGCAGAGCAAGGATTGCACGGTTATAGATGGTGGCCCTATTAACCCCAGAGCAGGTTAATGTACGTATTTATCTAGGTTTGTGGTTTACAGCCAATTTAATGTGGAGACATAAAGAAGTTTAATAGCTCAAGGCTGCATGTTCTGTGGATGCTTCTGTGCTGAGAGGGTTCATGACTAAACCTGGTGTGTGATACTCCTGTTTTAATGATATACCAGTGTAAATTCCTGGGACCTTTCTGTGTGGTGCAGATCTGTGGGGCTGGAAATAGACCTACAGTTACTTTTTGGGAGATTTTTGGCTTTGTCTGAGGATTCATCCTTGGGGGTGTCAGGAGGGTAGATTTCTGTCACATCTTCTGATTCTCCAAACCCCACTCTCCACCATCCTGTAACTTTGTGTGTAACTATCGACACAGGGCACACTGCCACAGGTTCCTGTGAGAGGGTCTACGCCAGGTCCTTAGAGAAGGATGGTTCGGGCAAAGCCTCCCATTGGGAGACTCTGAAATCTCTTCCTAAATTGAGAGAGAGCCCTGTCTTGAAGACGTCTTCTGCAACTCAGCCTGCATCTGTGTGGATGGTGCTGTGGTGCTGTGGCGTTGCCCTCCCTTGGGAGGAGGGAACATCTGTGAAACCCATCACTGGGCTGGGCGCGGTGGCTCACGCCTGTAATCCCAGCGCTTTGGGAGGCCGAGGTGGGTGGATCACAAGGTCAGGAGATCGGGACCGTCCTGGCTAACACGGTGAAACCCGGTCTCTACTAAAAATACAAAAAATTAGCTGGGCGTGGTGGCTGGCACCTGTAGTCCTAGCTACTCGGGAGGCTGAGGCAGGAGAATGGTGTGAGCCCAGGAGGCGGAGCTTGCAGTGAGCCGAGATCGCACCACTGCACTCCAGCCTGGGCGACAGAGCAAGACTCCATCTCTAAAAAAAAAAAAGAAACCCATCGCTGGAATGAGACTGTTGTCAGAGTCTCGGTGGCACCTGCCACAGCCGCCACCCACTCCCCTGGAATTCCCGAATCACACGGCTGGTCATGCGTTTGCCTTAGCTTTTGGAAAATGAAACAAATGTGTGGTCATTTGTTAAATCTCCCCATCTATTCATCTCTCTGTCCGTCCGTCAGTTCACCCGTCTGTCCATCTGTCCCAGGGCGTGGTTTCCGTGTGTGTTAACCATGAGTCCTCCTCATTGTAGACTCTCCCCACTCTCTTTTTTGTGTCCGTCCATCAGTTCACCCGTCCGTCCATCTGTCCCAGGGCATGGTTTCCGTGTGTGTTAACCATGAGTCCTCCTCATTGTACACTCTCCGCACTCTCTTTTTTCTGCCCGTCCGTCAGTTCACCCGTCCGTCCATCTGTCCCAGGGCGTGGTTTCTGTGTGTGTTAACCATGAGTCCTCCTCATTGTAGACTCTCTGCACTCTCTTTTTTCTGTCTGTCCGTCAGTTCACCCGTCCGTCCATCTGTCCCAGGGCGTGGTTTCCATCTGTGTTAACCATGAGTCCTCCTCACTGTAGACGCTCCGCACTCTCTTTTCCTATCCACCCCAGTTTTCCCACCCACGTATTTGTAGGTTACCTTAAAGTCTTTCCAGTGTAAGACAAGCTACATATATACATGAAATTGATGACAAAACCCAAGGTTGACACCAATGCTGATGTCACTCATGAAACCATCGGATTAAGAAAATGTGGCACATATGCACCATGGAATACTATGCAGCCATAAAAAATGATGAGTTCTTGTCCTTTTTAGGGACGTGGATGAAGCTGGAAACCATCATTCTCAGCAACTATTGCAAGGACAAAAAACCAAACACCACATGTTCTCACTGATAAGTGGGAATTGAACAATGAGAACAGTTGGACACAGGAAGGGGAACATCACACACCGGGGCCTGTTGAGGGATAGCATTAGGAGAAATACCTAATGTAAATGATGAGTTAATGGGTGCAGCACACCAACATGGCACATGTATACATATGTAACAAACCTGCACGTTGTGCACATGTACCCTAGAACTTAAAGTATAATAAAAAAAATTAAAGAAAATAAATTTAAAAAAAAGAAACTCAATCCAGGCTTCTCCAGTGTCAATGCAGAGGGGCACCCAAGTCACCCACTTGTTGTGATTTCAAGGCAAATGGCTGATTTGTTGGGCAGTGGAAGTGAAAATGTTGATCAAGCAGCCGGATCGTGCATCTTGGTTTGGGAATTTGGTCTGGAAGCCTGGAGTTGAGCTCCTAGAGAGCTGCGTTGAGACCAAGATGATCCTGGCACTGATGCCCGGGAGGGCACACCCAGGGCTCAGCCTCTTGTGGGGACAGCCTGGGCCATAGCCTTCCTCAGGACTGGAAGGGCCTCCTCTCTAGGGTTTGCCCCTTCCTGGGAAGAGAAGAAGGTGTGAGAGGCAGGAAGCTTGTGGAGCCACTGCTTTTTCATAGCTTGTCCTGCTTCAAAGTAAAACACCAGTGAAGCACATACATTTTCAGGAGTGAAGGGCCGGGGATAGTAAAGCGACTGTTGAGTCACCCCTTTTGCCTATTTTACCCACTAAGGTTTGGACATCAGTATTGTTCCCTCCCTCCCTCCATCCCTCCCTCCCTCCCTTCCTTCCTTCCTTCCTTCCTTTCTTCCTGACAGTCTCACTCCATCACCCAGGCTGGAGTGCAGTGGTGCAACCACAGTTCACTAGAACCTCCACTTCTCAGGCACAAACAATCTTTCCACCTCAGCCCCTCAAGTAGCTGAGACTACAGGTGTGCGCCACCACACCCAGCTAATTTTTGAATTTTTATAGAGGTGAAGTCTCCCTATAATCCCCAGGCTGCTCTCGAACTCCTGGGCTCAAGCTGTGCTCCTGCCTTGGCCTCCCAAAGTGCTGGAATTACAGGTGCGAGCTACTGCACCCAGACTGATTCTCTTTTGTTATTGTTGTTACTGGACAGCGTCTCCAGAATATTCTTTTGTTGTTGCTGAGACAGGGTCTCGCTCTGTTGCCAGGCTGGAGTGCAGTGGTGCGATCTCAGCTCATTGCAAACTCCACCTCCCAGGTTCAAATCATTCTCCTGCCTCAGCCTCCTGAGTAGCTGGGATTACAGGGGTGTGCCACCACGCCTGGCTGATTTTTGTATTTTTAGTAGAGATTGGGTTTCACCGTGTTGGCCAGGATGGTCTCAATCTCCTGACCTCGGGATCCGCCTGCCTCGGCCTCCTAGAGTGCTGGGATTACAGGCGTGAGCTACTGCGCCCGGCCTCCAGAGTATTCTTTTGTGAGGTAAAGTTGATCAAAATGAATAAATACAAGCTGGATGACAATGAGACTGCCTCATGACTTTCTGAGATATGTAATGATTAATTTGTAGAGTGCAGAGACAAATTATTTGGTAGGTTGCATGTCTAGGGCTGTGGATGATGTGAGCAGCTGAAGATATTCAGCCCTGCAATTTGGGAGCTACGGGTGTAAAATCTAAGTGAATTTACCTAAGTTTTGTGCCTTCCCCAGCTCTGGAATCTCAACCTCGTCTGAATTCCGAAGGCATTCTTTCTGGTCTGTGTGGGTCTGTGTGCAGGAGACTGGGGCATGGAAATGTGTGTTTGTGCATGCACTTACTGGAAATTCAAAACATTTTAGATTTAAGCCTCCTGTTTTAAAATATGCCTCTGTTATTTGGTTTCAGCCAGTCAAGGCCCCTTAAAATGGTGAGTGTTGGTAATTTGTTTTTAAGCCATTCGTAGAATTAGGGTTTACCAGTCGTCTGACAACCTGTGTCGCTTAGATGGGCTTTTATAACCATGCACGTTTAGTTCTAGACTGTTTTCTGATTGTGTAGACTGGGTACAGTGTGATTCTTAGTGAAAGACAGTGAGACAGGCACGGCTGTGTCTGTGCCACGCTGTGTCTGTGCCCCGCTGTGTCTGCATCGATCCTGAACAGGTGTACTTGGTGTTCACCGCAGTCTTCTGTGTTGTTGTCTTTGTGAACAAGACTGTGGTGATACCTTGTGGATAAAATACGAGTTGCTGTGGATTTGTTTCTGGGAAGACAATTGTGTTAACCCACCCTGTTATTCAACTTAAGTTCTTAACTAAGATAATGTTGTTCCATCCTTTTCTTTTATAGCTTTTTAGACATAGAGGCACGTAGACATATACGGGTAAGACAAACTAGCTTGAATTGAAGACAAACTGATATAGTTATGAGCTATTGGAGACATCAAAGCATATTTTTTGAGTTATTGGAAAGATCTAAACATTATTTTTTAAACATTCAAATCTGAAGACTGAGCTTTCAGTGCTGTAGGGTTTTTTGTTGCTGTTGTTGTTTGTTTATTTTGAAACAGGGTCTCACTGTGTTGCCCAGGCTGGAGTGCAGTGGTGCGATCAGAACTCACTGCAGCCTCAAGTTCCTGGGCTCAAGTGATCCTCCCTTCTTGGCCTCCCAAAGTGCATGGATTATAAGCATCAGCTACTGTGTCTGGCCAAAAAGCTTTGCTCTATTTTGAGAGTAAAAAGTACTTGGCATCTAAAAATACATTATTATTTGACCCGAAATGGAAAGACTTGACATTGTAATTGAAACTGGTTTAATGTATTAGGAAGGAGTTGTGCACATAATATGGTAGGACTGGTAGGAAGGAAAAACAGCCGTCCTGTCCTAGGTGCCCTCATGGTGCTGGGGTAGCTGAGACAGAGCTGCCGACATCAGGCCGCGACGGGCAGGATGCTTGTGCTTTCTGATGTTCTCAGTCTTTCTTGTTTGCCTAAAGTACTAGGTTTTGGGCAGCGTGAGTGGGGAAGGGAAGCTGGTGGAGTCTGTGAGTCCCCCCTGCTGATGAGCTCCCCCACTGCTGATGAGCTCCAAGGAAAGGCAAGTCCTGCTGGGCAGTGTTCATTTGCTGCCACCATCCACCCAGTTAACATCAGGTTGGCCTTGAGAATAGAGTCCACTGTTCACACTGGGGTCCTGAGAATAGGAGAGGCTGCGCCAGTACAGGATGGGGCCCCGGTGTGCCCGGGATCCGTCCGGCCGAGAAGCAGCAAGTCCCTGGAGGAAACTGCACCAGGGAAGATGGTCAGAAAGACCAGCCTGCATGGGGTGTGAGCTGCTGGGCCGTGCTCGCCACCACCCGCCTCTCTTTCCTCTGCAGGACACAGAAGGCTCTGCCATGTGGCTGTGCTCTCTGTGGTGTCTGGAATATTTTCTTCCATTTCCTCACTACTGAAATCTTTCCCTTTACTAAGAAATGCCTTTAAAATGGAAATGTCTTTGAAACCTGGGTAGCAGTTTTAATAACTCCCTTCCACCCCATGTCTATAACTAGCATTGGGGTCCCCAGGAGCACCCCCACTCAGCGATTCACTGGGAGGACTCCTGGAGCTCATGCCCAGCAGGATGGCCATGATTTGTTACAGAGAAAGCACGCGGAGCATGGTCAGCAGAGCGAGAAGGTGGAGGAGAGAGGTCCAGGGAAACCAGGTGGAAGCTTCCAGAGCTGCTCCCCACAGAGTCCCAGGAGGGGACACACATCAGGCTGTGACCACGCATGTCATCCAACAGGAAGCTTGTGAGAGACATGGTGCCCAGGGTCGTGCTGGGCTCTGCCCACAGAGGCACCCCTGCCTGGCACTTACCCAAATTCTGGGCTCCCAGCAGGACAGCAGGTGTGTGGTATAAACCATATGTTTGCACAGTTTAGGCACAGGAAGCCCCTGTTATCAGGGAATAGCCCCCAAATCCACATTCCCAGGTTCAAGGACTGTAGAAGCTTCCCTTTCTACGGAGCAGAGTTTCAGGCCTGCTTTGTGAATCCTGGGTGCATAATAACAATAAGCAAATCTAAAAACAATTCAGCAGGCACAGTGGCTGATGCCTGTAATCCCAGCACTTTGGCAGGCAGAGGTGAGTGGATTGCTTGAGCTCAGGAGTTTGAGACCAGCCTGGGCAACATGGTGAGACCCCATCTCTACTAAAAACAATTAGCCAGGTGTGGTGGTGCCCGCCTGTAGTCCTAGCTACTCAGGAGGCTGAGGTACAAGGAGTGCTTTAGCCCAGGAGGCAGAGGCTGCAGTGAACCATGATCGTGCTTGGGCAATCTGCCCAGCCTGGGCGACAGAGCGGGACTGCACACCAGCCTGGGTGACAGAGCGGAACCCTGTCTCAAAAGATATAAAAAAAAATAAATAAAAATAATTGCAAAAATGATTTTCAGATACACTTTGCCCGAAAAACTCTGTGAGGATGAGGGCCGGGTTTACTGTGTGCTTGCTTCATGCTGAGCACTTGGCAGGATGAGCTGAATCCTGGTCCTCACCCCACTTTCCCTCGTTTTTGTTACTGCCTATCATTCATTCCCCGGGTGCTCTTGGAAACCTTCCACCTGCAGCTCCATCTTCCACATCACAGGTTTACCTAAGTGTACATTTCACTCTTTGTAACTTCGCAACTTGATGCAGATTTAATCCTTGCCTTGTCTTCCTTCTTTAACTCACCATCTCCATCTCCTTCTGCGAGATTTCATCTCAGGCCCTTTTCTTCCTTTTTTGTTTATAGTCCTAGGAATCTTTTTTATAACTTTTTTTCCCAAGACTAGATGGCTCTTTAGACTTGTTTCCCCTGATTTCCGTGGCGCACACTTTCCTGGGCTCAGGGTTTAAATGTTGGTCAGACCCGTCCTCCCTGTTGCAGTGTTGAGTGTGGATGCGTGTCTATGGCCATTTCTGTGTCCACGTGTCCACAGACCCGACCTCCCTGTTGCAGTGTTGAGTGGGGATGTGCGTCTATGGCCATTTCTGTGTCCACGTGTCCACAGACCCGACCTCCCTATTGCAGTGTTGAGTGTGGATGCACGTCTATGAGCATTTCTGTGGCCACGTGGCCACGTGCTTTCACATGACCCATGCATCCCGGAACGGGAGGAGACCTCCCTTTCACTGGCATTTCCCATAGACAGTCTGTGGGATTGTCCTGGTCCCGTGTCCCTTCTGCCTGGAGGACCCTGGAAACTCCTCCGCTGGCAGCGCAGCTGTTACAGATGCTGTTCTGTACCTGTCACGGCTACTGCCACCCAGCCATCCTCCACCCAGGTGGCTGCGCTGCTCAGAGCAGGCTTCCCACTGCCAGTCCTGTCGGGCCGCCTCCCATTGAGCCACTGGCCACGTCCTGGCTCTTCTGCTCTTGGTCTTGGCCAGCCAAGGGAGCCGGGCCAGGGTCCTCACCCACCGCTGGTCTCTGCTCTCCTCTGAGAACGTGCATCTTCCAGTGGACGGCGAGACGTTCGGGCAGAAGAACTGGACAGCTGCTTCTGGGGTGATGTCAGCCTTATCCTATGGGTGGGAGCCGGCTGCAGGCTGCATTTCTGAAACGGCAAATATCTGGGTGGGACACAGGTGTGTGGCATGCTGGCCCGGGTGTGGCACAGCTGGGCAGGTGCCGTGTGCGCAGTTGGCGCCACTTTCCTGGGAGAAACGGCTCCTTGTTTCTTGCAGCAAATGACGATCTGTCCTTGTTTTCAGAGGCGCCGAGTTTTTGGTGTTTTCATGGAAGTTGGTGGAGGCTGTGTAAGGGTGTGAGCCAGATAATACTTTAAGCTGGAAGTGGAAGCCTTCTCTCTTCTCTAACCCATTAACCGTATCTCTATGGGATGAGTCCTGCTCACTTTATTCTGAGAGAGAGAGGTGCTAATTGCGGTAAAGGGACAGCGGACCCCTCCGGAGGGAAAATGAATCCCTGAGGTTATTCAAGTCATGCCGAATTTCTTATTTCGAGATGGAAGACAGTTTTAATATTTGCCCCCAAAATTTAAAAGTAATTCCAGGAAGGCATTTTATTGAAAAGAAGACTCTGCACTAAAGGGGAAAGGTTTTTAAAACTATGACTTACTTCATCTTTGATGAAAACTGTTGTTTGTTGGGTTTAAAATAAATTAAAATTATTTCTAAGCAGCACCTTATTCTGGGATGGTTTTGTGGGAGTGTGCATTGTGTTCTGAGAAGCTTTGATTATTTGCAACCATGAACCATATCTAATAGAAATAGTTTTACTATGTATTTTAATACCCTCCCTTTAAACAGAAGTGTCAGATAAAGACAGTGATTGATCTTTCCAGCAAAGCTTTGCTTATTTAGCAGTGGCAGTTTCATTGCTAAACAGGTATTCAGGTGGCACATAAATCAAATTGGAGAGACTTGATTTATGGCCACTGTTCTCTCAGGTGTGAGTTGGGGTTAATGTGCAGGCATCTTAAGCACTGATGCACAAATAATGAAAGAAAATAAAATGTTTCTTGAGGGGAAATGAGACCAGGAGTTTTGGAATATAGAGGGAGGTGCCCAGGGCTGGGAATTGCAAGCCCTGGGCTCTGATGGATGCTTGTTACCATGGAGTGCATTACTCTGTATCACACTCGGGTGTGTGTTGATTTTGCTACCATGTTAAAAGCTATGTCAAACCCCGGGTGGGTGTTCCCTGACTGCAGCAAGTTACTACGGAACAAGTTACTAGGTAGCAAACCACAGGTTATCCGGGCTGTGTCATAATGTCTGTGAATGAGACGGGTGGTCTGTGTCAGTCTTGGCGGACAGGCTTTCTCTCCTGTGTTAGGTAGCAAACCACAGGTTATCTGGGCTGTGTCATAATGTCTGTAAATGAGACGGCTGGTCTGTGTCAGTCTTGGCAGATAAGCTTTCTCTCCTGTGTCACGTCCCATGACAGTGTCTTTCCCTAGGAATGCGTGGAGGAAGACTCTGAGGGGCCACTGCCTTGATGGATTGTGATGCCCACGAGGGCATGGGTGTGAGTGCTGATGCCGCTCTGACCCTCCATTTTAATTACCTTCCGCCCAGGAGCTGGAGATGCCAATATGCTTAACCCTGCATTCAGAATGAAAAAGCTACAGTTCCTGAAGTTGACATAACTAGTTAGGATATTCGCTAAGAAGGAAACAGGGGGTGACGTTTAAGTGTATCTTTTTAAGGGTATGGCGTAGAATTCCTTGGGAATCAGGATTGCATTTTACCAGTTTAGAGACCCCTCTGAGCTTGGTGCATAGGGGACAGTCAGTGGAAGCGTTTAATTTGAACTGAATTGAACCTGTGCTTGTATCAGATGTCAGGGGTCTGTTCCTGGAGAAATAATGTAGGAGGAAAGCGTAACTAATTAAGGGAAAATGTCTCAGACGCTGGCTTTTAAAATAATTAAACAATCAAAGACTGCCAAAGGTCTAAAGTTTATGAGATGCACACTCAAGTAATTTAGCTGCTGTGTGGCAGGCAGAAATGGCCTGTGAGTGATTTCAGGGTCAGCTCAAACAGAAATTATCTTCTGAAGAGAGGGATCCAGCTTAATGTTCTTAAGTTAAATCAATGATGCTGTTAACATTGCTTTGAATTCCGTAGTTACTGATGAATGTCACATGACAGCATCCATTGCGTATTGATGGCTGTAGATAGGAGCCTATAAACATGAGAAGTGCACGTTTGGAGGGAGCTTCATGGAAAGATGTCTCTGGTTTTCAGTTTCTAGTCCATTTTAGGGTCTCCACTTGGGAGCAACACCAGCTACGTCCCTCACAGCCACTGCTGATTATGTCTTGAAGGAGGTGACGTTAATTCAGTCAATCCCAGAGATACTGGCCCTTCCTAGGTGATGTGGGTAGAAGACAGTGAGGCCATCTCTGTCCTCCGGCTCACGTTTTTGGAGGCGAGAGGGCAGTACCGACAGCAGGTTAGCAGATGTTGGGGCCAGATCCTCTCGGAGCCCTGGGCTTGGACGTTGGGTGGGGTGGATGGGGAGGGACAATGTTGTGGGGTCCTGTTGTGTGGTGACTGTTAGGGCAGGACTGTAAGCCCGGTGAAGTTTAGTGCTGGCCTTGCCGAGGTGCAGGACGTGAATTTACAGAGGCACATTTCAGAAACTTCGGGAAGCTGGCACTGCATGCTTATCCCGGTTATTCTTTTTTTTTTTTCTTTCTTTCTTTTTGAGACGGAGTTTTGCTCGTTGCCCAGGCTGGAGTGCAATGGCGCGATCTCTGGTCACTGCAACCTCCACCTCCTGGATTCAAGGGATTTTCCTGCCTCAGCCTCCTGAGTAGCTGGGATTACAGGCATGCACCACCATGCCTGGCTATTTTTTTGTATTTTTAGTAGATACATGGGGTTTCTCTGTGTTGGTTAGGCTGTTCTTAAACTCCCGATCTCAGGTGATCCACCTGCCTTGGCCTCCCAAAGTGCTGGGATTGCCAGCATGAGCCACCGCGCCTGGCCAATCCAGGTTATTCTTACTAAATCCAGACGTTGTGAAGGCCTGCTTGCTATTAATATATTGATAATTATGTTGATAATGGTGAAAGTGTAGGCACGTGTGGGTGATTGCTTGCTATTGGTGTATTGATAGTTGATAATGGTGAAGATGTATTGATAATTATGTTGATAATGGTTAAAGTGTATTGATAATTATGTTGATAATGGTGAAAGTGTAGGTGCGCGTGGGTGATGGCCACTTGGAGTGTTTTGGGTATGATTGCTTTTAGAGAAGAAATCTTATTTTGTCACTCAAGCTGGTGTGCAGTGGCCTTCTGGGCTCAAGCTATCCTCCCATCTCAATCTCCAAAGTAGCTGGGACGACAGGTGCACACCACCTTGCTCAGCTAATTTTTATTTTTTAATTATAATGTTTTTTTTGTAGAGGGGGTGTCTCCTTATGTTGCCGAGGCTGGTCTTGAATTCTAGGGCTTAAGCGATCCTCCCAGCTCAGCTTGTTTCATATACATATATGAAATGTGAATGGTTGTCTCTGGGCTGAAGTTACCTCACGGAAGGATGGTGTTCTGTGTGGAGGCTGGACAGGGCTGGATTTGTGGTGGTCCAGGAATCCATGACTTGGGGGGCAGCCTTGTGGATGGGTGCGGAGAGAGTGTATTAGCACAGCTTGGATGTCCACATTGTGGACGGAGTAACCCTGTGGGCTTTGCAGGTGTATTAGGGCCCTCCAGAGAAGTGGAAGTCGTTGGATATATGTGGGTGTATTTGTTTACACATATGTAGACCCCATGCTTATATATATAAATCTCATCATGTATATCTGTGTGAATAGAAGGAGATTTGTTAAAAGGAATTGGCTCATGTGGTTATGAGGCTGACGAGTCTGAGATCTGCTCAGCCAGCTGAAGGCCCAGGAAGAGCCCATGTGTCCATTCTAGCATGAAGGCAGGAAAAAATGTGGTGTTCCAGTTCAAAGGCAGGCAGGGGCGTTGCATAATAAAATGTATTTTAATTAATTAATTCAGGGTTTTCCCGCCCTACTGAATGGGGTTGCGCTCACAGGAGGAGCGGATATGTCATGGAGAATGAACACATCACACTGCCATTACTCAGTGAGTAACTCACTTGGGCTCCGGGCCGCTCGGGGGCACAGAGCAGGTCTTAGCCATGCTGTCAATTTTCCGTGTTCTGACGCTTTCATGTCTGGGCCTCGCTGACTTGGGAGGGATGGCTTTTCCTGGGCTGGCCGGTTCCTGGGGACAGTGAGCGGCTCGCCTGTGGTCGTGCCTGTACATGAAGCCGACTTCCAGAGCCCACGCCCACCACTCCCTCCGTGGGCTCTCATGCTCCTGACTGCTGACAGCCCAGAGCCCTGGGACCATTCAGCCTGGCCAGGCCTAAGCCTGCTGGCCCTGCTTTCCCGTTCTTCCTTCCCAGATCCCAGTGAGGGCTCCCCGTGTTGGCCACCCCCCTCACACCTCCTGGCCTTCCCAGTGCACCTGTGTGGCCCTGGCCCTGTGGCAGGCCCTGCCTCCAGGTCGGGGGTCTGTGTGTTTCCACTGCTCCATCCACGATGGTAATTTCTGTCTCTGTGTCTCACCGCACCTGAGTAAACAGATCCCAGGAACCCTGAAAACAAGCAGAATCTGTGCCCATTGCTCTCCTGGCTCCTGGAGGGCACAGTGGGCTCTGCTCCTGCTGGGAGGAGAGCGGCAGGTTTCACCGGGTGGCACAGGGAGCTGCTCTCTGGAACCGCCTGGGCGGCCGTGGCCAGGGCATGAGCTGAAGGGGGTGTGCGGCAGCCGTGGGTGGCCGCCGAGGGGCTGGCAGCAGCTGAGCCATGTGGAGCTAAACTGAGTGAGCCAGGAGGAAGGATGAGGGTGCTGGCACACAGAGCTGGCCGCACCCACAGGAGCCGTCACACAGCGGAGCTGCCCTCCTCCGGCAAGGACGGCTGCAGTTGTGTAATAATCCTGGTGGGGCTCACAGCACTGCGTGGCAGGAGCGGAGCGAGCCTCGTAGGCGTTCCAGGTGTTCCCTGAGCCGGATTAAATGCCTCTGCGCTGTGGGGGTGGGGACAGCGTGGGGGGAAGCCAGGAAAAGCCGGGGCCAGAGGACCCCCCGCCGAGAAAGAGAAAGAGCTCAGAGCCGGGGACTGGAGGCCTGGAGGAGCCGATGTGGGAGAGATCCTCGTGGGAGGGCCCCAGTGGCCGGGATGGTAAAAGACTTCGGAGCAAACTAATCGATTGTAATTACATGAAGGTGAAGCTGGTGATGATGTGTCAGATGGGGAGTGTTCAGGAAAACTCCTACAAAGGTAAGAACGCTGTTTATAGAACATGATCCATTATGGGGGATTCATGTTGATGGAGGACAGTGATGAGCCTATGGGGATTTTCTTGAAGCTTCTGTGGCGACTGTTTTCTTACTTGAACATGTTGATTCAATGACTAAAAATGACCGTGACTGTAGCACTTTGTGGGGGTGTGTTTAAAACGTTCTGGTCCCCAAGGCTCTTGGGTCTACCTGAGCATACGCGGCACACACCAAAGGTCTCAGGGTGGAATTGTTCACGTCAGGAATGTGCTTTGAGCAGGTGGCTGATTTTGAGGTCCTTAAAGTTCAAAGTCCTCCGCGTGTGTCCCTCACCCAGAGAGGGCACTTAACGCCTCCGAGCCTCAGTGTCCTCATAGATCAGACATAATCGTAACAATTCTGTTCTTAACAGGAGAATCGTGGGGCCCAGCACCGTGGGGTAGGGTATGGGGTTGTTGTCGGCTGTCATACAAACGTGTCAAGCCAGACACACCAGGGAGGGACAGAGGTCTTGGGATGTATGGAGCAGGAAGGAGATTTGGAGTATGGGGTTAGAGTTGGGAATTACTGTTCTTGGTCGTTCCTGGAGATTATAGTTAGAAATTTCTCAAGAAGTATATAATGAGAAAAAAAGGGCAGAGTTCAGAGAGCTAAATTGCAAAAAACAAACAAAAAAACCCCACAAAGGACCAGCACACAGATGCACAAGTTCCCCTGAAGGGGCAGAGCAGTGCCAGGCCCATCAGATGCCATGGGACACACTTGAATTCCATAGCAGAGCAGAGGGAAGCACGTGTGTGCAGTAGAAGGGATGCCGGCCAGCCATGGGGTCCCGGGAGAACGGGACCAGAGTTCCCTGCCCAGGGCTGAGGGTCTCATGGTCTTTGTGGCAGGTCCTGTGACTGGGGAGGGCGCCAGCCTGAAGCCACCTCCTAGGAGAATTTCTGGTCATGTCATAGACACGGATGTACTGAGGCTGAGTTCATATTCAGTAGGCCTCATGGACGCAGATTTACGAGATTTTCCTGGACATGATTCCCTGAGGTCGAGTTTGCGTTCACTAGGTGTCCTGGACACGGTTTACCGAGGTTGAGTGTGTGTTCACTAGGCATCCTGGACAGGGATTACGGAGGTCGAGTTTGCGTTCACTAGGTGTCCTGGTCGGGGATTTACGGAGGTCGAGAATGTGTTCAGTAGGTGTCCTGGACGTGGATTTACTGTGCCCTTAGTGTATCCCAGGCTTCATGGAAGAGGAATGAGGAACAGGTCCCCAGCTTGGTGCTCAGGTGCCTGTTTGATTCTTGTGGTGACAACACGGGTGATGCTGGCGGGGACTGGGTACTTGACACCTTGCAAAGGCATCTGTGAAGGGTGGGATGCACTCAGAAGACAGCATAAGGTTTTTGATTTAGAGGAATAAAAAAAAATAAAGCACAGGGGAAGAACTTGGTGATACTGGACAGGTCCTCCTCTGCCCTTTGCCTTGCACCCCGGGTCAGGCGCAAGGTGTCCACATGTGGAGGAAATAGGTGGGAATCGCTGCCCTCGATGCAGGAAGAACCAGAAGATTCACAGAGCCTTCGAGTTAGAAGGGACTCGAGGATTTTCTGTTGCGAAGCCTGATTTCACAGAGGAGGAAACAGGAGCACTGAGGCCGTAAGTGGGTGGTCTGGGCTTACACCAGGGTAGGGGCAGGGTGGGCCGGACGGCTTTTCAGGCAGTTTTGGCTGCAACACACTGCTCAAGGTTTCTCTGGAAAGATGAAGACCCCCCCCGCCATTCCCACTCTAAACATCCCAGACCCCCCACCATTCCCCCTCTAAACATCCCAGACCCCCTGCCATTCCCCCTGTAAACATCCCAGAACCCCCGGCCATTCCCCCTCTAAACATCCCAGACCCCCCGCCATTCCCCCTCTAAACATCCCACACCCCGCTGCCATTCCCCCTCTAAACATCCCAGACCCCCCGCCATTCCCCCTCTAAACATCCCACACCCCCCTGCCATTCCCCCTCTAAATATCCCGATTCCCCGCCATTCCCACTCTAAACATCCCACACACCCCTGCCATTCCCCCTCTAAACATCCCACACCCCGCTGCCATTCCCCCTCTAAACATCCCAGAACCCCCGCCATTCCCCCTCTAAACATCCCACACCCCCCTGCCATTCCCCCTCTAAATATCCCGATTCCCCGCCATTCCCACTCTAAACATCCCACACACCCCTGCCATTCCCCCTCTAAACATCCCAGACCCCCCCGCCATTCCCCCTCTAAACATCCCAGAACCCCGCCATTCCCCCTCTAAACATCCCAGACCCCCCCATTCCCCCTCTAAACATCCCACACACCCCGCCATTCCCCCTCTAAACATCCCACACCCCCCGCCATTCCCCCTCTAAACATCCCACACCCCCCGCCATTCCCCCTGTAAACATCCCACACCCCCCACCATTCCCCCTCTAAACATCCCACACACACCCCATTCCCCCTCTAAACATCCCACACCGCGGTACTCAAGCAGTGTTTGCCTGGCTTTGGTTGAGAGTTCCCGGCAACAATGAGGGCTGCAGTCTAATTATACTTAGAAGGAAATATTGATCTTGGTTTCCATGATTTATAGTACAAGTCATTTCCACTTTAATTTGAGTTACCAAGAATGGACACATTAGTGCAGGATGGAATTGAAATGTATTGGGCACTATAGAAATTACTTTGGTCTCTGGCTTTGTTTTTTCACCTCAGAAATGTGTATTTTTTTCTTCCTGCCATTGCAGTTCTAATTTTCTGTGTTGTGTCTCTGGGAGGAGTGAGTTGGTGCACCTGCTCATCCTGATTCATGATTTTCTTGTGCCTGTCAGTCTGAGACAGGCCACACTGATGTGTTTGCATCGGGTTGAAGGCTGAGAATTCTGACTCAGACCTGGCGACCCTGGCCTCTCCTTTTTGCAGACCTTAGAAAAGTGAGTGACTCACTGTAGAACCCAGGGCTACGCAGCCCCTTGCCTTCCTGGAGGAAGCAAAGGCAAGACGTGGAATCCAGTTTGTTCTCCTCTTGGTTGATCATGTGGTCATGGAATCAGTGCACGATCCACCTGCTCTGCCGGCCACCAGCGTTTAAAGACAAATGCAATGTTGTCTCTGCTTTAGGGGAAATTATTGTGTCCTACAGAGAGACAGTAACATGAACGAAGAGTTCCTGTGCTGGGGTGCACACCAGGGACTCCAGGCACACACAGCATGATGTAACAACACTGCATCAGAAGCCAGGGGGTGAGAGGGTTCTCTGCAGAAAAGGTCCGAGGAGGGGACTTCAATGCTGAGTCTTTTACAATAGATTGCCAGGCAGACAGAGATATTCTAGTTAGTGGAGGAAACCTGCAAAGACTACCTGGAGATGCAGAGAGGGCAGGTGCGTCCTGGGCTTGCCGCCACGTTGGGTGTGGGACACAGGCTGTGGGCCAGACACCAAGAGCAGGTGCAGGTGTGCGGGGATTGGGAGCCTCATGGAGACCCCACACTGCAGAGACTTCCTCCCGCTGTCTTCCAGAGCTGTGGGAGCCACACCAGTGTGCCAGGCCGTGGTGCAGAGGCTGTCCTGTGAACAGTGAAAACCAGGGAACTCAGATTTACATCCCGTTTATTATGTAATGGGAGGGAGGCGCCTTGCTCATGGAAATCCCTCTGGAACTGCATGAATTGGGAGGACTCTGTGGGTTGTTCTGGAGATGAGTGGGGAGGGAGGCAGGGGAAGGGCAGAGGTTTGGGGGCTCAGATCCATTCTTCTGGGTTTCCTTAAATCCCCAGTGAAGATGACATAATCACAGAATTGTCTTCGTCAAATGATTTCCCGAGGTGGGGGCAGTAAAAGGGAGGATTTTTTTTTTTGCAGCTGAATAGAAACGCATGTGTAGGTAGGAGGTATGTGTGAGAAAGCCGTCAGCTGAAGTCCAGGCACTGAGGCCACTGCCCTACTGAATCTTGCTCCTGGATCTTGGTCCTGGGACAGGCGGGTGTCTGAGGGCTGAGGAGCAGCGTGTGCAGCTGACACGGGCCAGTTGTGTTTCTGAAGAAGTGGTTTCCAGTTATGTCCACACCCTGGTGTCTGGGGTCTCCCACGCTGAGGGAGCAGGCAATGGCAGGGGCGTTTCACGCGAGGGTGAGAACAAGAGCGCTCTGCCTCTCCCGCCTCCTGGCTCTGGAAAAAGCATCAGGAACATGTTCTAGAAAAAGCCGCCTGTGATTCCTTCTTAAATTCCCTGGCTACCCTGGGATCTGGGATTCCTGGCCCTTCTGTTAAGAATCCCAGGTATCTCGGCCGTTATTTTTAGGCACTGCCACTTGTCATGATGTTCTTCCTGCAGTGAGAGCTGGGACATTTGGCTCCCGGGAAGCTTGGTTCCTTACTTCCATTTGAATTTCATTTGTTCTCTGGAACCCTTGCCAGCCCATTCTGAGTTTCTGATTAAAGCCCTTCCCGTCGTCCTGGTGGCCACGCCCTGGCTCCCAGCCCTTCTTACTGGGCTGCTGAAACACAGTGGTGGGCGTTGGCACAGGAAAAAGGGCCCCACTTGGTTTTTCTTTAAAAATCTTTGGAGTCTTATGACATCCTTGATCTTCATTTTTTGGACTCTCAATGAAACAACATAATGTATGTAAAACCCGCAATTTTGAGTCCTTTTGCTGGAATTCATTTGGCCTCTGTCTTGTCAAGAGGAGTAACCGAGGGGATGTTTGGTCCCCATGGCTGGAAGGAAACGGAGGAATGTTTGCCTCATGTACGTTTTATTTGTTAATCTTTCTTTTATTTGAGGAATGTTCTGTTATCAGTGGAAATATTCCCTTCTAGGAAATATTGCAGCACAAACATGTACTGTAAGACCTCGTGGCATTCCTGTGAGTTGGCTAGGATCTTGGAGGAAGAGCAAGTGTCTGATGTTTTTGTCGACAAACCTTTTCCTTTTCACCTTTTCCCTCTCACCTTTGGCCTCTAGACACTTTCCTGACCAAAGTCCATAAACACACATGCAGTCCAGCAGCCACGTGTGTTCTGAAATAGAAAAGGGTGACAAATGTTCTCTGAAGTTCATAACCTTTGGATTTTCACACACTGTGAATAATTCATAGGAGGGACTCTCATGATCCGGTTCTTTTCTTCTTATGATTTGTAAAGGGAAAAATTCTCACTAGAGATGAGAAAGACTGATAAATGGTTCCAGGTTAAATAAAACTAGAGATGTCACAAGTGCAACGTGTGGTTTTGTGCTGAGTTTTGTTTTTTCATTTCCTATAAAACACAAGAGTGGAACAATTGGCAAAATGTGAATAAGGTTTGTCAGTGAAGTACTAGTATTTCAAGATTTTGATCATCATATTGTGATTATTATGAAAATGCCATTGGTTTTAGTAAGCACATAATGAATCATTTATTATGTGAAGGGCTATTATGCCTGCAATGTAGTCTCATGTGGCTCTGAAAAAAATTACATGAAAGACAGAGAAAGAATCGTGAACATAAAATGTCAGGGTTTGGGAAATCAGGGTAAAGAGTATGTAGGAATTCCCTGTACTGCTTTTGTAACTTTTCTATATGTCTGAAATTATTTCAAAATGAAAAATTAAAAAAAAAATTTCTTAAGATGAAGAAATGTTGATAACCAACAGTTTGAAAAAGATCAGTCAGCATTTCACATTCCTGATTGAAAACATAACTTCCCCCTTTCCCCTCGATCTTTCTGTAGCTTCTTAGACTGTTTTGGGCAAAGATAAACAATATTGGAAATATATGGTTAGGGTTTTTTCTTCTTTCCTGCAAGAATATGTGGGAAGGAAGTGATATTTTCTGGAGTTCCTATGGACTCGTCTATAAGCATACCTTCCGATCCTGTCCCCGTCCGTTCCTGCAGAACCCTGCACAGTGGCAGCTGCTGTCTGTTCCCTTCAGAGAAGGAAGCTTTGGCTTATGGGTGGTCGGGTTGTGACGGGAATTCAGGCCTCTCTAGGGTCAGACCCTCTTTGCCACATCTGCTGCTTCCTTGACCCCTGATCATTCTGTGGGTTAGGGAGCCCTCTGTCCTGGAACAAATGACGGCCCTGGCCATGGTCCCGGGGGTGAGGGCAGAGTCTGCTGTGGACACCTGGCTGTGGGCATGAGGGGAGGGTGAGGGCAGAGCCTGCTGTGCAGATACCTGGCTGTGGGCACGAGGGTGAGGGCAGAGCCTGCAGTGGACATCTGGCTGTGGGCACGAGGGGAGGGTGAGGGCAGAGCCTGCTGTGGAGACACCTGGCTGTGGGCACAAGGGTGAGGGCAGAGCCTGCTGTGGAGACACCTGGCCGTGGGCATGAGGGGAGGGTGAGGGCAGAGCCTGCTGTGGAGACATCTGGCCGTGGGCACGAGGGGAGGGTGAGGGCAGAGCCTGCTGTGGAGACACCTGGCTGTGGGCACGAGGGGAGGGTGAGGGCAGAGCCTGCTGTGGACACCTGGCCGTGGGCACAAGGGGAGGGTGAGGGCAGAGCCTGCTGTGGAGACACCTGGCCGTGGGCACGAGGGGAGGGTGAGGGCAGAGCCTGCTGTGGAGACACCTGGCCGTGGGCACGAGGGGAGGGTGAGGGCAGAGCCTGCTGTGGACACCTGGCCGTGGGCACGAGGGGAGGGTGAGGGCAGAGCCTGCTATGGAGACACCTGGCCGTGGGCACGAGGGGAGGGTGAGGGCAGAGCCTGCTGTGGAGACACCTGGCCGTGGGCACGAGGGGAGGGTGAGGGCAGAGCCTGCTGTGGAGACACCTGGCCGTGGGCACGAGGGGAGGGTGAGGGCAGAGCCTGCTGTGGAGACACCTGGCCGTGGGCACGAGGGGAGGGTGAGGGCAGAGCCTGCTGTGGAGACACCTGGCCGTGGGCACGAGGGGAGGGTGAGGGCAGAGCCTGCTGTGGAGACACCTGGCCGTGGGCACGAGGGGAGGGTGAGGGCAGAGCCTGCTGTGGAGACACCTGGCCGTGGGCACGAGGGGAGGGTGAGGGCAGAGCCTGCTGTGGAGACACCTGGCCGTGGGCACGAGGGGAGGGTGAGGGCAGAGCCTGCTGTGGAGACACCTGGCCGTGGGCACGAGGGGAGGGTGAGGGCAGAGCCTGCTGTGGAGACACCTGGCCGTGGGCACGAGGGGAGGGTGAGGGCAGAGACTGCTGTGGAGACACCTGGCTCTTTGTTTTCATCCCACTTAGTGGGAACGGCAGCCTGTCGGAGTCGATCTATTTCCAGCTCCATTGAGTGGGACCTGCTTGAAACAGGCCACCTCTTCGATTCTTGCCTTGGTTTCTGCCCATCCCTACTTGGGGTGGCTCTGAGTCAGCTGCGCCTCCCAGGGGGTGGAGAGGAAGCGAGTGCTCACTTCTGCGAGGAGGCGTGTGACGTGGCTATTCCCGGCTTGTGGTGGGGACGGTGGAGGCAGAGCGGGCACTGGGTGCAGATGCGGAAACTCATCCTGCTTCATGCTCGCTCATGCTCATGAGCTCAGGGAGGCGGTGGACCCCAGCCCTGTGCCGGCTCTCGGGGAGATGGAACATTTGGGGAACCAGAGTACCCACCTTTTCTTCAGTTCAAGGCTATTCTGTCTGAAGAAGAACAGATCAGACGCACAGGTGTTCTCGGCTATAAGAGCAACAGAAGGAAAGAGTGATTTGCTGTCCAAAGATAGAGCTTTCCCTCAGCTCTGCCTCTTTAAAGTCTAAAGAGCATTCAGCATTCCCATAGTCTCCTTTCTGTCTCTTCAGCGTTTCCAAACCCTCTGAGTGTGATTTGTAGGAACGTGTATTACTCGGCTTCCGTTGGCACTGGGAAGGGCACAATACCTCAGCCCAGCAGAACCGTGTACCGCGAGCTGTGTAAGTGGCCATTAAACCCCACACACTTGAAGAGAGCCTGCTGCCATTCCCGCAGGGGACGCTGAGGCGGCTGCCCCTCGGGAGTGTTGGAAACAGCTTCTCTGAGCGACTCCACCATGGGGGCGTCTCTCTTCCTTCCCGGTGTGGGTCAAGGGCTCAGAGATGTGCTCTTTGCCTTGGACCCAAAGCTGTGTGTGGGAGTCCTCGCTGTACAAACCTTGTGTCAGCTGCCAACCACATGCGGTCGTGAGCCCAGGATGCCCGGCTCCTCAGTCCAGAGGGTCTGTCCATGTAAAGCATTTTACATGCTGGATTTTGAAGACTTGGTATGAAAACACATGTGAAGTAGCTTATTAATTTTTTTATGTGGATTGCATGTGGAAGTGATATTTTGCATATGTTGGATTAAATAAACTATATTAAAATTAATCTCACCTGTTTCTTATGGTTTTAATGTAGTTAATAAAGCCATAAATGGCACATGTGCTCACACTGTATTTCTCTTGGACGGTGTGGCTCTGTCGCATTTGCATACTCCTGCACCGAGTTCCATGTTTCAGGGCCGGGTGTGCCTCAGTCGTGTTCTGTCATCCGTCGTGTCTAAGTGTGTTTCCTTCACAAGATCTCTACACCCCAGCAGCCCAGGAGCCGTGCGTCCTGCTCTAGTTTCAGAGCTTCCCTCAAAGCATAGTGGTTCCTGTTTGTTGGATACTCGGTGGAATTCCACATAAACCTCTGGGTTGGCTTTTTGTTTTTCAGGGAGTATGAGTGTTTATGTGCTTTTTATGTGGTTATTATTAAAATGTCTATCAATTATTGTTCATATTTGCTTAATGAAATTTGGAGAGCTGCATAAGAGTGGGGACATTTAACAATGATTGTTTCTAGGAAACTGGGAACAGTCTAAGAGTCAGAGTAGGAAGTTCATTAAAATGACCGAGGACCCTGCCCAGTGGGACCCGTCTCCAACCTGCTGGAAATTAGCTCGCGGAGCACGTTGTGGGTTGAGCTGCCGGTGTGTTCTGACTGAGTGGAACAGAACACTGTGTACCGTGTGTCGCTGAGTCACAGTCGGTTTATGAAGAGGGTCTCTGAAGAGAGTGAGCCTCTGTAGGAGTCTGTGTGGCCCGGTCAGCAGAGCCTAGAGGGCCAGAGCAAGCAGCCTTGACTGCTCCCATCAAGAAAGAGAAGGGGACCCAAGGGGGCTCTATTTGAAGGTGGCCACACATGCTTCTACATTGGAAAAAGCAAAGTGCAGGAACCGACCAATGTGTAAAACTCGGGAAGGATGTTTGCTGTTGAGTAGGACCTCTGATTGCATTGCCTCCCCTGGGAGATGGCGGCCTTTCTTTTAAGAACTTAATGCCTAGGGAGGAAGGGAAGCCCAGCCGCCTCTCCCTCTCAGAGGGAAGCTCTGAAACTAGAGCAGGACGCATGGCTCCTGGGCTGCTGGGGTGTAGAGATCTTGTGAAGGAAACACACTTAGACATGACGGATGACAGAACACGACTGAGGCACACCAGGCCCTGAAACATGGAACTCGGTGCAGGAGTCTGAGCTGGAGCCTAGTTGGAAGCTGGAGCCTGGTTGCAAGCTGAGTGCAAGGTCCTCTCTTTTTGTTTTGGTTTTTTAGTTGCTGTTGGGCACTTAGGGTACAGCATGGAGGTGGCAGGGAGCTGCTGTTTAAGGGAATGCTCTGCAGATGCCCGGGAAGTTGGATGAGAGCATTTAGTCAACTTTTTCATGACTTTTGAATAAAAGTGCTGACCAGGAGAATGTTTCCAGCAGTGTAGGAGAAGATTCTGGTCCATCGTTTCACCACCGTGGACCATTTTCACAAAGCGCACTGCGTGACGTCAATGGGTAATCAATACTGCCCTTTCTAAAGGCCTAGGCTTATGTGTGAACTTTCCTCAGGCCTCAGAGCTGGTGGCGGGACCTGTTTCTGTGTACAGAGGTCTTGCCATGATGGCCTCCTGTGTGAAGGCCCCGCACATCTACAGACATGTGGTGCCCTTCAGCCATGGCACTCTTCTTAAGACTTTCTCCTGAGGACGCTCCTCAAGTCTCCCTCGCTCGCCTGACGAGGTGCTGCCTGTCTTGCTGTTGTACTGGGAAAATGCTATCATTTAGAAAGGATCTCTCAGCTGTGAGTCCTCTCTAGTCATTATCACCATGATGGGCATGCTGTTTCTTATGGATTCAAAAACATGCCCATATTTCACCATATTAAGATCAAAACAAGAGTGATGTTTTAAGTTTTTCATCATCTCTATTGTTTTAAAATCGGATCTAATTGTCACTGGCTTTCTCCAAAAAAATTTTTTTAAGAAGCCTATTTTTCCCCATGACTATGAGAGAGACTTCTTTAAAGAGATGCCAGTTAATGGAATTTTTTAGAATGTCGCATGATTTTCAAAGCCAAAAACAACACAGTGGAAAGACCCTCAGCTCTGTGGATGGTGGGGTGCATTTATCAGAGAGAGAGCAATCTTTCTCCACACAGGTCCCTGGAGTTGCTTGGGGCTGGAGGAGCTGGAGGAAATGCTGGAGAGAATACCCTTGGAAGGCAGGGGCCTTATCTTGCCCAACTGCCTCGCTGGGTGCCAGGTGGAGCTTGGATGGGACAGGGTCTTCTCCTCCATCTCCTACAATCAAGGGAATCTGGTGTTGTCTGCGTCTGTGCCCTGTGTCCTAAGGTGTATGTTCCCTGTCTAGGCCTCATTTTTCTCTTACCGAAAGTGAAGGAGTGGGATCGACTCTACGGACGCCTCCAAGTTCAGTGTCCTGCCTTTTTGTGACTCTGTGAGGAGGTGACAGGTGCCTGGGGTAGGGGGACAGGAGGTGTCCATCCCGGCCTTTCTGCAGTGCTGATCCAAGGTGGAGCTGAGGGTAGTTCAGCAGTTCTTACTCTCATATCAGGACCCTCTGGCCTTGTGTCTCAGACAACTATTCCTTCCACACATATCTGCTGAGGCCCTGCCGTGCACTGTGAAAGAGGAGGGGTGCTGCGCTTCCTGACTTAGGACATCAAACGTGCAGTGTGAGCTGCGGATCTCACACGAGCCTGGGAAGGCCACAAAGCTCAATGACAAGTTAGACTCAGCATGTTTTCCCTTTAAATTGAGACAGGGTCTCTCTCTGTTGCCCAGGCTGGAGTATAATGGTGACAGAGAGAGACCCTTTGAAGGCTCACTACAGCCCAGAACTCCCAGGCTTAAGCGATCCTCCTTCCTCCGTCTCTGGGTAGCTAGGACTACAGGTATGCGCCACCATGCCTGGCTGATTTTTAAATTTTTTTGTAGAGACAAGGTCTCACTATGTTGCCCATAGAGAGCTTGAGGTTGGATCCAAGTTCTCAAGGGGACGGAGGTGAAGAAGAAAGACCAGGCCTGGACCCTGAGCAGGCTGTAGTGGATGCATGGTTTGTGTGGAGCACACGGTGGGGGTAGGGAAGGGATCTGGGCCAGACCCAGCCTACAAGGGCCTCCCCTGCTCCCTGCAGAAGCAGTTCCTTATTCCTGACTGCAAGAAAGAGGCTTGGATGGCCACACTGGCCTCCTGCTCAGAAGCCAGAGTGTGACCTGGGGGTGACCAGCCGGCATGGCAGCCCTGTGTAGCTCAGCTTGTGGGGGGCTGTGGCCTGGCTGTGAGGTGGTGTGGGCACGGCCAGCCAATGTTTCAGCCCTGTGTGTCTCAGCACAGGGGCCACGGGAGCCAGAGGGAACCCAGGTCTCGGCTCTCATTGCCTCAGAGGCCAAGGAGAGGGCAGAGGATGGGAGAGAAAATGGCAGAAACTCCCAGGCCTCTGCCTTAAGCCCCGAGGAAGAGTGTGAGGATGAGACCAAGGTATGAGGTGAAGGGCATCTGTGCTAAGGAGGCTGAGCCTTTCTGTTCAGAAACCTCTGCAGGCAACCTCCAGAGACGCAGCAGAGCAGCCACCGGCAGGGCTGCAGAAAGCGGGATCACGGCCCCTGCCTGGGAGTGGGAGGTGCAGACACAGGGGCTGGGGTGCCTGGGAGTGGGAGGTGCAGACACAGGGGCTGGGGTGCCTGGGAGTGGGAGGTGCAGACACAGGGGCTGGGGTGCCTGGGAGTGGGAGGTGCAGACACAGAGGGGCTGGGGTGCCTGGGAGTGGGAGGTGCAGACACAGGGGCTGGGGTGCCTGGGAGTGGGAGGTGCAGACACAGAGGGGCTGGGGTGCCTGGGAGTTGGAGGTGCAGACACAGGGGCTGGGGTGCCTGGGAGTGGGAGGTGCAGACACAGGGGGGCTGGGGTGCCTGGGAGTGGGAGGTGCAGACACAGAGGGGCTGGGGTGCCTGGGAGTGGGAGGTGCACACACAGGGGCTGGGGTGCCTGGGAGTGGGAGGTGCACACACAGGGGCTGGGGTGCCTGGGAGTGGGAGGTGCAGACACAGAGGGGCTGGGGTGCCTGGGAGTGGGAGGTGCACACACAGGGGCTGGGGTGCCTGGGAGTGGGAGGTGCACACACAGAGGGGCTGGGGTGCCTGGGAGTGGGAGGTGCACACACAGGGGCTGGGGTGCCTGGGAGTGGGAGGTGCACACACAGGGGCTGGGGTGCCTGGGAGTGGGAGGTGCAGACACAGGGGCTGGGGTGCCTGGGAGTGGGAGGTGCAGACACAGGGGGGCTGGGGTGCCTGGGAGTGGGAGGTGCAGACACAGGGGCTGGGGTGCCTGGGATTGGGAGGTGCAGACACAGGGGCTGGGGTGCCTGGGAGTGGGAGGTGCAGACACAGGGGCTGGGGTGCCTGGGAGTGGGAGGTGCAGACACAGGGGCTGGGGTGCCCACTCGGAGGCCCCAGGCTGCGGTCCCATGAGGGGATGGCTGAGGCCTTCCCAGGGTGAACACGTACAGGCTCCTGAGAGCGCACACCAGGCCCCCAACTGCCCATGAGAGAATCCGGGAATAGAAGGAGCCGGGATCTCCGTCTTTAAGGTGGAAAGCTTCTTTGGCTGCTATGGAGTGCAGTAGGGTGCTTGGAATGTGAACGAAGGCCACAGAGCTGTGGAAAGACAGTGGGGCGTGGGGCGTGGGGCCTGAAGACATGGCTTATGGCTTGAGTTTTACTACGTATTTGATGACTCTTGTGACATTTACTTAAGTTCTCTGAGTTTCCATTTCACCTTTAAAATTGGGAGAACAATAATGGCGACATTCTGAGCTGGTCAGGTGGCCAGGATGGGCAGAGGCACGAAAACCAATGCCTGCGACATGAGGTGGTCCTGTGAGGTTGACAGAGCCAGGCACAGGGACAGAGAGAGAGAGAGAGAGAGGGAGAGGGAGAGAGAGAGGGAAAAGGGTGCTGAAGCCCAGGAGTTCCCTGTGATTTCACCCTGGGTGGTTCGTCCCTGCTTAGCCGGGATTCTTCATCTGAAATGTGGGTGTGGACATCGTCTGTGAGTGTATTGTGAGGAACATGCAGGAGCTGACCACATCCGTGTCCATGACATGCGGTCAGAGGCTCTGGGTCACTTTGAATTCAGGGCTCTGGCAACAGCTGGGGAGGGCAGCCTGGGACGTTTTCGGGGGAAGGGGGAAGGAAAGGTTTTCAGGACAGTTTGGAAAACCAAAGTTCATTGATGCTCTCCCTCTTCTCCCATGTCTCCAGATGCTGGGGTTTTGTTTTACAAAAATTTAAAATAGTTTTCTGCAGCCACTTTTGTTCTGATCATTATCCAATGAGAAAAGATCACCACCTTTCTGGGAAGAGTTATTGGTGGTTGTCCACCCACCTCACTGAGGTCTCTGCTCTGGGAGGAGGGGAGGAGGCAGTCAGGCTGCTCGGGAGGCTGAGCCCAGGAGTCACCAGCCCTGAGATGTCCCCCAGAGCGGGCGTAGGGTACCACCTGCCAGGAGAGGGGAGCAGCGGGGTCACAGTTCAGGGATGCCCCCACCCATCTACAGGTTTTGCAGGAATCACACATAGTTAGCCTTTGTACCAGAAGCACGGTACAGAGCTCAGCAGTGTGCTTTCAGACAGCCCCACCAGAGAACAGGCCCTTTCCCAGGAGCTTTCGTGTGGGACCCTCAGGGGGGTCGTGGGATGCTGCTGTCCCTGCGTCTGAGTCCTGTTTGTGGGGTGGAACTGGTCACCTGATCTCAGCTGGGCACAGCTAGTGACCAGACAGACACAGCAGATGCTGTCTGGTTTTAGCATAGACTGAGGTTTGGGCAGTTAGGATCTGTGTATCTAGGATTTTGGGAAAAGCCAGTGGCTTTTCTTGGGCAGCGGCAAGGTGAGATGTACCAGGGTCATGTCCCAAGCCCGGTCCAAGCAAGGCTCCCCCATGCCCTTTTGCTTTGTCAGCCAAGGGTCTGTGTTACTCACTCGAGATGTGCACATCAGGCTGGAAACCCGTCAGACTCTAGATGCCACGAGGGCTCATTACTAACTAAAAAGTGCCTTTAAAAACCGTGGAAGAGTGTCTCCATCTGGAGATTGCCTCTCTCCCTGCTCCCCTTTCTCCACAGGCGCTATTGGAAAAAATAACAGCAGCTCTCATCGTTCTGGAGATCTAATTCTCAGGAAGTGTGCATTTCAATCTGCCAGCCACAGCGAAAAGCCATGGTGTCCTAAGCAGCTGTGTCCCCTCTATGTTATTATTCTTTGTGCGGCTTTCTTTGATTGGGATGAGCTCTCTAGCATTTAGGAAATTGCAAGCATATAATATTTTACATCAGTGTAGGTCCTATATTCTGATTCAGTAGCCACAAAATACATTTTTTTTTTTGAAAATCCTCCCTTTCTTTTTTTCCTCATTGGAAGTTTACTGAAACCTCTGGCATTAAACTCAGCATTTACAGGGCTGACATTACAGGTGCCCGGAGGTTTTGGCTGGGAAGCGGGGGTGCTGATGCATCATCAGTGGGAATGTTTTTGTTGTCTCTCTTTAAAAAATGGTCTTTTTTTGTAGAGATGGGCTCTCTGTTGTCCAGGCTGGTCTCGAATTCTAGGCTTCAGTGATTCTCCTCCTCTGGCCTCGAGTCACTGGGACCACAGGTGCATGCCACTATGTCCAGCTAATATTTGTAGAGATGGGGTCTTGCACTGTTTGCTCAGGATGGTCCTGAAATCCTGGGCTTAAGTGATCCTCCTATTTCAGCCTTCCAAAGTGCTGGGATTACAGGCAGGAGCCAATGGGCCCAGCCCTGAGCATTTCTGTTTATCTAAAGCTCTGCTGCCGCCTGTGTAACCTGACCTCACATTTATTCTTCCCACTTCAGGGAGGGAGCAACACACACTTGTAGTGTTTCTGGCACACTCAGCACTCACCTTAGAAATGTTGGGGTCTTTCTCCTCCCACCTGGAGGAGAGAACAGAAAACCAGAGTCCCCACCTGGGATGTACTTTTCCCACTCACATCATCCAGAACAGCCAAAATCCATCTCCAGGTCCAGCATCCCAGCTCTCCTGGGCTTGGACTATCATTTCTAAACTCCATAGATGACTTTTACCTTTCACGGCATTTGGCAGCTCAGCTGCATTTCATGCTGTGGAAGACTCAGGAGCTAACATCTCATCTTCACCTCTTCATCCTTCATTTTCCCAAAGAAAGCTTTCATCGTATTTCAGTGAGGCAGAGTCATGTTAGCCAACCCCACTTCTGACACCAACTTCACTGGGGTCCTTAAGACCAACTACAGACTTGGTGATTTGCTAGGATTCACAGGGCTCAGCATGAGGTTTTACTCACAGGTAGAATTCATTACAGTGAAAAGACATAGAGCTAAGCCAGCAAAGGGAAAAGGTGCACAGGTTGGAGTCTGGAGGAAGACAGTGCAGGCTCCCAAAACTCCCTCCCAGGAGAGCCACACGGGCATGTTTGCCTCTCCAGTGATGCGTTGCAAGGGTGTGCGGAACACCATCTATCAGCGCTGCTCATCGGAGCCTGGGAGTTCGGGGTTGGATTGTGGGTTGGCCACATGGGCATATTGAGCTTGCGTGACTGACCACAATCCGAATTCCTGACTTTCAGAAGAAAATCAGGTGCTCAGCTGGCATCACATTGTTTATACAGAGGGTGTGCGCACAGTGAGGAACTCTTACAATTTTAGGGGCTATTTTATACCAGACCACAGGGTAGAGAAATGTTTACCAGTTGAGTGCTCAGACACAGGATGGCCACTTTTCCAGGCAGCCTTTCTAGGGATCGCATTCTCAGGCTTGCTGCTTGCCTTTCTGCACAGCGTGTCATCAGTGGGAAAAAAAAATCATACGGCGAGATTTTACATTTTTTAATGTGAAGTCCTTGAAATCCAGTGTGTATTTTTATGCACCGGACACTTTGGTTTTGACTGGCCACGTTTCATATGTGCGGCACCCGCGTGTCTGGTGGCTGCTCTGTGGGAAAGTAGAGCTCCGGTGTGTGGACGTCATGACGCGGCCATCCCGCCACAAGCACAGCAAGAACCGCTGTGTACAAGATCATGTGGAGGAGGTGGCGTGTGGACGTCGTGATGTGGCCATCCCGCCACAAGCACAGCGAGAACCGCTCTGTACACGATCATGTGGAGGAGCTGGCATGTGGACGTCGTGATGTGGCCATCCCGCCACAAGCACGGCAAGAACCACTGTGTACAAGATCATGTGGAGGATCTGGCATGTAGACGTCGTGATGTGGCCATCCCGCCACAAGCACAGCGAGAACCGCTCTGTACACGATCATGTGGAGGAGCTGGTAGTAAATTTTGATCTAACGCACTATTTAGTGAAACATTATGGATTAGATTGAAAATTGTCAAAAGTTAATGAAGGTATCTGAACAGTGTGTGCTTAAATTTCTCATCCAGAATTCCAGGAAGTCAACCTTAATCTCTCATAGATAAGATTTGAATCTGTCAGTGTTGAAGATCAATAGTGAAGACATCAAGATCTCCCTGCAGATGATTAATTTTGAGATTACAAACATAACACAGCTTTGTTTTCACAAATCTGTGACTTGTTTTGGCGTAGAGACCATTTGGTATCTAACTATATTGTATAATTTGCCCAAATGAGGAAGGCAGTATGACTGTTGCTCAGAAAATATTTTGCTGCTGATCTGTTAGGTGGTAACTGATCCCTGTGGGGTGATCCAGTGGGCGGTAACCCGTCCCTGTGAGTGATTCACTGGGTGGTAACCAGTCCCTGTGGGTGATCCAGTGGGTGGTAATTGATCCTTGTGGGTGATCCAGTGGATTGTAACCAGCCCATGTGGGTGATCCAGTGGATATGGTAACCAGTCCATGTGGGTGATCCAGTGGGTGATAACTAATCCCTGTGAGTGATCCAGTGAGTGGTAACCAATCCCTGTGGGTGATCCAGCAGGTGGTAATTGATCCCTGTGGATGACCCAGTGGGTGACAACTGATCCCTGTAGGTGATCCAGTGGGTGGTAACCAGTCCCTGTGGGTGATCCATTGGGTGGTAACCAGTCCATGTGGGTGATCCAGTGGGTGGCAGTCGATCCCTGTGGCTGACCCAGTGGGTGGTAACATCCCTGCAGGTGACTCAGTGGGTGGTAGCTGATCCATGTGGGTGATCCAGGGGGTGGTAACCAGTCAATATGGGTGATCCAGTGGGTGGTAATGATCCCTGCGGGTGATCCAGTGGTTGGTAACGACTTTGTGCAGGTGATCCAGTCAGTGGCAGCCAATCCCTGCAGGTGATCTGGTGGGTGGTAACTGATCCATGTGGGTGATCCAGGGGGTGGTAACCAGTCGATATGGGTGATCCAGTGGGTGGTAATGATCCCTGCGGGTGATCCAGTGGTTGGTAACGACTTTGTGCAGGTGATCCAGTCAGTGGCAGCCAAACCCTGCAGGTGATCTGGTGGGTGATAACTGATCCATGTGGGTGATCTGGTGGGTGGTAACTGATTTTCCTAGTGATCTGTGGAGTGATAGTTGGTCACTTCTGGGTGTTTAACACAATCTATGTGTTAGATGTGACTAATTCAAGAGCAAAGTTCTTTCCACCCCAATTTCTGTTCTGTTCAGTTTGGGAATTCTTTGACAGAAACCTGTATTGGGGAGAATGAGGATTCAGTGCACAAAACACCCCTAAGAACCATGACTTTTGTTTTTATTTTTCCATTATCTGACTGGTTTATAAAAAGTGTGAGCAGTGTTTTAAATCCAAGGCACCAGCAGCTGATGGCTGCTTCTGGTCCCCTTCCCTGCACTCCTGTCTATGTCCTCCCTCCTGGGAGTGGATCTATGCATCTCTCCTTGGCCTGTCACCAGAAACAATTCTCAGAATCAGGTCATTGGCCTATGGAGAAAGAGTGAGTTTCTAGACCCCTTTTGAAACTGACATGTTGTTTGACCTTGAATACAGGTGTAGCATTTCTGTGTTTATTGTTAGACTTTAAATTTTCCTAGTTTACTAGCAGCTAGAAATACTAAACTCACGAAGAATGAGGCTGAGCCCCGGACAAGCTGAGGTCACCATTTCCCTCCCTGCCCCATCTTTGTCTCTTCTTACTCAGCCCGGAGAACAGCTAAAAACGCCACCACTTAACGTGCATTTGTGTAAGAGTTTGTTCCCCCAAAAAGCCTATTGAGCATTACTTGTGGTTTATAAGTTTAAGGAATGAACATTGAGTCATTTCTTTAGCAGCATCTTTATTGGGAACATTTACAGGGAACATTTTCTAATTTTCTCCAAGTTAATTCCTTTTCTTGCTTTTGCTCTCTCTCTCACTCTCTCCCTCTCCTCCCTCTCTCGCTCCCTCGCTGTCCATTTCCCCCTCTCTCTCTGCGTGTGTCTCTTTGCCTACATTAATGTTGTTTTGTCTGAAATATGTGTGTTGAAGTTCCCATGTTTCCTTGAAGACATGGGAAGTTCCTGGAAAGTAACGAGACTGATCTTCTCCTGTGCCCTTTTAAGAAGTTAGTTGATGACTGTGCCCCACTTTGCTGCATGGTCTCTGGGGGGTTGAACTCCTTTGCTCCTGAATAGGCGTAAACTTGCCTTCCAGGGCTGCAGCCTCCTGTGCTCAGCACCCCCATTTGTGTGTCCCTGTGATTGCAGGAAGGCTCTGGGAAGCTGCGCTTGGGCAAACCCTTAGCGTGACCCCCTGACTCCCCCAGGGAGTCACACATTGATTGTCATCTGATCTCCTGGGATGTGTATTGGCATTTGTCTGAGTAACTTGGTGCTTCTGTGAGAATAGTGCTGTTTCTTAGGTTTTTTTTTTTTTTTTGACAGTCTCACTCTGTCATCCAGGCTGGAGTGCAGTGGTGCGATCTGGGCTCATTGCAAGCTCCGCCTCCCGGGTTCACACCATTCTTCTGCCTCAGACTCCCGAGTGTCTGGGACTACAGGCGCCCGCCACCACGCCCGGCTAATTTTTTGTAGTTTTTGTAGAGACGGGGTTTCACCATATTAGCCAGGATGGTCTCGATCTCCTGACCTTGTGATCTGCCCGCCTTGGCCTCCCAAAGTGCTGGGATTACAGGCGTGAGCCACCGCGCCCGGCCCGTTCCTTAGTTTTTACTTGTCACACAGTGTGCATGACAGAGTGACTAGATAGGGGTTCTTTCTGTTTTTATTTCTAGATTGAAATTTTGCATGGTAACAGCAGACAGGTAATACCTGTCTAGGTGGCTGCCACCGCAAAGCCCATGTTATCACTCTGAGTGTCAGGACTGAGTGCCATAGTGGTCTTGAGAATTCTCTATGAACTCTGTGGACTGCAGAGCCCTTCTCATTACAAAAGAACTGCCATTACACACAGATAGAAACAGCAATAGCACAGCAGCTCCCCCGTCCCTGACGGTGGCTGCCAGCAGCCTTCGTAGCACAGTCTGTGCATAAAGCAGGAGGAAAAGCCACCGGCCGCCCTGTCCTGCTGCCGGGGTTGCGCACCGGGCGAGGGCTCTGGGACGTCGGGTAGCAGCACCACCTGCTGGACACCGGTGGCTGCACTCGGCTGCACCTGCGGCTGGAACGGCTTCAGGCTCCCAGGAAGGCGCCTCCCAAGAGAGACTTTCTAGTTCCCTCTGGGATGGCATCCCTGGCTCCGGGTGCGCCCGCATCTGCCAGGAAGACTGTCTTTCAATTGAACACAGCAGCCGAGTCATGCTTTACAGTTGTTCTTACTGTAAGAACAACCCAGGAGCCCGGGGAGCTGCATCTGCAGGGCTGCCCCACACTCTCTACCAGGAATCTCCCGGGGTCCACTCTCGTTCCTGTCAGGGGCTGGGCGCCAGGTGGTTTGGGCCCTGGGGACGGGGGCAGGGGTCCTGGCAGCAGAGGGGTCCTGTCAGCAGGGGCTCCCTCACACAGGACGTAATTTTGCGGGAAGGATTTTCATGTTGCGCTGGCCTTGCACTTGCTGCGACAGGCCCCTTACGTCCGCGCGGCTCAGCCCTGCCCTTACACGAAGCGTAGAGACGGTGGCGGCTGTGTTCCAGTAAGATGTGGCCCGTGGAGCCTGTGGTGGCTGCAGGTTGCTGATCCTGGACCCACAGGTTGCCGGGCCCCTCGGTGTGCCTGCCAGTCTCACACCAACCGGCCCAGGCCCCGCTGGCTTCAGCCTGGTCACCACCTCCACGCGCGGCGCTGTCTGCTCTTGGCCGGGCCATCCTGTCCTGGCCCTCCCTGCCCACGGCTCCGGGAAGGGCTCTGCCAAGAGACTTCTCCATTCCCACCCGTCACTTTTGAGGATCCGGCTCCCCGGTCCCTCCTGTGCCAGCCAGCATGTGCCATGGCTCCCCGACCCTGTGCCAGCCCGTGTGTGCCATGGCTCCCGACCCCGTGCCAGCCCATGTGTGCCATGGCTCCCCAACCCTGTGCCAGCCCGTGTGGGCCATGGCCCCACCGAACCCGTGCCAACCCGCGTGTGCCATGGGTTCCACCGACCCCGTGCCAGCCCGCGTGCGCCATGGCTTCCCTGATCCCATGCCAGCCCGCGTGTGCGCCATGGCTCCCCCGACCCCGTGCCAGCCCGCGTGCGTCATGACCCCACCGCGTGTGCGCCATGGCTTCCCCGACCCCATGCCAGCCCGCGTGCGCCATGGTTCCACTGACCCTGTGCCAGCCAGTGCGGGCTGATCTGCTGCCCAGCTGTGGGCGTCCTGAACCCCAGGCCGTGGGACAACTTGGGCCGGGAGAGAAGATCTTTCACTTTGATTTGGGGCATAGGTGGAGGCTCCCCCTACGGCCCTGTGTGGAGGACCCTGTTTCCTGGGTGCTGTGATGCCACTGGCCTCGACCCTGGCTCCTCATGCGTGTCGCCTGCGGGCGTGAGGTCCGTGCAGAGGAAGGAAGAAAGAGGAAGTAAGACGTGAGCTCGGCCAGCCCCGGGTGCAGGAGGAGTGGGCGAAGCGGGCGACAGGGTCCCATGCCTTCCCCTTCCTTCCTCAGGCCCGGCCTCCATCTCTCCCACCACACCAGGCGCCTGCTGGGTGATGGCGGGGTCACAGCAGGGGAGACGTTGGCTCCTCCGCTCTGCTCCCTGAGCCCCACGGGGCCTGAGTGCAGAGGAAGGAGGTGAAGTAAGCGGTGACAGTGGGTTCCTCAAGGCGCCGTGGAAGGCGAGGCTGCGTTCTCAGAGCCAGGCCGGGGTTGCAGTGTGGAAATGCCGCGGCGCTGCCCGGCCCCACGTCTCCCTGCTGCTCCAGCGCAGCCCAGGCCACCCTTCTCACTGCCCCTGGGGCTGAGTGAGCAGGGCTCAGGCCGTGGGGAGCCAGCCTTGTCAGACACTGCCTTTCGCCATGAGTGACCGGGCAAACACCTCATGCTTTGGAGCAGAGGCGCGTCCTGGCCTGAAGCCACTCGGGAGCCAGGGCTGGTGTTAGGGTGGGAGCAGGGCCCGTGGGCGTGACTGCCGCCATCTTGGCGGGGGGACGCCAGGGTGAGAGCAGGGCCCGTGGGCGTGACTGCCGCCATCTTGAGGAGTCGCCGGGGTGGGAGCAGGACCTGTCGGGGTGGCTGCCGCCATCTTGAGGGGACGCCAGGGTGGGAGCAGGGCCCGTGGGCGTGACTGCCGCCGTCTTGAGGGGATGCTGGGGTGGTTGGAGGTCGTGGCTCTGGAGAGGTTGGGTATTTAGAGATACAGCTGAAGGGATTTGTGGGTGGAAAGGACGTGTGGTTCCTGGAGTAGATGGGATCAGGGATGCATCAAGGGTCCAGCCTGTGCTGTGGAAAGCCAAGTTGCCATTTGTCGGCAGGAAAAGGAGGAACTTTCCTAGTTCAGGCACAGGTGCGGACCAGGCCGTTGGGCGTGAGTCTGGGATTCAGGATGGGTTCGTGGCAGACACCACGCTGGATAGTCCCAGCTGTAGACAGTGTTTAGAGCCACGGATTGGCTGGGGCCGCCCAGGAGTGAATGCGGATCCAGGAGAGAGGATGAGGAGGGAGGGGTCTGCAAGAGGAGCCCTGGGCTTCCGGAGCTGAAACTCGGGAAGATGCGAACATTCAAGCAGAAAAGAAGAGGAAGGCACAGTCGGGCCAGTGCCTGCCGGGGCAGGACCCCACACGTGGGCGCGTGCCAGGGCGTGTGCTCCCCAGGACGGGCCTCCCCGCTGCAGCTTCCTCATTGTGGGTCACTCTTTTTCTGGCAGGTCCTCTTTCTCCTACATGTCCTCGTTCCCACCCCCCTTGCAGTGTCCCCGGTTGTCCTCAGGTCAGTTCAGGGACCCGGCAGATGTTCTGCTGTCAGGAACGGGCAGAGAGTAGAGCTAAGAGGCTTTTGTGGGGGCCGTCCTGGGACGCAGGTCACGCGGGCCCTCCAGAGAACACAGGCACCCACAGTGACCCTTTGGTCTAATGGAACCGGCGCTTTTCTCTTGGTGGCAGATGAGTAAAAATAGCGTTGATTTTCTGCTAACAGGAAATGGGAGTCGTGGAAGATACTTATCTGGGCCCAGCAGCTTTTAGTACATTTTCAAAGCGAGGCACACACACAAAGAGACACTCGGACAAATCGCTGCAATGTGTCCCGTCTTGCTTCTCCAGGGGACCCAGGTCTTTAGGACGCCTTATCTGCCCGGCAGCACCTGCCTTGGTGCCGCGGGGCTCAATACTCAGGGACTGCAAGTGAAGTCACCTGGAACGGGAGAGTCCAAAACAGTGACTCGGGGCTGGGTTTTCAATCTCATGCCCGGCTGAAGTTAATTTTGTGATCTCAAGATGCAGCTTCTTGATAACATGGTACCAAAAATCATGAGGAAATACAGCATGGCCCATTTTGCTTTATTTGATGATTGTGATACAATTTGACAGGGACGCAGATTTACAAAAGAGCACTTCCCAGAGAAAATCATTCAATATCCCTTTGTTCAACCTTTTAATTATTCAAAGAATACATAAAATAATGCCTCTTACCAAGCGCTTCCTGCGGGTCACGTCATGTCACTTGCAGCACCATTTATGAAGGAACATTTGGTATACAGGTGAGAAAACATCTTTGAAGATAAAATACAGCACAGTTAGTAAATTGTAAGAGCGAAATCTAAACCTGACCTGTTCATCTGACCATTACTTCTCACCTTTCCTTGTAGAAAAATTTGTAGAATATTTCTTTTTTTCTTTTTCTTTTTTTTTTTTTTTTTGAGATGGAGTCTCGCTCTGTCACCCAGGCTGGAGTGTAGTGGCACGATCTTGGCTCACTGCAACCTCCGCCTCTCGGGTTCAAGCATTTCTCCTGCCTCAGCCTCCCGAGTAGCTGGGATTACAGGCATGTGCCACCGTGCCCGGCTAATTTTTTTGTATTTTTTTAGTAGAGATGGGGTTTCACCATATTGGCCAGGCTGGTCTCGATTTCCTGACCTTGTGGTCCACCCGCCTCAACTTCCCAAAGCGCTGGGATTACAGACGTGAGCCACCGCGCTCGGCCCTAGAATATTTCTTATATTAAAAGATCGAGTGAAGCCAAGGAAAAATTCACCTGTATCTCCTGCCCTGCAGTAATCACTTTGATTATTTGGATTCCTATTTTGTTTATATTTTCTTCACATAGACCATGTAAATAGCATAAGAATATGCATACTACATTCTATTTTTTTAACTTAACATTGTATTGCCAATATCTTTCCATATTCATTTTTCCAAAACATTATTTATCATATTCCATTGTGTGCCTATACCATAATTTACTTCAATTATAGGATATCTATCTTGTTTCTGATATTTTGTTACTTTAAAAAATAGTGCAGTGACTCTGTGTCTTTTCACACATTGGATAAATGTATTCTGTTGCCCTGGCTGGAGTGCAGTGGTGTGATCTCGGCTCACTGCAAACTCTGCCTCCCAGTTCAAGTGATTCTCCTGCCTCAGCCTCCCAAGTAGCCAGGATTACAGGCACCTGCCACCACACCTGGCTATTTTTTTGTTTTTATTTTTTAATAGAGATGGGGTTTTGCCATGTTGGCCAGGTGGGTCTTGAACTCCTGACCTCAGGTGATCTGCCCGTCTTGGCCTCCCAAAGTGCTGGGATTACAGGCGTGAGCCACTGCACCTGGCTGATAAATGTATTTTAAAAGGGAAAGCACACTTTTAGTACCCTTGATAATTATTGCGTTCATGAAGCTTTTCCTAGTTCATGCTCACTATTTTTAATAACTCAGAAGATGTGTACTGCGTGGCATGCTGTGCTGGGACATGTCCAGGTGCTCCTTGCAGGCATTAGAGCATCGTCATTCAGACGGGTCCTCACCTGGGGCGTCATGCATTTCCTAGATCAGATGAGTTTTAAAGGAGGAGAGTAACTAATGACCTTAGTGGCTAAAGGCGGTCTCAAATCCATGTTTATCTTACCCCCTTTTCCCACAACTGTTAAGAAACAATCATTTCAAGGCCCTGGTAGACTCATTGGAACCACTTGGAAGCAAAGTAACTTGAAGAGTAAGGGGATGAGTTCTGGGCATGCCGTTTGCTCCTGCTGATCCTGACTCTGGTTCCTCCACTTGGACTTTGTCCTTGCCCTCCCGGGAGTGCCCTCTCCCAGTGGGTTCTCCTCCAGTGGCACTGACCTCTCCTTTTTGGTTGAGTTTTCTAGTTCCATTTTCTCTCCAGGTGTGGAGGAGTGCAGGCCTCCTGCCCAGCTCATGGAGCCTGCATTGATGGAACCACCTTGTAAAATAATCCGACCCATTTTGCAGAGCTGAAAGGATGTGCCTCCTTGTGACCCCATATTTCCCAGTACATCCTAGAGCCCAGGTTTTTAACTTTCAGAGCTTAGGACCTCTTGATGCTATTACTAAGGGCCAACAATTCCCCAGAGCTTCTGTTTATGTCTCTTGATGTTTATTGCATTCGAAATTAAAATGGAGAACATTTCAAATTATTTAGTGCTTCATTTAAAAATAATCCTTTGGGAGGCCAAGGATCATTTGAGGTCAGGAGTTCAAGACCAGCCTGGCCAACATGGTGAAACCCCGTCTCTACTAAAAATACAAAAATTAGTTGGGTGTAGTGGTGGGCGTCTATAATCCCAACTACTCAGGAGGCTGAGGTGGGAGAATCATTTGAGCCAGGGAGATGGAAGCTGCAGTGAGCTGAGATCACGCCACTGTACTCCAGCCTGGGTGACAGTGTGATACATGATCTCAAAAAAATAAAAATAAAATAAAAATAATCAACATATTTCATATTAATAAAAGAAACAGGTATATATGAAAAAACACCTATTGTCCACAAAACACCTTACCAAATTTGTGATGAGTAGCATTATTTTATGTTATTTTTTCAGACTTCTCTAATTTCTGGTATATTAGAAGCATGTGGAGTCTCATGTTTGCATCTTTGATGTGACATGTTATTTTGGTTCAGGTATATGAAGAAAATGCATTCTCACACAAATATGGAGTTAGGCCATATTGATAAACACTTTGTCATTCCTTATGTTGAAATCTGTTGGTCTGTTTTATGCTTTGGAAGGTTCTTTTGCTCATACATGAGATTATAGCATCATGCACTGGTCATTTGGAAATTATTGGTTCACTGAATTATGCAGGTCTTCAAAATGCTGACAGATCCTATACAACATGGAAAAATCTCATTCATTAATATCACTACCAATTTCATCAGAAAAGCCTTTAAAGTTTTGGAAAGCTTCCTGGCTCATGGTGTTAAATACAGATATTCGAAATTTCTATGTTTCTTTTTTTTCTTTTTTCTTTTTTTTGAGATGGAGTTTCGCTCCATTGCCCAGGCTGGAGTGCAGTGGTGCATTCTTGGCTCACTGCAACCTCCGCCTCCCAGGTTCAAGCAATTCTCTGCCTCAGCCTCCCGAGTAGCTGGGATTACAGACACTTGTCACCACGCCCGGCTAATTTTTGTATTTTTAGCAGAGACGGGATTTCGCCATGTTGGCCAGGCTGGTCTTGAACTCCTGACGTCGTGATCCACCCACATCAGCTTCCCAAAGTGCTGGGATTACAGGCGTGAGCCACCGTGCCTGGCCCAAATTTTTAAATTTCTAATTTTTGCTTGGAAGCTTAAATTTGATCACTGATAGCAAATACTTTCAGTTGTTTTTCTGAAAGTTATAGTGTCTTTGATTCTTTTTTAAAAATAGAATGTCTGCCATGTTGCCAAATCCCAATGACTGTGGTTTTGTCCATCAGTCTTTTTTCACATAAAAACAGAGTTGCGTGAAAGAAAGTGCCGAGTGGAGCTGACGCTGTCACAGTGAAATTGAGAAAGAAAGTGCCGAGTGGAGCTGACGCTGTCACAGTGAAATTGAGTGCTTCCGTTTAAGACAGTCGTTTCCTTTGCAGCAGAAGCGCTTTATGGGACTTTCCATTTGGTCAGTCACTCAGATGGCTGAAAAGAGCTGAGATTTAATAAAACTGATCTTGGTTGATGCCTCATCAAGGATGTTCTTTAGTGAAACAGACTCTTTTTAAACTGCAAGTGTTTGCTGTGGAAGGTGCCATGAGGACTTGTGCCACTGGTGCTGGCTGTGTTGACTTCTTTGGAGACACCAGCAAGCAGCTAGCTCTCCCCTATGTGTGCACTGTTAGGCAACCCTCATCATTATAATGAAAGTAGTTTTGACGTCTTGAACCCCTGAAAGAGTGTCAGTGGCTCCCAGGAAAAGGTTGTCCACACTGCCTAAGAGAAATTTTTTTAAGGTGCATAATGTGGCATTTTTAAAGTTACCAGTTTTTTGTGTAGTGAGAAAATTCGAGATCTATTCTCAGCACATTTTATGTGCGCAATACAGTATTATTAACTATAGTCACCATGTTGTACAATAGAACCCCAGAACCTGTTCATCTATAAGTGAAAATTTGTATTACCCTTTGACATTTCTCCATCCCTCTCGCCTCCCTTCAGCCCCTAGGAGAAACTCTTATACAAGTGACCAAGAAATGTGTTCAAAATGTTCACGGACGCAGTATCTGTAATACTAAAATTTGGAAACACATATAAATGTTCATTGACTAGAGAATGTATAAATTGTGTTGTATTTATAATGTAACTGAATATTACACAGCAGTGGAAAATGAACTGCAGCTTCATACATCAGAAAGGGTATATCTTAGAAACATCCCATAGAGAATAAAAAGCAAGTCATACAGGGAGACATATAATAGGATTGGATTTAGATAAAGTTTAAAAACCTGGAAAATAAGCAATATATTGATTATGGTTACATATATGATACAACCATAATAAAAATCAAGGGACTAATTAGTTGAAAATGCATGACACTGGTTAGCCTGGGTGGGGAAGAAGATGGCCAGGGAGTTGTGTCCAGGAGTCTTTGAGGGTAGGGCTGGTATGGTAGGTTCATTGATGTAACTTTCCTTGTTATTCTGAATACCTTAGATGTATAGGTGTTAGTTTGCTGTGTCTAATATTTGACTAAATTAGAAAAATTTTAATGGTCTTTCCATTTCAAATGGTCATCAGTTGTTCCCTAACTGCCTAGAAGAGAACGAGGATTTTTAAAAAGACAAGCAAATAGCATTCCACAGAACGGTTTCATTTTCAGTACAGAACTGCCAGTGCCTGTTGTACCAATTTGTCTCTGCTTGGCCAATATTGATCTCTGTGAAAGGCCATGAGAGTTTGAAGGTTTGCCATTGACACCAGGCGTCATCACCTGGCAGGTCTTCATGCTCATGGAAGCTCACCCGTGTATGCTGTATTTGAGTTTGCTTCCCGAAGACTGCGAGCCTGTCTCAGAAACCACCTTCCCAGGTGCACATTTGCCTCTTCACCTCACATATGTTTATGGAGTTAAACCTGTGGTGCCTTTCTTTTCATAGTATCCCCCTTACAGCTTTCCAAGTGCCCAGCGAGGCCTCTCAATGTCAGAAGCAGGTGCGTCGCTCTGTTTCCACCCACTGGAATCTTGTGTGTCCATTCATCCTCCTCCCTCCTCCCCACTGCTGCCTGCCCCAGTGTCAGTTTTTGGAAGTAAATTCTACCTTCTCTGTGTGCTGCTCTGTGTGAGGTTCCTTGATCCCCATTTCTGAGCCCCGGGTTGGGTGGGCTTCCTTCTTGGCTTGTCTGCCTTAACAGGGTTGCTGCACACGGATGTTACTCATTTATAATACGTGGGATCTACTACTTGGAGTGACAGTGCTCCGTTTTTCTTTTTTTCCCCAAAACTTCAAGGCTTTTTTCACTTAATGTTCCAGATAAACTTTTGAATTATTATCCCAACTTCCTCAAAAAGTCTTACATGAATTTTAAATAGGATTGCATTGTTGCAATCTTCCGGCTTGGGAAGAATGGACATATTCCCAATATCTTACCTTGTTGAACAAATGTGGTGCCCTTGCCATTTGCAGCTCTCTGTTCTCATCTGTAGTTTTCCTGGGAACAACAAGGGGTGGCGGCCTTGAGTGGCATGTGTTGCTCGGTATTAAGAACACAGACAGCAGCCCAGACCGCCCAGATTGAAGTCTTGGCTTTAACCTTTTGGGCCCTGTGACTTTGGGAGGCTTATTAACCCCTCTTCCTTCATAGCCCTCTTCAGAAAGATGGGGTGATGGTGGAGTTAAATTCCCTGGTGGGGCTGTTTTGAGGATGGTTACCAACACAGGCCAAATGTTGACACTAGTACCAAGCACATTGTATAAAGCAAGCTTGAGATATATAATTTGTGTGTGCGTCTGGTGCATTTCTTTTGAGTTTATTTCTCACGGGCTTCACTTCCTGTGCAGTGGTGGATGTGATATTGGAAACTTTTCCACTGTGCACAGCGTCTGAAGACTTGCAGCCGACAAGTTGTGCTCCCCAGGAGCTCAAAAGCTGCTTGGCAAGGCCAGGCCTTGTTAGGAAAACACAGTGGGCCCCAGAAAGCTCATGGTTATTTGGTGCATGAACGGTATTGACAGGGTCACAGTGAGTGTGTGGGGGTGGCTGGAGATCACTGCAGGCTGGTGTGGCCAGTGAAGGCCAAATGAGAGGACCCTCTCAGCTCTGAGAATCATCTGTCCACCCGCTGGTTCCTGGCATGACAGGGGCCACAGCCCAGACACCACTCAGAGTTTTCTGAAGGACCAGGGCAGGAGGGGCCACAGAGCCACGCATCGTGGGCATCAAAACACCCCTGAAACCTGATATTTTAGACTGCTGCCTCCGTTTTCCTACACCCACATTCCATTTACAGATCTAATACATGTGATGGCAAAATAGCCAAAGATTTTCCACACTTGTCAATTCCAGTTACTTAGGCAAGGGAAGCCCTCTCCAATCTGTCCTGAGGTCTAACCATGATTCAGGGTTTATTTTATGCTTTTCCAGGTACTTTAGTGCACATGTGTCACTGTTTAAATGGTATTTAAGTGGGAACAGGATTATTGTGGTTGTCCAGCAACTTGCTTCTGTCATTTCTTATACATTTCCATGAGAGAATGGATGAAATTGAGTTTTAATTTTGTTTTCACATTTCACACCTCCCCTCCTGTTCATCAGAGCTATCTTACTAGATTGCTCCAAGACACACACATCAGGGTCTAAGAAATGTCACCTGTCAGTTGTCCTGGCTTATAATTTCAAGCACCCAAGCTGGTTGGAAAGCTCAGACCATTTGCAAAGATGTGGGAGAGGAGGTTTTCTTAAAGAATCAGAGTCAGTTGGAAACATGGGGAATGAGGCCTTTAGCTGGCTTCGGAGAGAGTCCTGGACCTGGCATAGGATGGATAACGGCAAGAGCTGGGGGCCTTTGAAGGCAGGGTCAGTGCTTGTGGGACAGCCAGAGGCCCCTCCAGGGCCTCCTGTCTTCCCCATGGCACCACGGATGACCCTGGAAGAGGAGCCAGGGAAACCCAAGGGTGCATTCCATCGGCCCTGTGTGTGGAGTTCAGGTTAAAAGTTGTCCTTCGTTGATCTATAGAAAACGCAGGGCTGCTGTGTCTTGGAAGCTGGGTTTAAAGCGTATTTTTCACCCGTGACTCCATTATGCTCAGAACTCTCATATGTCCAAAACACCAGCCTAGAGATGCTGATATTAGGCCACTGCTGATGTGTATTTGGATTGTGTCCATGTTCTACCGTTAGAAACGGGCAGCAGTGTTCATCTTTGTGCTCCTGTCATTATTTCAGAGGGATACGTTGTTGCAATTTCTTAGTGTTGAAATAGTCAAATGACTGTCCTACATAATGACCGTCATTAATGACAGTATCTCTAATGCCTTACCCTTGTCAGTCTAGTTTTATTAATCTTTCAAAAATCTTTGTCATTCAGCTGTGTTTATTTTATTCCAGCAGAAATGAACATTTTAGAAGAAGGTGTAGGCTGGTAATAATATGTGTCTAATTGGTATAGTTTCTCATTATGAAAGAAATTATATATGGGAAAAATATTTTAAAAATATTTTTATTGTGGGAAAAATATATTAAAAACATAGGATTTCCCTCACCTGCCATTTTAAATGTCCAATTCAGTGACATACAATACGTTCCTGGTGCTGTGTGACCCTCACCACTGTCCACCTCTGAAACTCCGTCATCCCTGTAGAAACTCTGTGTCATTAAACAGCAGCCCTCGCTAACCCACCCCCAGCCCCTGGCAGCCTCTGTTCATTCTTTCTGTGTCTATAAATCTGACCATTCTAGATGTTTCTCAAAAGCGGAGTTATACAATATTTATAATGTTGATCTGGCTTATTTCAGTTAGCATGATGTTTTCAAGATTCATTTATGTGGTGGCCTGTGTCAGAACTGCATTCCTTTATATGTCTGAACAGTAATCCATTGTGTGGACACCCCCCCACCGCCGCCATGTTTTGTCGATCCATTCATCTATTGATGGGCATTTGGGCCATTTCTGCCTTTGGCTGTTGTGAATAGTCAACAGTGGACACTGGGGCATGAGTATGCGTGCAGGTCCCAGTCTTCCCCTCCGTTGCTCATCTCCCTCGGGAATGACCTACAAGTGGAATTGCAGGGTCATATGGTGATTCTGGTTTTCATTGTTTCTGTGGGGATGAGAGATGGAAGCGGCTCATTCAGACATCTTTCTGGAATAGTGTTTTGCAGGCATTCCAGTGATTGTAATGCCATTAGTTATTGGAAATTAAACTAGACCTCCAAAAAAAAAAAAAAAAAAAAAACTTTTCCCGGGGATGTTAATGATGGGAAAGACCCAAGAAAAATCAAGCCATGCAAATGGAAGCCTCGTGCTTCTGTGTTGTATTTAGGGCATATTTCTGTATCTAGCATACCAAAGGTTAGAAGAGTTTCAGTAGTTTAGTTGAACCAAGTCTTCAACTATTGAACCAAGGTATTGAAATGGAAAGGGCATATTGTGAGACTTAGAATGGGAGCAGGATCTACAGGAAAAGATTTGATGATGGGACAGGAGACAGTTGCTCGGAAATCTTATACATACAAACTATGCAATGAGAACATAAGGTGGCTTGATATGATTTTATTAAAGAAAATTTAGATGTTTTGGTGTGTGGGCTTTTGAAGCATTGATGCTGAAGATTATGCAGCAACAAAATGTCTTTCCACGGATACAATCCAAATTCAGTGAGAAGGGCATGCTATGATAATATCCACATAATTTTAATTATGGCTATGTAGAGGGTGCTTGCATATGACTAAAAGCTAACAGTAATAAAGTGATAATATGTATTGTGTCAGGGTAGTTGGATAAAAATATATTTCCTAATTTTTTAATAAACTTGCTTATACGTCTCCAAAAGACATGTAAAAGAGTGAGTGTTTCAGAGGAAAGAAGAGTTGTGTAAGTGCAGCAGCTGGTGTTGTGGCTCTAATGTTTTGGGGAAGGAGGTCTCAAGTGCATTTGTGTGGCACACATGACAGAATAATTGATGTCTGCTCCACTGTCACGGATGAGCCAGGCAGGGCTGGGTCCCTCAGAGAAACGGCCCTGTCCTGTGAGAAACGCCACTGCAGTCACGATTTTCCCACAGCCTTAGCTCTGAGAATGCCCTGGCTCATGCTGGCTTAGAATGTGGTCTTGAAGAGCTTGAAGATGGTGCTGTCTTCTGTGTCCAGGGCAGCCTTGTGCAACAGAAAGCTCTGTGCCCGTCGTCACAAGGCTTGCTTCCTCACTGGGATGTGAGTCCACTGGGCAACACTCTTCATTCCATTGAACTTGAGTGTGGTCTTCTGGGAAACTGTTACTGGTTGCCAGTCATGTGACATTGTGAGAGTTAATTCATCATGGGTGTGAGAGGTCTCTGTGAGAGATGCAAGGTCTGATTGGCTCAAGGGCAAATAGCTTGTCCATCTGACATTCACTTTTATTTTAAACTAAAGAGGAGAGAATATGACTATATTCTCATTTATAAGAAACATTCTCAAGTCATTAAAAACAATGATTTTCATGCTCATATAAAATGAGTTTTATTTAACTTATTGATGAGGCAAATTGAGTGAACAGCTGTCTCAAAAAGGATTTACATAGTGAGGAAAGGAATACTGAAAAAAGATAGTTATGCTAGGTATAAAACTGAGTATTGTTCTACAGGGCAATAAACTGATGTTTGAGGATTATCCTCTCTGTTAGAAAGTAATAAAATCTTCAACCCTTAAGTTTTCTAGTTAGGCTCTAAGTTTAAAAGGTTTTAAATGTTAATAATTTGTTAGTCACGGTTATGTTTCCAAAGATGGCCCAGTTCCCCTCATATGGGTTCTTACATGCTGTTAGAAGTGCATATAGTCATCTTTAAAAATTTATTTCCAAGTTTTGGGCAATTATTCCTGAAGTATATCTTTTTTTTTTTTTTTCCCGAGACACTCTCACGCTGTCGTCCATGCTGGAGTGAAGTGGCACAATCTTGGCTCACTGCAACCTCCACCTCCTGGCTTCAATCGATTCTCGTGCCTCAGCCTCCAGAGTAGCTGGGATTACAGGCAGGCACCACCACGCCAGCTGTTTGTATTTTTAGTAGAGACGGAGTTTCACCACATTGGCCAGGGTGGTCTTGAACTCCTCCTGACCACAGGCAATCCGTCTGCCTTGGCCTCCCAAAGTGCTGGGATTACAAGCATGGGCCACCACTCCCGGCCCTGAATTGTATCTTCTGTGATCGTAAATCTCCCTAATGATTATTCTTTATCATAAAAGGCTACTCTCACTTGTGTTCATACAAAGACCGTTAATTGAATTTGTTGTTTAGTCAGCTGGTATTTACTTATCTGATAGATACTGGAAATTGGACATACATTTAATTTACAGATGCTCCTCGACTTATGATGGAGTTATAGCCCGATAAACCTATTGTAAGTTGAAAGTATTGTAAGTTGAAATGCATTTAATACTCTGATAAGCCCATGGTAAAGTTGAAACATCATAAGTTGAACCATTATAAGTCCAAATGCTTCTTGACTTACGATGGGGTTATGTCCCAATAAACTGATTGTAAACTCAAAAATTGTAAGTTGAACCATCATAAGTCTGGAACTGTCTGTATGCCATTTATACAGTTATGATTCCAAAAAGTAATTGTGCTGCCATTGATATTCTTTTTCATCAATTTTCTAATTTGGAGAAGGGATTCTGCACAGACCCCCATGTTGACACCAATTCAGTGGTGGCTCTCTCATGTTGCCTGTGAACGATACTTAGACGTTGTACATATTCCATTAGGCTTGCCTGATCTGTGCACATAGATGCATTAAAAGGTCTTGGTTAGTGTACATACTTCTTCATATGTGGTCTGCGAAAGCTGGGGCCATACAATATCAAGGCCACTGACTTCTATCATGTGGCTTTGTAAAGTTCCTGATGTCTTATTTTGACCCCTTCAGTCATTCCAGAACTGTGTGCTCAGGAAAATGAGTTCCATCATCAGCTCATTTATTTTCAGGCTTGGATCCAAGAACCGTCCAGTTTGACTCCACACAATTTTGCATATTTCACCTGTAACAGAGGGTGTATGCTTCTTTCTAGAAGTCCCTGTTTGCCGAGGTTCTGGCTTGCAGAAGTGACATTCTTTTCTTTCTTTAAGGTGTGTACTTAAGCCAAAATGTAGACACCAGTTCTGTTTCTAAGGAGGGCTTTCTGAATATCATTTCTATATAGGGGGAGCTGTCCTGGCTGTGCAACAGTGGGACCTGTCATTTCATTGAATGATATTTTCCTTAAATTTATACACAAGTATTTCTGATTATTAAGAAATTAGAATTAATACATTTTCAAAGTAACATACTAGTATTTTTATTTTCTTTTAATTAAAACATAACTATGTGAAAATTATGGGAGATATGAAAGAAATTTATCCCGACATTCTGACATTGTTAAAGTTATACGTTTGTGTAAATTTTTTGTTTTCTTCTCTGGTAGAAATAAGGGCAGGTTCTTATTGAAACTGTAAAAGTAACTAAACTGTCATGATGAGTACTGGACTCGGGAAGTCTTCATAGACCTTTTGATCACCATGTGGAGTGGCTTTGCTGGCAAGGCCGATCAATATGTGGATTATTTTCTCCAGCGTCATCATGGACGCCACCAGTGTGGCCATCCACACAGAGATTTGATTGGTTTCAGGCTATAGTAGTTAGAATGAATATAATTTAAGTGTAATCATTAATGAGATTTCTAAGCTTAGCATTTGTAAAAGCATTTCTCTGAATTGTAATTATCATAGTCGTCATCATACTTGTGTTTGGATGGCTCATTTTCTTATAATTTGCATTATATTTTCCATAGCACATTTTTACCAAATTCTGAGGAATTAGTTGGAACAAGATACCAGTGAAAGGGTCTCCCATCTCAAGTAGTAAAATTACAGCTAAAAACAGATGGCGAAGTAAGGAGAGGGGCTTCTTCCCCTGGCCCTAGAAAGCAGAACACTGAATACAATTAAATTACCCTCATCAGTGCCATCCGGTCTCCATAATTAACTTTTGTTCTGCCTGATCTTGGGTCAGCAGCTGCCAGTGCAAGTCGCTTGCCTTTGGAGTCAGTGTCCAGGAGTTGCTGACCCGTCCTTGCACTGTGGCCGTGGGGCGCTGCTGGGAGTCCATGCTGGGGTGGGCGCCTTGAGGGAGCCTCCTGGGGCTGCTCACATGGGCCCTGGCCTGACCTGTGCTCCCAGAGACTCCTTTTGAGGTCACCTGCTCCAGCAGAGGCCCCCGCCCTCCGAGAGGGGAGTGGGAAACCAACCCTGTGACAAAATGGAGAGGCTCCGCTTGGTATTCCCGGCAACAACGACATCAGATGGAGCAGAGTGGAACCCTCCCTGGAGACATGATGTGCTATGACTCCACAGGGGTGGCCGTAGCGGCAGGGGTGGTCACGGCAGGGAGCATGGCCCTCAGCACCCAGGCGCAGGACACTTTGCTGTGGCCCTCAGGTGACAAGAGCCTTGGAAACCCTGATGGCCTTCGTAGGATCCATCTGTGGGTGGCTTTCATGCCAGGCTTTGTGACCGTGCCTCCCTCCATGCTGAGGTACCGACTGCAGCAGCCCATTCCCATGGTCAGGAGGCAGGTCTTAGGTTCGGGGTCCTCTGATGGGAAAAGTGTGGGAATGGGCAGCCCTCGCACAGCCATGCTGGCTGCTGTGCCCCTCTCATCCGGGACTGTGTGGGCTTCGGTGCGGGCGCCATCCAGGAAAGCACCAGTGACATCAGCATGAAAAGCAGCAACAGCGGTCACCCCTCGGAGCTTCTTGTGTCGAAGGAGAGTCCACACCCAGGAAGGAGATGGCCACTGGTCTCATAGGACCTTGCCTGCAGGGAGCAGAGGTGGATGTAGCTTCGCCACCCCACGACCCCATTTGGAAACAGTGTTTGAAAATGAGTATTTCAGAAGGCACCCTACGTAAGGCAAGTCAGCTCTCAGATGTGAGGGAGAAACAAAAGTTAGCAGCTTTGGAGTGGACGTATTTTGGAATGTGAGCTCCCTGGGCAGATTACACAAAAGATAAAGAATAACCTTTTACTGCCTTTTCTTATTTAATTACCAGTCTTCTCTATGTATATGGTACATATATGCATTTTTGCTTATTAATTTTAATATAACTTTTATGTATGTAAAATATTCATATGGATGACTATTAAAGTAAGCGTTAAATGTAATTCCTCTCAACACAACGTAAGCAAGGAATAATCACATTAATTTTATCATCTTAATTGGAACTTTACAAAAAGGAAATTGAGACAGTAAAAACTGTGGTTGGTGACCCCCAGGACCTACTCTTGCTCTGCCTCGGTGAATTTTAATTAATTTAATATTGTCTGGGTAACCAAAGATTTCTCATTTATTAACTCAATATTATTTCAAGATCCTAATGTCATTTATGAACAGTAGGAATTCCATTAAACATTACATAAAAGACCCAGCACCATCACAGTTAACATGAAAAATTTGACAGCGGGATGACATTTAAAATTTTTGTGCAATTAATACAAGTGTAAAGCCAAGTCCAGGTGGCTTGCAGCATTGCCTGAAGTTCGAAAGAACTGACTCTTTTTTTATCCTCTAGAGATCACTTATTAAAATTCAACTTAGTCGACCCAAATGTGTATATTTTTATAATCTCAAACATTATTTGGAAACGATAACTGATAAAACTATATGGAAAACTTTAGGAAGTTTATGCTTCCCACGAGAAAACAAATTCAAGTCTTATGTAAAATAAAATGCATGCTTCCCTTGTATTCTATGTCGTGATACATTCAGGGAGACATAAAGCTGTTTTTAAACCCCAAATTTTTGAACCTATCTGACGTCTTCAGGGATTCACCTTAATTTGAAGCATGATAGTCCTGTGTCTAGGTGGACTCTCTGTTTATAAACCAGTAATGAAAAAGTGCTTCACAGAGGGCTATTCCCGCATGTTTTTATGCACGCAGCCCTGGTGGCGCTGTACTGTCGTGGACTCTGCTGCGACGCAGTTGTCACTTGCTGTCCTGCGTTGAAGACCTTTCTGTGTAGACACACAATTCTCCCACAGAGCAGAGTCGCAGAGGACCCAGCCTTTTATTCAAAGCCTATCGTAAGTCAAGAACAATTATTTCTAACATGCTGTGCCTATCTCCAGGTTCAGCTGTTTATTTGAAACGTAAACAGAGTCCTTGGGAAATGTTGCTGGTATCTGCCGTGTTCCCCACGCGGGAAGCCAGAGAGCGTGGCAAGTGTCTGTCCCATCCTGGGGCCTCGGCCTCCTAATGTTCCTCACCAAGGCCTGGTCCTTCTTCAGGGGTCCCAGTGTGGCTTCTGCCCACACCCAAGGGGCCCAGGCCTTTGGACATTTGCTCTCAAGGGTGGGCACCGCCTCCACCTACCCTCCCCCGAGGGCCACACTTCTTGCTGCTCTGTGCAGATTCTACTGGAAGCCCTTCCAGCGCTGCCAGGCTCGGATCCTGGTGGCCTTGCGATGGCCTTTGGCTCCGCCTGTGGCCATGCTCCGGGGGGTACTGCCTTCCCGCTCGCTGAGCCCGACTTCCACGTTCACACGGCACTGTCGCCACCGCACACACGGCTCCTGAGCCCAACCCCCGCGTGCACACGGCACTGTTCACCTCACATGGCTCCTGAGTCTGACCCCTGCGCTGCACATGGCACTGTTCACCACACAGAGCTCCTGAGTCTGACCCCGCACTGCACACGGCAGTGTTCATCACACACGCGGCTCCAGAGCCCGACCCCCGCATGCACACGGCGCTGTTCACCTCACAGGGCTCCTGAGTCTGACCCCTGCGCTGCACACGGCACTGTTCACCACACAGGGCTCCTGAGTCTGACCCCGCACTGCACACGGCACTGTTCACCTCACACGGCTCCTGAGCCCAACCCCCGCGTGCACACGGCACTGTTCACCACACAGGGCTCCTGAGTCTGACCCCTGCGCTGCACACGGCACTGTTCACCACACAGGGCTCCTGAGTCTGACCCCTGCGCTGTACACGGCACTGTTCATCACACACGCGGCTCCAGAGCCCGACCCCCGCATGCACACAGCGCTGTTCACCACACAGGGCTCCTGAGTCTGACCCCGCACTGCACACGGCACTGTTCACCACACAGGGCTCCTGAGTCTGACCCCTGCGCTGCACACGGCACTGTTCACCACACAGGGCTCCTGAGCCCAACCCCCGCGTGCACACGGCACTGTTCACCTCACACGGCTCCTGAGTCTGGCCCCGCACTGCACACGGCACTGTTCACCACACAGGGCTCCTGAGTCTGACCCCGCACTGCACACGGCACTGTTCACCTCACACGGCTCCTGAGCCCAACCCCCGCGTGCACACGGCACTGTTCACCTCACACGGCTCCTGAGTCTGACCCCTGCGCTGCACACGGCACTGTTCACCACACAGGGCTCCTGAGTCTGACCCCTGCGCTGTACACGGCACTGTTCATCACACACGCGGCTCCAGAGCCCGACCCCCGCATGCACACAGCGCTGTTCACCACCGCATGTGGCTCCTGAGCCTGAGGAGGAGCGTGGTGGCAAGGACAGCTACCATGAGTCTGCAAGCAGCCAGGTACCCTTCTCCTGGGCTGGAGCCAGTGTAGAGGACGGGGACTCTCAGCTCTGCCGTGACCCCCGTGGTCTCCCAAGGACAAGCGCCATTCTTGAGGGACGATCACAGCTTCTCGCCAGACTCCCTGATGAGGTCAGTCACGCGCTGAGACCAGAGCAGGGGCATCATCCTCGTTTCTTGCACAGTAAACGCAGCTGTAACATCTGGACCAGTGGAGCCAGTTGTGGGAATCCATAGGAATTTGAGTTTCAGCGATTGTTCCAGGCAGCGTTTTCCCAGGAAGTGTTTACCAGTTGTCCACGTTGGGGTATGAATGAGTGAAGCTTCATGAATGTAACTTTGAACACTTGATCAGAAAGAGAAAACGGATGACATGTTTCTGATAAATCATGACTAAGATGATTTTTTAAAATATCATTTAAAAAGATAAGTATCGAGGAAGCTTCCATTTCAAACCAACTCCGCAGGAAAGTTTTAGGGTGAATCAAACATCTTTTTCTGTAGTTGAGTTAGTAACTCTAAATATATCCATTTGGTCTTTGAGAATGCTTTCATATCTTTTTTTTAAAAGTTTTTAATTTTCAAACTTTTTAAAAAATGACAATGGATGAATAAGTATTTTTGGTAATGATTAGTTTATGCTATGCACACTGCTTTGTAACCTTCTTTTTCCCTCTAACAAAATGTGATGGGTGTTATCTTTTATCCTCTTTCACGGTTTTTGCTACTGGTGGAGTCTTTTACATCTGGGTTTATTCAAACACATAGAAGCAAATGGACTGAGAGTGAGCATCTGCCTCTCCTCACATTTCCTACGCTAGAAATGACTGTTGTTAGGATGGTCAACCTTCTTCCAGCTTTATTTCCACGCCTGTAAAATAAATGTGTCTGT